>NC_000012.12:130111995-130413619 GCF_000001405.40 Homo sapiens
GTAATTTATTTTGTTCCTCCTTTTTGATAATGGGTGCATTGCTCTTTGTCTCCAGACAGCATTTTTCACTCCTTCCTCTCTCTTGTCTGTAAATTAGTTGGTTGTATCTCCAGGAAGCAGAGACCAAACCAGAAAGCATCACTCCAGATGTCTAGCAGGGAATGCCCCTGGGGTCAATACCCACAGCACATGGTATGTGCCAGAAATAGCCTCAGCAGTGTTTCCCATCCCAGCACTGGTGAGTCCTCCAACAAGGGGTGGGGTCTATGCTCTATTGACTGTGTATTTTATTTTCTGTACCCTGAGGCTTTGACATCGGGGCCTTGCTGACCCTGGAGAGACGGGCCCTCCCGGGCTTAGCCAATGCCTAGCAGTAGTGAACAATCCACCGGCAAGTGCTGTTTTCAAATGCAAACCAGTCAATCCAGAGTCCATACCCCAACCACTCCTCTGCGGGGCTCTCACACCCTGGATCATTATCCACCTGTTCCAATCATGCCAAGACCAGGCACCAGACAACCAGGGAGGCTCCTAGGCCCAGTACCTACCGGAGTTACTCAGGCCAGTCAATGATAAGCACGCTTACCCTGCCTTGCCTGATGCATTAGTTCATTTTCATGCTGCTAATAAAGACATACCCGAGGCTGGGTAATTTATAAAGGAAAGAGGTTTAGTGGACTCCCAGGTCTACATGGCTGGGGAGGCCTCACAGTCATGGCAGAAGGTGAATGAAGAGCAAAGGCACGTCTTACATGGCGGCAGGCAAGAGAGGGTGTGCAAGGGAATTGCCCTTTGTAAAACCATCAGATCTCGTGAGACTTATTCACTACCACGAGAACAGCACAAGACAGACCCACATCTGTGATTCAATTACCTCCCACTGGGTTCCTGCCACAACACATGGGAATTATGGGAGCTACAGTTCAAGATGAGACTTGGGTGGGGACACAGCCAAACCCTATCACCTGCTCCTCCTACAGAAATTCCCAGAAAGGCTCTGGCCCACAGCTTCTCCCTCTGCCTCTGCCTCCTGCTCTATCTGGTGCTCCCGAGTGGCCTGGCATGGCCTGGCATGGTGTGGCATGTCCCCTCCTCTTGGGAACTGTAACAAACTATCTTTTCAAAGGCCGTCATCTCCTGATTTGTTGGCCTTACTATACTTCAAATGTTCTATTATACACTGTATTTAAAACATGCCCTTTCCCCTTAAACTGGATCTCTGTGCCTGTCTTTCTAATGAAGTCTAGCAGGACCAGGGCTGCCTGGCTTCCAAGACTAGGCTGTGAAAGGTGACACATCCTCTGCCAGTGCTCTCAGCAGGCACACTTAGGATGTGTGCACCACCGTGCAGGGAGTCCAGGTGCTCTGGGGCATACTCTGGAGGTTCGCATGGAGCAGCTGCCGAGAGCTGGAACGGCCCAGAGAGCCCAGTGCTCCAGGCCCAGCTGCGTATTCCCCGGGTGCCAGCCCCACACCCTCTTTCTGCATGGAAACCACTCCAATGTGTCTAGAATTCTGTCATTTATAATAAGATGACCGTGCTCTAAGCCCCCAGAGTTTGGAAGGATTCTTTACACAGCCGGAGGGGTGTGGGACAGCACCTGCTGGGGAGGAAAGAGGCAGGCTGGGTGATGGGAAACATCGAGGTAGGTGCAGCCCCATGGAAGCAGCAGCAACCCCCAGAGTCCCTGACACCGGGCCCTGCAGAGTCCTCTGACGCTGAGGAGAGGGGATGCACCTACATGCCCCCAGAGGCCTGCCGTCCCTGCAGAGCAGCACAACCTTGGGGCAGGGAAGACTGTAGGGGTGACTCAGCCTCAAGGCCTCCACTGTCAGGTCAGCTGGGGAATAGGACTGTGTCCACAACCGGTGGGATCTGGTGGCATGGTGTCCATCAGCCCCAATGCTAACGGTGCCTCCTTGGCGGCATCTGTTGGGGTCATACAGAGGAGTGCCCATGAAAGGACGGGTGTTTGCTGTGTGGAACAGTCTGGTGGTTTCTCAAAAGGTCAAACTCAGAAGAACCCCATGACCTGACCAGTCCACCCAAGAGAAATGAAAGCGCGTTTCCTCACCCAGATGCACACACAGAGGGATGTTCACAGCAGCACCATTTCCAGGAGCCAGAATGTGGAAACAGCCCCAAAGTCCTTCAATGGATGCCTGGATGAATAAACGTGGTGTACACATGTGACGGAATATGATTCAGCCACGAAAAAGAATGCGTCACCAACACAAGCAACAGCCTGGAGGAGCCGGGAAAACATGCTTGGAGACAGAAGCCAGACACGGAAAGCCACATGGCCTGAGTCCATGTGTGTAAAGTGTCCAGAGGAGGAAAGCCTGTGCAGACTGGAAGGAGAGGACTGCGTGCCACGGGCTGGGTGAGGGGACGGGGACGTGGGGAGTGACTGCTCAGTCGGTACGTGGTTTCTTTTGGGGGTGATGGAAATGTTCTAAAGTTTGGTAGTGCCCATAATCACCAGACCCGTGAATATTTTAAGAACCATGAGGAGTTCGAGATCAGCCTGGCTAACATGGTGAAACCCCGCCGTTTCTACTAAAAATACAAAAAATTAACCAGGCATGGTGGCACATGTCTGTAATCCCAGCTACTCAGGAGGCTGAGGCGGGAGAATCGCTTGAACCAAGGAGGCGGAGGTTGCAGTGAGCCGAGATCACGCCTTGCACTCCAGCTTGGGCGGCAAGAGCGAAACTCCTTCTCAAAAAAAAAAAAAACAAACAAACAAAAAAAAAAAAAAACACACCATGAAATTTTTACATATTAAACTGGTGAATTTTGTGGCTTGTGGATTATATCTTACTTTATAATAGATACAGAAAGCTCTGGTGGCAGAATGCCAGGGCTAGAAACCCGATTGCCACCCACAAGCTCTGTGACCCGAAGGAGGTTTCTCAGCCTCTCAGGGCTCAGTTTCTTCGTCTGCAACGTGGGGGCAACAATTGGGCCGACCACGCAGGGCCTGGACTGAAATGGCCGATGTGTGCACAGAGTTTAGGGCGGTGGCGGGCAGGTGGGCTGTGTGCCCTCCGTGTCGGCCGTGACTGCCTGCCCTCCCTCTCTCCCTCCAGTTCCCATGCCCAGACCCTCCTCCCTCATTCCTGGGCAGCTGCGCACAACGCCTGCTCATCTTCCGGCTTCAGCTTCAGCCTGGAGGAGTCTGTTTCGTTTGCCTGAGAAAGCATTTGCTCATAGAAGCCTGCGTGGATGCGGCAGGCAGCAGGCTCTGGCCACGCCGCCTCCCGCAAGCCCCCTCTGCCGTCTGTCCCACTCTTAGACGGTAGATGCTGTCAGGACCCCTGCCCGGGACTTGGGGCATGGAACTATCTGCAGGTCTAGCTGGAGGCAGGGTCAGGATTCCGCTCACTGGGCTGGAAGGTCCGTGGGTAGGATGTTGTGTGGCTCCGAGCTGCACCCAGAACCTAGCCTGTCCCCGGCAGGCAGGAGGGGCTCCCCAAACACTTATTGGGTGAATAGGCTGAGACTTCAGCAACTGCCTGCAGGAAGGTCCCTGGGGACAAACACTGTTCTACGGCCAGCTCTCCACAGTGGAGGGTACCATTGGGTGCTTCTAGGGGTTCACTCGGCTCGTCTGCGAGCTGGGCAGATGGGCAGGGCTCCGGGCCTGCCATACAGAGGCGGCCTGGGCTGTGTGTCTCATTCACACTATCTTGGAGCATGAGCCGGCTCAGGCTTCCCCTCACTGACCTGCCCAGCCTTTCTCCAGAGCTGCAGGGTTGAGGCTGTGGCTTCAAAGAGCAGGGAGGCCTGACAGAGCCCCTGCAGAGAGGCCAGGAGGAGCTTGGCATGCCCCCTGGGCTGGCCCAAGGGCAGGGCAGACCCTTGACCTCCCCATGGGGGCTGCTGACCCTGGAGCAGAGGCACCAGAGGCCGGGCTTGGCCTGGGGCCCTACCAGCTGCAGGTCATCCCTCTCCTCCGAAACACACGGCCATCTCAGAGCCAGAGCAAGGGCGGTGCGGGCTGGGGTCTGCGGTCCCCACTGGAAGGTCACCAGGGGCCCAGGGCCTGCTCTCAAGTTTGTCACAGTCTGTTTAGAAAACAAAATATGGGGCCAGGCACGGTGGCTCACACCTGTAATCCCATCACTTTGGGAGGCCGAAGCGGGTGGATCACTTCAGGCCAGGAGTTCGAGACCAGCCTGGCCTACATGCTGAAACTCTGTCTCTGCTAAAAATACAAAAATTAGCCAGGCGTGGTGGCGCATGCCTGTAATCCCAGCTACTCGGGAGGCTGAGGCAGGAGAATAGCTTGAACCTGGGAGGTGGAGGTTGCGGTGACCTGAGATCGAGTCACTACACTCCAGCCTGGGTGACAGAGCAAGATTCCATCTCAAAAAATAATAATAATAAATAAGTAAATAAATAAAAAGAACATGAAATATGGGCCAAAATAAGATTTCAAAATTGTAGTGTATTTTATTTTCCTGCACTCAGAAAGTGTGAGAGTTGACTTGACTTTGCCCAACCTGGAACACCAGGGTTTCTTCAAAAGAAGCAGTGGTGTGCTCTCAGGAAGGTCTGAAGCCAACGGGGCTGGAAGGAGAGCGATTTGCTACTTATACCTCGAAGATTTAATTCTGTTTGAAGGCCACCGCTCCAGTGCCACTTCCTAGAGATAATCGTGCGGTTTATAAGGAACTATGAGACTCATTTTAGAAAGCGCTTCCAGGAGGCTGAAGCTGGGGGTCTGGGAGTTTGACGGGCCCTTCCTCCCACCTGCAGGGGCTGCAGGCGCAACCTCATTGAGGGATGAACAACCTTCTCTGGACGTGAAGCTGGGTGGGAGGGTGGGGGACGAGAAGAGGCTGCAGAGGAGGCGGGGGCTCTGAATCCACCCAGCCAGGCCAGCCCTGTCTCTGTGACTACAAAGAATGTTCTGGAAGGGTTAGGGTGCTGTTTGCCTCAGGGGAGAGGGCGTGGTGGGAGGGCTGCTGGGCTGGCAGAGTACCAGGGGAATTCCCAGGAACTCCTCTGGCATCTCTGAGACCCAGCAGGGCAGAGGGTGGGCGGGGCTGCATGGCGCAGGGGCTCCCAGACCTGAGCTGTGGAGGTGGGGCCCTGTCTGCCCCCTCACTTTGGAAACCTAGTAGGGTTTGTTTGCTTGTTTTTTGTTGTTGTTGTTGTTGTTGTTGTGTGTGTGTGTGTTTTTTTTTAAAGAAATTTGCTGTTTTCCAGGTAGCTTCATAGAAAGCCAGGGTCTCTTTCCTCTATAGTTAGGTTGTTTACATTGCAAAAGCCTAATCCTCTTGCTAGGTTGATATTGTGTCTCGTGGGCTCCTTAATGAAAAGCATTTGTCCAGGATTATTCCTTCACAGCAAATGAGAGCCTCCAAGACAGCTCCACTCTGAGAACCGGCCTTGTGGCTGGGGCACGAGCACCAGGGGCCCCAAAGAGGGGGTCAGGCTCGAGCCACTTGTGTACGTGTGCTACTCCTGGCCTGAGCACCCCAGGCTGGCTCTGAAATCTAGGGTGAGCAGAAAGGGAGGCAGATTCTCACTGTAAGAAGCACGGGGGAGAGACCCCATTCGAGTGGGCTGTTTCCCTTTTGGTTTTGAGCCTGTAGTTTCCCCCAAAGGATGTCCACATCCTAATCCCTGGAATCTCTGGACATGTCACCTGACATAGAAAAAGGGACTTTGCTGTTGTGATTAAGGACTCTGGGATGAGGAGATGATCCTGGATAATGTAATCACAGGAGTCCTTGAGGAGGAAGGCAGGAAGGTCAGAGGAGGAAGCAAGAGGCCAGAGTGATCCCAGGAAGGGGTCGAAAGCTGCGTTATGCAGGCAGCTCCAGAAACTGCAAAAGGCTGGAAACAGACTCTCCTGGGAGCCTTTGGAAGGAGTGCAGCCAGCCCTGATTTCAGCCCTGAAAGACTCATTGCAGACTTCCGGCCTCCAGAGCTGTAGGAAAATGAAGTTGGTTGCTTTTTTGTTTTTGCTTCTAGAGGCAGGGTCTCGCTCTGTGGCCCAGGCTGAAGTGCAACAATGGTGGCAATAGTGCAATGACGGCTCATGGCAACCTCAACCTCCTGGGCTCAAGTTATCCTCCCTCCTCAGCCTCCCGAGTAGCTGGGACCACAGGTGTGCACCTCCAAGCCTGGCTAATTTTTCTTTTTTTATTTTTTGTAGAGACGGGGTCTTGCTGTGTTGTCCAGGCTGGACTTGAACTCCTGAGCTCAAATGATCCTCCTTCCTCAGCCTCCCCAAGTGCTGGGATTACAGGCGTGAGCCACTGTACCAGGTCAAGTTGTGTTGTTTTAAGCCATCCAGTTGGTGGTTATTTGTTACAGCAGCCACAGGAGACCCACGCGGCCAGAGTCCCTCTCCTGCCCTGCCCCCGATGCCAGTCAGCCACTAGGCTGGGAGGGTCCTGCCCTGGGAGAGTCCGGCATGAACACAGGGACCAGGTGCAGCAACTGGACTCCAGACAGGAAGCACTCTGTCCTGAGAGCTGCCCACACCCAGATTAGGGTTTGGATCCCCCAAGAAACCCCCATCCAATCTCTTCCCCGCCTCCTTTGGCCCCCAGCAGACCTGCTTCTCACTCACGTTCCCTTTCTGCCCCTGCTTCAGCTTTTTCCTAGACCGCCTGCCTCCAGCAGAACGAATCAAGAAGATTACAGGGCAGGCGGGTGTGAGAGCAGCTCCTGGGGCGAAACTAGACGAAAATCCCCTGGCCCTGTTTCCCCAAACTTCCCTTTGATTTTTAATTTTTTTCAAAAGTTTCTTCATCACAAAATTTCCGGATGTGACATCCCTGGCAGCTCACACAGCAAGTTTTGGCAAAAACCAATGTCTTACTTCTCGCTGGGCTGCAAGAAATTAGAGTAATCGCCCCCAACACACAAAGGCATGAACTCCCGATGCAATTAAGGAGAGGTGAGGGGATCAAAGGAATCATGGCTGTGGATGAACTCTCCTTCTCTCGTTTTCCCTTAAAAGTCACGAGAGGCAACTTGCAGTCTAGTTAGCTTGGGGGCACCCGGGGTTGGGGTGTAGCAATGTGGGCAGGAGATGGTATCCTTGGCCTCAGCAGATGGGGCCCCTAAGGTTGTACTTTTTGGCGTGGCTCTGCCAGAGATTATATGAGCTCCAAGTTCTGGAGCTCCCTTCCAGCCCCGCTTTTCACTTTGGCGCAAGAGGGCAGTTAGGGCAAGTTCCTAGTTGTCCCCAAGGCTCCTCTGCCCCTCAACTGTGACGTGGGATGGTGATACCACCTAGCTTGCAGGGCTGGGTGCAGGTTTAAGGAGGCACGATTGAAACCTGGTGCCTGGCACAGAGAAAGCTCAAAAATGCAGGGTGCCACCCTTCATGTCATCCTCACCTCCACCCCATCGGCACCGCCTCCCACGCAGCCCTCCTCAGTGACGACGGCGGGTTTGGCTTCATCCCCTTCCATGAAGATGAGCGCGGCTCCCTCTCCTTTGTGTTGGATCTGGGGCCCTGGGGAGAGCTGGGCACACGGCTGGTGTGTAGTAGCGGCTCACTGCTGGGACACTGCTGTCTGCTGAGGGTTGCTCACTTGGCTGTGGTTGCTGCTCTCAGGCCTCTCATGGAGCCACCGTGACACACCCCCCGTGACACACACACCCCGTGACACACACCCCCCGTGACACATCCCCCGTGACACACACCCCGTGACACACACCCCGTGACACACCCCCCGTGACACACACCCTGTGACACACACCCCGTGACACACCCCCCGTGACACACCCCTCCAAGCCAGGGTGCAAGTTACATCCCATCGCCAGGCCCAGCACCATCCACACAGCAGCCCCACACGTGGGGAGCGTCGCTGTGGTTATGGCCGACTTGCCGTGTAGGCTAAGATTGTTCCCCTTACACACACAGACATCCTCTCTCTCACACCCTCACGCAATCCCACACTCGTATTCACTCCCACATTTACACACGTACACGCTCACAGGCATGCATACAGTGGGGCATTCATTTACACACACACCCATGCACACACACACATCCTCACACACACCCACATGCATCTTCACACACTGTGAAACACACACCCACACCCACACACTCTACGGGGGTCACACAGGCCTCTCCAGCTGCGCCCTCCCTGCACCGTGCAGACCCCCAGGTCTGGCCTCAGAGGGGACACGCAAGCCCCACTGGCAGCAGACCTCCGGTGTCCCGTCCCCTGTCTGGGCTGGCGAAAGTGCAGGTAGCTCCTTGGTCGCCTGACCCAGTGCCTTGGATGCTGCCCGTGTGCTGGGCCGGAGGACACCATTCCCTCGCGCACAACAAGCCCTGTGAGGCATCACGGAGGGGACGGGAGCTCACACCTCAACCTAGAGACCCCGTCTACTCACAACCACTTTTAAGGAATGCAGCTAAACAGGGGGCTCAGATCCCTGTTCAGGGCCCTTCTCACGATCCCACCGTAACAGCCCAGCCCTGCGGGTGCCTGGCTGCAGTCTCCTTCTCCCCAGCACTTCCAGACCTGGCAGCCCGGCCCAATACCAGCGGCCGTGGGGCCTGACCTGGACTGAACCCCGGAGCCCGGACAGGCTGGTCACTGCAGGGCGGGGCCTGAATTCTGCAGCTGCTCCTGAGGCCAAAAGCTGTTCTGAGGGTGGGGTGGGCTGCCAGGCTCCACCGACGCCCTCCCGCACTGCAGGCGCCTCTCTGGAGCCTCACATATGTCCACCATCAGATTCCATGGTCTGCGGTCTGTGGAGACGGTGGGGACCGACTCTCTCAACACCTCTGTGTGAACTGGATCCCCTGGGGGACTGGGGGGAGTAACAGAAAAGCTCACAGAGTGCCCCTGAGCCCAGAGCTGTTTCTGATCTCTCCTTAAAAGCGATCTCCGTGGAAACAGCCCAGATGACCATCAGTGGACGAATAGATACACAACTGTGGTCCATCCACACAACAGAATATCATCCAGTCACAGAAAGGGAGGAAGCGCTGATCCATGCTACAACATGGGTGAACCCCAAAAACATGATAAGAGACGCCGGATACAAAAGGCCACGTAGCATGTGATTTTACCTCCACGGAATGCCCAGAAGAGGCAAAATCTGCAGAGACAGAAAGCAGAGGAGCCAGGGGGAGGAGCTGAGTGTTCGGGAGAGGGGAGTGAGCAGTGACCGATCACAGGTTCAGGCTTTCCTTTGGGGCGATGACAATGTTAGGAAGTCGAGAGAGGTGTTTACACAACCTTGTGAAGATATTAAGTGCCACTGAACTGTGTGCTTTAAAGTCGTTCATTTTATGTTACATGCATTTCAACTCAATTTTTTTAAGTGACCTCTGATTTTTAAAAGACGAGTCAATATTCCCAGTGACTCATTTGACCATGGGAAAATCCACTCTTTTATGGGCCAAATGTTTGCAAGGCTAGAGTTCTGTCTGAAATGGAAACTTCATCAACAGCTGGGCATTCGGTGGCCAGGCTTTTACTTGGAAAATTGGACCAGATTTCTTGGCCATCATCTTAATTATGTGTTCGACACAGAGGGACAGAAATTTCTAAATCACAACTTCCTCTGAGTGGAGAAAATCAAGCCCCAAATTCTTAAAGGGATATAGGAAAGCAAGTCTCCCGGCCATGCTTTTTGAGAGGGATGTTGGTGAAGGGCGTTTAGTCCTCCCCATCATAGAAGAGGAGAATCTGGCCACCCAAAATGTGGGAACTGGGTTCTGTGGACTGGGAAGGTTCAAAAAGAGTATCAAAAACGGGGGAGGTTCGCCTTTCCCAACTGCAGCCAGATGGCACACAAGGCTCTCCTGCATGTGCTTCCAGAATGTCTCCAGGCAGACAGAATGTGTCCAAATGCTAGGAGGAAAACAGAGTACAACAGCGTCAATGACCACAGCAGTAATGGAAACCATGCTAATAATCATAATACCCTCTACCAAGCCCAACCCCATGTGTCATCCTACACAGTAGCTAGGACGACATTAGTACCCCATTTCATTCTCCCGTGTCTCAGTCTCTGTATCTGAACAACAGGACAAATAACAGTGTCTACTTCATTATGCTGTCATCATTATTGAATGAAGGTTCAACTCTCCATATTCCATTTTTTAACAAAAGCTTCAACTCACATTTATTGGCAAATGTTGATGTCATCCAGGTCCAGTTCCATGCTGCCAACAGAAGATCCATTCCTTATCTTCCAGCGATGCGCTGTACTTCTGAACAGCTTCGCCTGCATTTGGTAAGCAAGAGTCGTCAGTAGCCTGGAGTCAATGAGAAGTTTACAAAGTTGTTGAGAGGTCAGGCTTTTGTGAATGAATTATAAGAGGATAATACAAAACAAAAATAATAATAAAATGCCCTAGGGAAAAATAATTTATCCCATGCCAACTAGGTCTTGAGAAGGTCATTTCTAAATTACTGTCTCAAACTGAATTATAAACAACTACTGAAGGCAGAGAAAGGGGGGTGGGGAAGCAAGTGTGGACGGGGCGCAGAAGGCTTCAGGAAAGACAAAACCAGGGGGAGGGAGTCAGACTCTGGAAGAGGAGGCTGTAAATCTGTGGGTCTCAGCCTGTTCAGGTTGCTGTAACCAGCTACCATAGACCAGGTGGTTTACAAGCAAGAGAAACTTATTTCACACAGTTCTGAGGCTGGACATCCAAGATAAAGGCAGATTGGTGTCTGCCAAGGGTCCTTCCCACATAGACGCAGGCACCTTGCTGTGTGTTACACGGTGGGAGGGACAAAGGGGCTCCCTTGGGCCTCTTTTCTAAGGGCACTGACCCCATCCACGAGGCTCCACCTTCATGACTGATCACCTCCCAGAGGCTCCACCTCCTAGAACCATTAGCTTGGAGGCGAGAATTTCAACATAGGAATTTTGTGAGGGACACAAACATTTGGACCATGGCATTCTGCCCTCTGCAGAGCTGGCTGAGGTTATAAACTGCCCACTGTGCAGAAAGGACCCGAAGCAGAAAGCATGCCCAGTCTCAGCCAGGATGGAATAGTTACTGCAGCATGGACAAGGAAGGCATGTCAGAAAAAAAAAAAAAAGCCATTGCCATCACCATCGTTATTATCACCATCATCGCTAGCGTTTCCTGAGTGCTTGCTGGTTCCAGAGATGGTGCAAAGTGCCTTGCACGCATCATGTCACTTAATCCTCCCAACAGCCCGGGGACGTGTGTTCCACGGTTACCCCATCTGCTGGATGAGGAAACTGAGGCTCAGGGAGGTTAACAATTTGCCCAACGTCCAACAGCAGCTGGAGAGCCATGGCAAGGCTGAACGGTGAATGCCTGTGCAAGGGAAGCCAGGCTGTCTCCAGGGCTCCCGACAGGGGCTGCGTTTCTGCTGGGAATAATTGCCGGATTCCATTTGCACTAGGATGTGCGAACTCACTGTTGTTCACTAATTCTAAGACACCTTCTTCGTATTTAACACCCTCTAAAGCTGGGGTGCTGTGTCATGGTTTAGTCTTAGATGGCAACAATAATGGAATCAATGGTATCTTAGACTTAATGAAAAGTTGGGTTGCCAGGCCCAAGTTCCTAGAACTGTTAAGTTTTTGTTTTATGGCAGGCATTTATTTTCTTCTTGTGGCCACTAGAGTTTTTTTTAAAAAAAAAAAAAAAAAAAAAGAAGAAGAAGAAGAAGAAGAAACTTCTAGAGCAGGAATGTCCAAAATTTTGGCTTCCCTGGGCCACACTGAGTGTCTTGGGCCACACATAAAATACACAAACACTAACGATAGCTGATGAGCTAAAAAAAAAAAAAAAAAAATCACAAAAATTTCTCATAATGTTTTCAGAAAGTTTACAAATTTGTGTTGGGCTGCATTCAAAGCTGTCCTGGGCCACATGCAGGCCATGGGCCACAGGTTGGACAAGCTTGTTCTAGATAAAGAAAAAAAATGTGTGTGTGTGTGTGTGTGTGTGTGTATACATATATATGGGCTATTAATAAACCACCCAGTTTATGGTGCATTGTTATATAAATAACCTAATGTTCAGATTTCAGATTTTCTATTGCTCTTTAACAAATACAAAATTTAGCAGCTTAAAAACATGGTTTTCTTGCAATTCCATGGGTCTGGAATTCAGCAGGGCTGGGCTGGGTGACTCTTCTTTTCTCCTTGGCCTGGACAGGGCCCATGTGGAGGTATCTGGTTCTGAGAAGAGGCTGTTCCGGAGGGTCCATGTGACTTCACTCACACCCTGGCAGGGAGGGCTGGAAGGCTGGGCTCAGCTAGGACTATGGGCTATCCACATGGCCTCGCCAGCATGCTGGCCTCAGGTAGAAGTATTTCTTCTGTGGTGGCTGAAAGCTCTGGAAGCACGTGTTCCAGGAGACCAGGCAGAGCCGCAGGGCCTATATGGTATAGCCTTGGAGGACATGCATCCTCACCTCCTGACCCTGTGTGGGAGAGGACAGCCTGGATGGTGTAGCCTTGGAGGACATTCATCCTCACCTCCTGACTCTGTGTGGGAGAGAAGGATCTGGATGGTGTAGCCTTGGAGGGCGTGCATCCTCACCTCTTGACTCCATGTGGGAGAGGATGGCCTGGATAGTGTAAACTTGGAAGGTGTGCATTCTTACCTCCTGACTCCATGTGGGAGAGGACGGCCAGGGGGGTGTAGTCATGGAAGGCATGCATCCTTACCTCCTGGAGACGTGCCAATGCCTAGCCTGGAAAGGGTCCCACCTGCCTCCTGACCCCGTTTGGGAGAGGATGGCCTAGAGTGTGTAGTCTTGGAAAGCATGCATCCTCACCTCCTGATTCCGTGTGGGAGAGAACGACCTGGATGGTGTAAACTTGGAAGGTGTGCATTCTTATCTCCTGACTCCGTGTGGGAGAGGACTTCACCAGGGCGCAGGTGCCAGAGGCTCCCACACCAAGGATGAAGATGGTCACCTTCACAACCCGTTCCGACTCACCCAGTGGCTACTGTTGGACACCTACTCTCTGTCAAGCATTTTCCTTGGCAACAAGTAAAAAAGACACTCAAATGATGTCCTCAAGGCCGTTACGCTGCAGTGACATAAGAGGCAAGTGACCTAAGAAAAACAGGATCCTTGGAAATAGTGATAATCACTCTAAAGAATGAAACAGGGGCTGGGGCCTGTGACTCATGCCTCTAATCCCAGCGCCTTGGAAGGCAGGTGGATCGCTTCAGCTCAAGAGTTGGAAACCAGGCCAGGCGCAGTGGCTCACATCTTTAATACCAGCACTTTGGGAGGCCGAGGCAGGTGGATCAGGAGGTCAGGAGTTCAAGACCAGCCTGGCCAACATGGTGAAATCCTGTCTCTACTAAAAATACAAAAAATAGCCAGGTGTTGTGGTGTGCGCCTGTAGGCCCAGCTACTCAGGAGGCTGAGGCAGGAGAATTGCTTGAACCCGGGAGGCAGAGGTTTCAGTGAGCCAAGATTGTGCCACTGCACTCCAGCTTGGACGACAGAGCGAGACTGTCTCAAAAAAAAAAAAAAAAAAAAAAAAGGAGTTGGAAACCAGCCTGACAGACATGGCGAAACCCGTCTCTTTAAAAAGTACAAAAAAATTGGACGTGCTGGCGCGTGCCTGTGGTTCCAGCTACTTGGGGGGCTGAGGCAGGAAAATCGCTTGAACCTGGGAGGTCAAGGCTGCAGTGAGCCAAGATGGCACCATTGCACTCCAGCCTGGGGGACAAAGTGAGACCCTGTCTCAAAAAGAAAAAGAATGAAATAAATAGGAAAACATAGTGGAGCCTGGAATGTTAGAAAGAATGATCACGGAGGCGTCCTGAGGAGGTGACCTGTGACAAGCAATCTGAATGATGGCGGGGAATGGCTGTGGGACTCCCTGGGAAAGTGCATTTGGGGATGGGGAAGAGCACGTGCCAAGGCTGCAGGGTGGAGGAGAGTGGGCTGGAGTCCTCCAGGAACAGAGGATGGGTCTGTGAGGGCCCGGAGTCACGGGGGCTGGGAAAGGGACCAGGAGGAGATCCTCAGGAGGTGAGAAGCCAGACCAGGGGTTCTCAGGGGCCATGGCACAGGGTGTGGATTTTATGCCAGATGCATTGGGACCCATCCTAGCGCCTGCCTGGAGGTGGAGTCACTGAGCAGCTGGGTCATGTGTGGCTGGTGACCAGCAGGGCCTATCTGGAGGAAGGGCGGTGTGGCGAGCCCAGCCTGCCCTTAGCACACACACACGCACACAGGGGTGAGGCTGGGCTGCACCCACCCGCCTCCGGGCCATCCCCTGCACCTCGGATGACTCCTCCTGGGCGTGTCATTCCTGCCCACGCTTGGCTCACGGACCTCACAGCCACTTGGGGCCTGTGCTTCCCAGCAACAGGAAGCCTCACGCAGTTTAGAAGGGGACCTGGGCCTCTGCCGCAGTCAGGGCAGGGAAGGGCAGGGGTGGGGGTGGCCAAGCGAAGCTGGCTGGGAGAAAGCATCACCTGGAGACGCTCCAACGCCCAGCTTGGAAAGGGTCCCACCCGCCTCTGCATTCGTTTGGATGTGTCTTTCGTAAAAATCAAAGAAAGAAAGAGATGCTTGTTTCAGCTGACGACAGGGAGCTCCAGGGTTGCCCATAAGTTCAGGAGACGCCGTTCTGTCACCCTTGATATTCCCAAAATATCAAACCTTCACTGGTGCAGCCTGCTGCACTGGGTGTTTCATCAAGCTTTCTTGATTTTTAAAAACTTTTTTACAACCCCTTTAGCCCTCAACAAATATGAAGTCCACATCAAGTGCATAATAAATGTCTGCTAATTGAGTGACAGTGGTAGGCAGAATAATGGCACCCCCAACCAAAATGTCCACATCCAAGCCCCTGGGCCCGTGAATATGTCACCTTACATGGTAAAAGGGGCTTTGTGGATGTGAGTAGGGGTTAGGGACCCTGAAATGGAAAGGTTTTCCTGAATTACCCAGGTGGGACCAGTCTAACCACAGAGGCACTAAACGTTGGAGGACTGTTCCCAGCTGTGGTCACAGAGAAACAGGATGGCAGAAGAAGGGTCAGAGAGATGAGAACTTGGTGGCTCTGAAGCTGGAGGAAGGGGCCACACACCAAGGAACGTGGGTGCTCCTAGTGGCTGAAAAAAGAGGGGACTGGATCTTCCCTGAGAGCCTCCCCAAGGAACACAGAGCTGGCGACTCCTTGATTGCAGAACTTCTGACCTCCAGAGCTGTAAGAAAATAAACATGCTTATTTTAGTGGCTTGTTTTAAGCCACTAAATTTGCGGTAGTTCATTAGGGAAACCATAGAGTCTCGTCCAGTGACGAACTCATGCCTCTTCCCCCTATTCTGTGGCGAGATGCACATTCTCCTGGAAGACCCATTCTATCATTTTTGAGATAGGATTTTTTTTTCTCCCACCCAGGCCTTTTTCAGTTGCAAGTTCCTAAGACCAAACTCAAATGTCTAAAGGAAGAAAAGAAAAGGAATGCATTGACTCTGATGGCAGGAGAAGGATCTGGGCACGGCTAAATTCAAATGCAATCGTCAAAATCATCTCTCAGCCCTGTTCTCCTCCAGGTGTCCTCATTCTCAGGCAGTTTGCTCCCCATGATGTCCCTTATGCAGGCTTCCCAGCTGATATCCTCTGTGCTTCAAGCCCAGTGGAAATGAACCTTGTTTTTCTCGCCTGTGTGAACTGAAGTTCTCAGCCTGGTGGCTATTGGCCAGAACTGGGTCACATGCCTATCCCTGACCCAATCACAGTGGCCAAAGAGATGCAGTGCTCTGACTGGCCAGGTCTGCACATGACCATCCCTGCAGAGCCACAGGGCTGAGATAAGGGGAGATGAGTTCCCCGGAAAAAATGTAAAACCCCGTTTCTGGGAGATGGGAGAGATGGATGCTCAGTGTCAAAACAAATGTCTCCTGTGGGAATATTGACAATTCACTGGTTTTGCAAAAGGCCATCTGGAAGCCCTTTGATGAGGCAGTGTTTGAAAATCTGCAATGCCATTTGCAGAAATGATGCTCCCACTGAGTGTTTGGGTTCACCCGTCCCGGTCACTCCAGCACGAGGCATGGACGTCACCACCGACCCTTGCTTCCGATGGGAAAGTCCGCCTCCTGGGCCTGGGCATGGGCACCTCACCCTGGGGTCTCTCCCAGGCCTGGTTCCGCCCTCTGGGAATCCCTCCTGATTGTTTTCTGTCCTGCTGGGACTGGGAACATTCACTCTTGTGTTTGTTTTCACAGAGTTTGCAAACTTGAGCCTTGGCCTTGAACCAGGGAAATAATCGGCTTTTTCCATCCGCCCACTGCCATCCCCAGCTGGCCCCTGGAAGAGCCCTGGGAACGCTGTGGGTAGGACCTCTGCTCAGCTGGAGAGAAGGGTATGCCAGTCAAAGCTCCCAGCTGAGCGTGGCTTGGTCACCACCCCTCAGCACCGCCCGTCACGGCTGAGCTCTGTGACTGTCACCCAAGCCAAGTCCTTCCCTCCCATGAGCGATGATTTACACTCTTCCAGCTACCCCAAGACCTTGTTCAGATGGTCTGAAATGGCTCCAAAGGTGCGGATCCCGATGAGACTCAGAGGCCAGGGCCCAAGCCCCTCCCCACCCCATTTTTCCCATCAGTGTCTGTAATATCACCCCACTTTCAAGGGTCAGACGCTACAGTACTGAAGGCCAAACACACACACCCAGGGGACGTCAGTCCTTCAGCGCAGCAACAGAAGGTGACTCACAGCTAATTCTGCTTAGGCTACACTAAATTGGCACAGCCAGACTAAAATACTTTTGACTAATTCATTTGGCAGGAGCATCAAAGCCCAAAAAGGATTGAGTCCAAGTTTCCCCCTCTTAAAAATAAAATAAAACAGAAACAAAAACAAATCCTGGCAAGAAGAGAGGCAAAACCCTGACTATCTTTCATCTTCTGTGTTCACAAGAATGGAGATGCCACAGGGCATGACCTGTGTCTGGGCCGTTCACTGTGACATCCTGCTCCTAGCATCCTGCCTGGCCCAGAGCAGGTGCTCAAGAAGTGTTTGCAGGATGGTGTTGTTAGACAAGAAAACACCCTACACTTAATGGCATAAAACAACCGTGATTTTACTCATGGCTTCTGAGCAGCCAGAGCTTGGACAGGGCATGCTTGGGCTGTTTTCGCTCCGCTCCATGGTCTGGGGCCTCGGCTTTGAGCATTCGTGTGTGTCCAGGGCTGACTCAGTAGCTAGAGTGCAGACCTGGAGGTGTCTCCACTCACACATGTGGTGGTTGTGGCTGACTGTCTGCGGGTTGGGACCTCAGCTGGTTTGTTGACCACAGCACCTACTCACGTGGCCTCTCCATGTGGTCTCTCCGCATGGGCTAGCTTGGGCTTCCTGGCAATATGGCGGCTGGATTCCAGGAGTAGTATCTTCAAAAGAACCAGGAGGACGCTTTGTTACTGTCTATGGCTTATCCTCAGAAGCATCTTATCCTCATAGCATCACTTCTGTCATCACAAGCCCACTCAAATTCAAGGGGAAGAAATACAGGCTCCTCCTCTCGATGGGAGGGTTGGGGTCAGAGTCACCATTTGAGATGAGCCTGTGGGATGGCAGGTGGTGTTTCAGCTGGTTTGAGGAGCATGGTGTGCGACAGATGGTGGATGGATGAGACCCAGATGGGACACTAAGCCAAAGCGTCTTTGAGGTGACTTACTCAACGCCCCTGAAAGTTTTCATATGTGGCCTTAAGTATAATGGAGCATCACTACAAGTGGTCAGATGGACCTAAGGTTTGGAGTTGAATCACCATCAACCTTTTAACCTGCGTGGCAAGGCAGTGTTGTGGTTAAAAGTGAAGCCAGGCTGGGCATGGTGGCTCACACCTTAATTCCAGCACTTTGGGAGGCCAAGGTGGGCAAATTGTTTGAGCCCAGGAGTTCAAGACCAGCCTGGGCAACATGGCGAAACCCTGTCTCTACAAAAAAAAAAAAAAAAATTAGCCGCTAGCCAGGCACGGTGGCATGTGCCTGTAGTCCCAGCTACTTGGGAGGCTAAGGCAGGAGAAGCACTTTAGCCCAGGAGGCGGAGGTTTCAGTGAGCCCGGATCATGGCATTGCACTCCAGCCTGGGTGACAGGAGTGAAACCCTATCTCAAAAACAAACAAATAAACAAACCCAAAACAAACAAACAAAAGTGACGCTAGATCAAGGTCAGTCTTCTAGCCACGAGGCTGTGTTATCATTTTGCAAGACGTTATCATTAGGAAAACTGGCTAAAAGGTACATGGGATCTCTATATTACTTATGAATCTACAATTATCTCTGTAAAAATTTCAATTAGAAAAATGTGGAGCCAGGCTGCCAGGATGTGAGGCTCGAGTCTGTCACTCACCAGCTGGGCAAACCCAGGTCCACAACTTACTCTCTTTGTGCCCAGTTTCCTTATCTGCAAAAGGAGGCTAATAATAATAATAATAGTAATAAAAATATAAGCTTCGTAGAGGTGTGGGGATACACAAAGCTAATCCGTGGAAAAGGATCAGGAAGAACAGCTCATGCTGAAACATCCTCATGGAATTTCACCAGCTTCCTCGTGATAGGAGATGACTTTCCATGGAACCCACAGGCCCTGAAGATGACCCACATAAAAATTAGGAAGAAGCAGGAAGAGGGAGCCGGTGATGACTGTCTTGGAAAAGTCACATCCTGGAGACATCTGTCCAAGAGATCCACTGGAAAGTTGTGTGTTAGCCAAAGCAGTCCGCTGGCTGTAGGCATCGCCCATGACATGAGCAGAAAGAGCCAAGGTGGACAAAGATAGCAAGTGTTTAAAAGAGATGGCCTGTGGCGTCAGGAGGCACAGGTCCCTAGGACGGAGAGCCTGCATGCCGGGCCCTCTCCCAGACACTGAAAGGTCTGAGCGTGGAAAGGAAGACATTCAAGTTCATGATTTGGAGGGGCGTGCTAGGTGCCAAGCTCTCTAGCTTTTTTCCTCATATTTAATACTTACAGCAACTTCTAAGACAGCTTTTATGACATTCCCCACTTGATGGATTAGTTTGCAGAGGTGCAGAGAGGACAAGAAATGTGCCTAAGGCCACCCAGCTAGGAAGTGAAGCAAAACAAGAGTTGAAGCCAGCTGGCTGGCTCCTTCGTCTGCTCCTGGCTGCCTGCATCAGAGACGACCCCTCAGGCCGGGGGTGCGCACCTGGCTCTCACCTGCCCCCGATACCTTGGTGCTAACTCCTGCCTTTGCGTTTTTGCCTATCCTGTGTTTGCAGATGAGCTACTTGCCCTGCTGTGTGCACGGATGGCTCACAGTGGGTGCAGGCGGCCTGCGGGCACAGTCCACGCTGTGATTAGCAGCAGCAGAGCCCCTGGATACCTCTGCCCAGAGCTCCGCGGGGTCAGCCATGCAATGGCACCATCGGATGAGCTGGCAAGGGCCTCCCAGACAGGCGGAAAGAGGGCTTGGCAACTGCACCATGTGTATGTAAGTCCCAGCTGGGTGTCCCTGGTGTCAGTTTCTCAGTCTGTAAAATGGGCATCATTTGGCTGTTCCATGGATTAAATGAGGGGATACGTGCAAAGAACTTTAGGTTCCTCAGAGAGAAATCCAGATAAAGTTAGCAAAAGAACAGGAGTGGCCCCAAATCCTGAAAGCCCTTGGCACCTTCTTCCTGTACTCTAGACAGATGCCATCTCCCTGGCACCATCTGTGCCCACACCCACAACCCCACCCATCTGTGAGGGGGTGGGGGTGGAGGGCATTCTAAAGGTTTTTTGGGATCCTCCCCAGCAAAATTGGAGCGGTTTGTTCATTCTCGAGTCCACTCCACACTCTCTGGGCCCTGCTGGGCATGAAAGGAAACCACCCTTCTTGCCTCCCTCACTGTCTGGCTGCTAGGTGGGGTCAAACAAAGGAGGCCCTGGCAGCAGAAATCTGGAGGCCAGGAGCAGGGAGAAGCCGGTGTCTCTCCTTCTCTCTCTGCTCTGCGGAGGCAGCTTTTCCTCATGGGACAGGCGTCTTCCAGGGTTCCTGCTCCTGTCCAGGTGGCCGTGCTTGGCTCTAGCTCGGATGGGCCCAAGTCAGGTGACATAGCTCCTCCCGATGTCCCTCCAGCCCATGGGAGGTGGAGCTCCCTGCTTCTGCCTGTCTCCAGGCGCTGAACCAAGCCTGCCTGTTTTCTCACTGTCCATCACCGTGTCTCCAAGCCCCTGGACTGGATACCCTGTGTTTCAGCTTCCTTAGAGTGACTTTTGATGTCTTCCCTGGACTCCAGACTTCCACTTAGAAGCAGCAGGAGTGCTTAGAATCCACAGACCTCCCCTAGTCCTGTGTGAGTTACGTTTCCTCTGCCAGGAAGAGGAAACATAGAGCCAGGTGACTTCTTCCATTGTCCTTTATTTTTATTCATTCATATATTCAGCCCGACTGGCTGAGCACCCATAATGCGTCTATGTGATGCCATCTGGGAGCTTTTAAAGAGTTTATTAATAGTTTACACAAAAAGTGCTTACGGGGTGCATGGGTGTAACCCACAGACTAGTGGGATTGGAGCACAGATGGTGCTGTGTGTGGGTACTGAGGCCAGCCAGCGGGGAGGGGTCCAGCTGCTGACCAGGGACCCCTGAAGCCACTGGGCAAGGCAGAGCGAGCACCCTGGGCAGAGCCAGGGCTGTCTCAGCAGGACCGGCCAAATGAGCGAGTGAGTGCTCCTTCCTCCTTCCCAGAACATGGGTGGCTTTGAACAGGAGGCAGGCACGATCTGCGGCTGCCGTCTGTGCAGGCAGAGAGCAGCTCTTGGTGGGCCTATTCATTCTGTTTGACACAGCAGAGGGACAGTGCTCTTTGAAGACTCTGTTGGGGATCGTGAGAGGTGGATTAAGGGTCTCCCCAAAGATGTCCACACCCTCATCCCTGAAACCTGCGACTGTGTCACCTTACAGGGTTACAGGGACTCGCAAATGAGCTGGAGAGATTTTCCTGGGTATTCTGTGTGGGACCAATGTCATCCCCAGGGCCCTTAGAAGAGGGAGGCAGGAGGGCTGGAGGCAGAGGAGGAGAGGCGACCAGGGAAGCGGAGGTCGGAGGGATGGAGGGCGGGAGTCAGGAACGTGGGCACCTCTGGAAGCTGGAAGAGGAAAGGAAATGGATTTCCCCCCGCACCCTGGAGCCTCCCTGGGGACAAAGCCCTGGTGACACCTGAGTTTAGCTCCGTGAGACCTGTTTCAGACTCCTGACCTCCGGGACTGTAAGGTGAGTCATCTGTGTTGTTTTAAGCCCTTGGCTTGGTGATTTGTTACAGCAGAAATAGGAACTCATTATATACGGGTAATAATGGCTGACCTTTACTGAGCGCCTCGACTGGGAGCCAGCCACTTAGAAATGATCCCTTTGATCTTACAGTGCCCCTGTGAAAGGGTATTGTTAGGCTCATTTTACCGCAGAGAAGCTGAGGCTTACTGCAGACAAGCAACTTGCCCAGAGTCAGAGGAAAAGGAAGTGGGCACCTGAGTGAGACTCTGCCAGGCTCTGCTGGGAGCCCTTCATGTGTACAGGCTGATCCCAGGCTCACAGCAAGCCCGTGAGGTCCAGGCGGTCGCCATTCTCCTCATGCTTACAGATGGGGAAACCGAGGCACAGCTCATCTCCGAGGTCCCCGTGTTAGGAAACGTCAGAGCCAGGATTTGAACTCAGGCAACTTCTCGCCGGAGTCTGTGCTCTGGACCCCACGGGGAGGGGTGAGATGGAAGCCAGGCATTTACAGAAGCCAAGACCAGGGAAGAGCATGGACCTTAGACCACAGCACCCCTGAACCATCGAGCCCCTGCCACACTTCCTGGAATGCTCTTTGTGGAGCATTGAATAGTGTTCACCCAAAAGTCATGCCCTCCTCCGAATGTAACCTCATCTGGAAATGGGGACACTGCAGATGTCATGAAGGTAAGGACGGAAAAGAGCGCGCACTGGAGTAGGCTGGGCATGAAATCCAGGGAGAGAGTCCTTCTGGGAAGGAGGAGAGCAGACACAGAGACACACAGGAGGGCGACACGGAGGCACAGGCGGAGACTGCAGTGGAATCATGCTTCCACAAGCCGAGGAACACCGACGGCTGCCGGCACACCACAGCTAGGAGCGCCAAGGGCTGCCGGTACACCACACACCACAGCTGCACAGAGGCCTGGGACAGATGCTCCCATGGAGCCTGCACAAGAAGCCTCTCTGCCCACACCTTGACTTTGGACTTGAAGCCTTCAGAGCGGTGAGAGGAGAGGCTCCTGTTGCGTGAGGCCGGCAGCCCCAGGACACACACTCTTCCCGTGGGGCCAGCTCCTCCCTCCCCAGCACCACGAGGCGCCCCGGAGAATTGGGCTCTTGACCCGGGCCAGGCAGGAAATGCAGGCTTGCTCTTTAAAACACATTAAAAGGGATCCTGCAAAGGTTAAAAAAAATAAGCAGATGAACAAGATAAGCGTTCCCCTGGGACCTGAAAGACGCAGAAGAACAAGTAGGAGGAACATTCGGAGGAGAAGACCTAGCTGCAGCTGGGTCCTGGCAAAGTTATCGGGTTCTGCTCCCTCTGCCTGGGTGAGGTACTGGCAAAGTTCTCCGGTTCTGCGCCCTCTGCCCAGGTGAGAGCCACCAGGTCCTCCTGTTTCTGCAAGCAACGGTCCCCAGCCCACTCCTCATGCAGAGAACTCCCTCTTGGTGCCAAGGCCGATGGGGTGCCCCCGCCACTACCCAGCTATCCCTGCTGCAGAAGCACAGGGCGGTCAGGGCAGGCGGAGTTCTGCAGCATGCACCCCCCAAGCCTGGGACCAGGCACACCGACAGCACTCCCCAGCATATCCCTGCTGATGCAGGCCTGGGGCCCGGGGGGTGTGGTGTGTGTGTGTGATGTGTGCATGTGTGCGTGTGTGTGTGTGCTGTGTATTATATGTTTGTTATTCAGTGTGTGTGCATGTGTGTACAGATGTCCGTGTTTATGTGTGTACACGTGTGGTGCACACATGTATGGTTATGCATGCATGGGTATGCATTTGCATGTGTGTGATGTGTGCATGCACATATGTGTGTATCTGTGTGTGTATGCGCATGCCTGTGTATGTGTGTATATTTGTGATATATGTATGGGCAGTGCAAGTGTGTGTGCTGTGTATTATATGTAGGTAAATTGTGTGTGCCTGTGTGCACAGGTGTGTATGTGTGCACGTGTATATGTGTGTACATGTGTGGAGCTTAACCCTGTGATTGTGCACATGCATGTGTATGTATGTGTATGATATGTGTAGGTGCATATGTGCATGTGTATCTGTGTACATATATGTGCGTGTGTGTTTATGTGTAGTGTGTGTATATTTGTGATATGTGTATGTGCAGTGTATATGTGTATGATGTATTATACATGTGTGAATCTGTGTGCATGTGTGCAGATGGGTATGCAGATTGTCATATGTGTGTGGTGTATACATGTGTGGTTGTATATGCATGAACATGTATGTGCATTGTGTGATGTGTATCCATGTGCATGCCTGTATGTGTGTGTACATGCTTGTATGTCTGTATTTGGGTGATGTGTGTATGTGCATGCATGTGTGTATGTGCCTATGTGTGTGTGCATATGTGTGTGCGTGTTTACATGTCTGTATTTGGGTGATGTGTGTGTACATGTGTGCATGTGTGTGTGCACATGTGTATATCTGTATTTGGGTGATATGTGTGTATGTGTGGGCATGTGTATGTGCGCTTCTGTATCTGTTTATGTTCATGTGTATCTGTGTGCCTGACATGTACATAGAGGTACGTGAAGCTGTGTGAATCACATCAGCAAAGTCTCTTTTGCTGTAGAAGGTGACATGGTCACAGGTTTCAGAGATTAGGGCCTGGATGTCTTGGAGTCCACGGCTAAGCCTGCCACAGAAGGCATTCCACAATCCCCCCGCCAGGTCATCCTCAGTTTCCCCTTTCTACGAGTCAGAAAAAACAAAATGACACTCAGAGGTTCAGCTCTGCCTACAGATGCCTCTGTCTACCCTAAGTTCTTAACAAATCCTGTTTTGTTACCAAGACGTACAAATCAGGTCATTTCACTCCCACGCCCAGTTGTCCAGCTTCCCTTGAGGAGTCAAGGCCTCAAGGCTCTGCTGGCCACCCTCTTCCATGGGAGTAACTGGCTGGGATTCCCTGGGGCTGCCCCTTAGAGGAGGCCTGGACAGTCCAGTTTGCCACAGACCTCACCGCTCCCTCATACTCCGTTCCTGAGAGCCGAAGTCTGCCAACTTTTCCCACACACTTGCACTTTCTCTGAAATGTCTCCTCATAGTGGAGTTAGGGAAGACTGGGGCGTTTCTTGCACGTACAACTCTATCCCAGGCACAACCCAAGCTGGATGTGCTGGGTGGGTGTTTTTAACCCAGGACTCAACCCTCCTTCATGCTCCCAGCTGGGCCCCGACGGGCATTGGTGCCTGTGACCCCCCCACTCTCAGTGTCTGACTTTCCATATTCTTTGTCTGCTTTTCTAGTTTGACCAAGGAGCTTATGTTTTTAAGTCATGGAATAAAACATGGATTACTATTGTGGGTTGAACTGCATCCCCCAAAAAGATCAGTGGAGGTCCTAGAAACACAGGACTTCAGAATGTGACTGTGTCTGAAGACAAGGTCATTGCAGATGTAATTGTTAAGATGAAATCATACTGGAGCAGGCTGGGCCCACTCCAGTACGACCGATGTCATCATAAGAGAAGAGACACAGAGACTCCACGTGGAGACAGAGGCGGAGATGGGAGCAATGTGGCCACAAACCCAGGGTTGCCACAACCAGCAGAAACTAGGAGGAGGCGAGGCAGGAGCCTCCCCTGCGCCTCCAGAGAGAGCCTGGCCCTGCCAATACCGTGATTTCGGACTTCTTTTAACCTCCAGAATTGTGCAAGAATAAATGTTGCTTGTTTTGAGCCACCCAGCTTGTGGTCCTCAGTTACAACAGTCCCAGGAAACTAATACATCTAGTAAATAAAATGAGAGCGGTTTCTCTGCATGAACTGAAATGATGGCGGGCTCTGCAGGGACAGTTCGCAGACATCTGCAAACAAATACTGTCCAAACCGTGGTAAACAGCCGTCTTTTATTTCGGCGAAAGCCTTTGGGCCAGTTTTCGTATGTTGTTGGAAGCACTAAATCTCTCGCTGGCAGAGATCTGCAAGCAGCTACAAGCCAGCGGCTCACCTGCAGCAAAACGCCTGGAGGCAGGTCCATGCAATGCCCACGTCTTGCATGTCATTGTGCAGTTAAACAGCTCCTGAACCAGAGAGCAGCTGCGCCCAGACAGCTTCCCGGGTGGTAAGAACTGTATTTGACCTCCTGGCAGCACAAACGACTGAATAACAATTAAACAAAACAGGACAGTCTCCGTGTTTCAAAATGCGCATTTAAACCTAAAAGAAACACGGTGTGTTTACTTTCTGAGCCTGGCCTTCCCTGGGTGCACAGTGAGCCACTTCTGAAAGCGTATGGGCACACCCGCTACAGAAACCAGCTTACACTGGCTCGGTTGCCAGTCCTGGGGCATTTCAGAAGAATTGAGTCAGAAAGGTGTTTTCTGTGGGTGATTCAAAGGCTCCAGGTCTCCAGAAATTTGTTGCATGAAATGGAGAATAAGTAGGCTCGGGCTCGGACTTGGCCGCGTGCAGCTTCAGGGGTGAAGCTGCTTGGAGGCCAGGGGCCAGCCCCAGTGCTTGGATGCTGGGGTGCAGATCCGGGAATGGGATGATAGCCAGGTGGAAAGGGGGAGGTGGCTCCTGGGTCTTGGAGAAGAGGGTGAGAATATAACCAAAGATTTGTCTGAAAGCCAGACAGTGGAGAGTCAGCTTGGCTGTGAATCATACCTAGTTTGAGCATAAAGATGAGAAGTGAAAACAGAGATGGGGAGGTAAAAAAGGAGGGGGAGGTGAACAGAGAGGCTTAGGTCCCCATCGATAACAGTAGCTAATGACACGTGAACACGGGATCTCTTTGCTTGCTTTTCTTTTTTTTTTTTTTTTTAAGACAGGGTCTTGCTCTGTCACCAAAGCTGGAGTGCAGTGGCACAATCATGGCTCACTGCAGCCTCAACCTCCCGGGTTCCAGTGATCCACCCATCTCAGCCTCCAGAGTAGCTGGGACTACAGGGGTGCACCACCATACCTGGCTATTTTTAGTATTTTTTGTAGAGACGGGTTTTTTTGCCATGTTGCCCAGGCTGGTCTCGAACTCCTGGGTTTAAGTGATCTGCCTGCCTCAGCCTCCCAAAGTGCTGGGGGATTACAGGTGTGAGCCACTGCATCTGGCCAAGGGATATCTTTTGAGATCTTCTTGCCCCAGAGCTTAATTTCAGAATCCAGCGTGATTGTTAAAGAAGAAAATAAACGGGCTTTTTCTATTTTACCTGGAGCATGTCACCAGGACAATTTTCATCCAAAGACCTAGTTCAATGGGGCTCCTTCCCCAAGCTCCCCACACACGCTCCGGGAATCGATTTTTTTTACAGTTGTCTGAAGTGCAAGTCAAGCTTTTGCACACACACTCTCTCTCTTTCTCTTTTTCTCTGTCTTAAATTGCCAGAAATGTACAATTTTCCTAATGGAGAGTTTATTTCAGGCTCATCAAGATAAAATAAATTCCGCTGGTGTGCAGCCGGCCAGGCGCAGGGCAGAGCGGCGGCAAGCGGCCCGCGGGCAGAGGGGGCAGCGAGGGTCCATGCTCAGCGTCTGAACGTTACATTGGCATCTGGGGAGGGGGGGGGCTCCATGTGTGGTCACGTGAACTCCGAGAACGAACCTGGCTGAGCACAGTCGACCTTGTCACTGTCATGACCCAAGGTGTCCTCTGTGACTGGACATGGGGCGGGGTGCGTTACGTAGATGACTCGTTAAGCTCTAGTGGCTAACTCAGTGCGTCCATGAAGGCTGTGCGGAGATGCGGCCGGCAGAAGGCAAACATAGATGACGCTGGGGATATCGGTGTAAATACGGGTATGGCCAGTTGGTCGATACAGAAGGGTTTGTTTGAAGGCCTTCGCTCACACGATTGTGGCTGCTGGCAAATCCAAAATCTATAAGGCAGGCTGGCGGCTGGAGCCTCAGGCAGGATTTCTACGAGGCAGAATTTCTCCTCCTTCGGGAAACCTGCTTCCCCTCGGAAGGCCTTCTGTGGGCTGCGTGATGTGCTCCCACATGCTCAGGGGCAAGCTCCTTTATTGGCTGTAGGCATCGGCCACATCCCCAAAACACCTGCCCAGCAACCCTGAGATGACTGCTTGGGTTCGTCTCCAGGTACGCTAAGCCTGCCCACATAAAACTGACTGCCACACACTGACGTTCTCCGGTGAGAGATGGGAGACTCAGAGAGGCCACTTCCTTTGCCAGGGTTGTAGAGCAATGGAAGGGCTTGAGTGGTCAGGTCTTTGGGTCTCATTGCCTGTGGTTCTAAACTAGCAGAGTGTGGAATGCCTCGGCTTCCACTGACCCTGTGGCCCCGGCAGGGCCTCCACCATCAGGACCGCCGAGCACGCCCTCCTGCCAGGAGCGACGTCCTCCTTCCTGAGAAGTTTCTCGTGGGTGGGAGGGATGGGAACCGGACTCTTGACACCTCCCTGGTGCCCCAGCCCCACCCTCGCAAGGCGGACCACCCAGAAGGTTCTTCCGGCCCCTTTTCCAAAGCCCTCCTGCCTCACTTAACCCAGCCCAGGTTAACTGATGACTGTGGGAAGAGATGTTTCCAGCAGCACACTGTCTTGTAATCCAAGGGGCCCTGGAAAAAGGGGTTTCGCAGCGGCACTGTGGTCTCAGAGTCCATGCGAGAGGAAACACATCTGTCCCTGTATTTTCCGCAGACACCCCCCCTCGCCTCCCCCACGTCCCCACAGGCTGTCATATTGTTTCCAGTTGTGTTTATGGTAAACTCAGGCCATAACACGCCTCTGTCGTTGTAAAAGATGGAAAGAGTCTTAGGAGAGAAATTTTCATCCCAGGCCTTTCAAGCGGCATTTTCCCGGTGGTAGAGGTGAATGGGAAACATGAAGCAGCTGCCTGCAGGAACGTTTTTCCCTCTGTGGCAAGGATAAACAGTGAAAGGCGTTTGCTGAAGATGGAAAGAGACACTGTGCAAACCAATATGCACAGCTCCTGAGGCCTGTGCTGGGGGCCGTGGCTTGCTGACGTCTCTCCAAATACGCAAGTCAGAGAAGGGCTGACTCACAGGTCATGGATTGCAAAAAATATGGCACAAGCCTGACTTCGAACTTTCAAAGGGACAAGGACGTGCACGCCACAGCCACAGCCCCAGACCAGGGTGTAGGCCGTGGGGCTCCAGCTCCCTTCTGGGCATCACTGCTGTGTGTCCTTGGGAGAGTGTCTCCGCCTCTCTGGCACCTCCCTTCACTCTGGAAACCTGTCCATCAGGCCAGGGGACTGGGGTGGCGTGCGGCCTACCTCCTCCCACCTTCCGAGCCCAACCCCAAAACTGGATAAGCAGTCAGCTTGCACTCTGAACCCAGAACTGAAACGAGGATTAAGCTTCGCTTTGTGCGTGCCACAAACCAGACACCACATCCAACCTCCGGCTCTAGGGCCAGGAACTCCAATCACCAAGCATTTTTGGAAAACCAAATCAAAGCTAGATGGCTTTTCTAACATGTTATATTGTATTAAAGATTGAAAATGACATTGAGAAGTAAAAATAAATTGGAAATAACTGGAAAAATCTAAATGTCCAGTAACATTGGGGGATTCATTAAAAATTCTGACCCAATGGAACGTCGACGAGCCACCACAATGACCTTTTTAAAGAATGTTCCCTGCTGGGCAAAGATGCTCATGAAATCTTACTTGAAAAATAAAGTAGGCCATGGAAAGGTATGTACAGTAAGATCACACTTAGGAAATTATATATAATCGGGGTGCTCAGGCTTTCAGAAAAAAAACCAGAAGAGGCACACAGAGTCACAGGGCACAGAGTCTGGGTGGCGGGCCCCTATGAGATTTTCACTCTCTCTATGTATGCGTATTTTGTGTGTTATACATTTTATATAATGAGTGTATTAATTCTGTGATCAGAAGGAAGTCAGTGTTTTTGTGTTTTGTGTGTGTGTGTCTCAAGGCAGCATTATAAAAGGGACTAGGTCATCAGCTTCCTCAGCTACCCCACGGCAAACCGCCCTTGTTCTTTTTTTAACTTACAACAGCTCAGAAGCCAAACTTCAAACTGCTCTCGTCAAGGGTTTTTTCCTTCACACTAAGAGCCAGAGACATAGCAAGGAACCCGGCCCTGAAGCAGTGGGCACAGGCTGCTGACCGGCTCCGCCCTGCCTCTGGGACCCTGGGCAGGCTGCTTGACCTCTCTGGCCTCAGTTTTCCGAACTGTGAAATGGGAGCATTAATGACAGGATCAACCCCTGGGAAGCGCGGGTAGGGTTATATAATGAGAACACCGGTAAGTGCTGGGTCATAATTGGTGTCACCATAACTAACATAAATGACAAGAGAGGCAGCCAGTGCCTGCACGCCCAGGCCATCTGTCTTTCATCCCTGGGCTGCATCTCTACCCAACCCTGCTCTAGACTCCACAGAGAGATGCAGACCACTCCCTCTCCCCACCAAAAAAAGAAGAGAGATATTTTGTGTCTTTAAAGAGGCAATGTCTTCCGATGTCCAAGTCAAACGGAACAGAAAAGTCAGGCCACACTCCACCGCCTGACCCTGGGATGCAGATCACAGAAGTTCAAGGGAAGATGGGGGTCAGGGCAGATGCAGCCAAGGCTGGTTCCAGAGAGAGGGCAGGGCTGGGAGCTCAGTGGGGAGCTTCACCGGGCTGGAAGCAGAATCTCCTCTATCCTGGTGTCCTAGGACAGGCTTTTCATGACATATAGTGGCGGCACTAACTCACGCCACCCTCCACCCATGGTTACAGCCATCATCCACTGCTTTGCCACAGGTGGCTTTGGAAGGACCTGAGCAGGGACCTGTTGTATAAGCTGTTCTAGGTGAGCTCACCTGAGCCCTAGAGTCCTGCCTTCTTGTTCCCAGCTTTAATATTGGCCCAGGGGTCAGCAGAGCCATTTCCTGTGTGTCCTCGGGGGCACGGCAGTGAGGAAGGAGGACCTCCACGGCTTACCCAGACACCTCCCTCCCTCTATCCGTGCAAATCCCGCGACTACTGTAATGTCCTCCACGGTAAGAAAGGGCCCCTCGGTCCCCTGTCAAGGCGCTGTCTGCTGCAGGTGGTGCCAGCCTTGCAGTGCTGTGGTAAGAGGGGCATGCTTTGTGTTAGAATGCCAGTCTCTGCAGAGTTGGAAAGCACCCTCACCCGTGGTACACGGTCCTGTCTTCTCCAGACAGAAACAAAGAACACCCACAGGACAGCCCAGGCTTCACCCAAGCAGCGCCCTGGAGAAGGGAGTGATCTTGTCTCCTTCCTGCGTCATCTTTCAAATGGAACAGGATCTGGGGGCAAGACCAGCAAATCGGAGCTGCCTGCCTGGGCCTGGGAACATCAGCGTGGGATCTCCCGCCCTTTCCCCTGCAGCTTCAATCCAGCTAGGGCTCCGTTCCCTCTGGAAGGTGCTAAGTGGTTCTGGGTGTGATAAGCCTTGTCTGGTCATCTGGCCATGCTGGGAGACCTCGCTGCTTAGTGGGATTTCAAAGGAGAGGGATGTTGGAAGTGGGAAGTTTATTATCATTACTACTACTGTTTTGGTGAAGTGCCCATGGCTGAGTGAGTTTTAAACATCCAAGGGTGGAGATTTGGGCCCGGCATCATCATTGCTTCTAAGGAAAGTCAGAAAACACCACATGTATATGGAGCATTTGCGTTAGACATCAGAAGCTAGAGGCGGCGCCCTTCTCTGCAGCACCCTCAGCTACCCTGGGCCGGGGCACCTGCAGGGAAAACGCTTTCATGGTTTAGAGACATAGACGAGCCACACAGCCCTGTGTCAATCCAGTGGGGCCAACCCTGCTCGGAGCCTGCTGCAAACAGGCCTGTTTGTGTTGGCCGATCCGTGCCTCCATCAGCCAGGGTGACTCACCTGCATTTAGCTTGGAGCGAGAACCAAAGGCCAAGTCCCGGTGAGAACCCTTTCCAGAGGTCCTAATCGAGTCATCTCACGGGGCTTCGCAAGCAGTCATTAGGCTGAACAACTCCTGACTGTACATATAATTATGCTCCTTGCACACAGGGAAACTGAGGCCAAGAGACTTCACTTTCTCAGTTCTGTAATTGGGCTAGCATCCAGACTCTCTTGTCTCGTTGTCTAACCCAGAAGCAGGGGTTATTCTGGATGAACCGGGAAGTTTCCTCCCAAGTCTGGTGTCTGGATCAGACATCACCTGCTCTCTACCAGGCAGCCGTGCCAGCCACAGAAGGACGGTCGGGACAGTAGAACGGGGCTCATGAAGAACTGGATCCCAGCAGATGTCCTGTCTACAGCACACGGTGGCTACTCGCCTGAGCCAGACCTATGCCCAGAAGGATATTTTTTGAGAAGCTGAAAGCTCTGGTTTTCATGTGAAATATGACGATGTTTTAAAGTTCACTGACAGATTCAAATGTCTTTAAAACACTGCACAGTCCAAATGCAGCAGGTGTGGAGTAGATTCAGTCCTAAAGAAATGAATATGGGGCCGGGCACAGTGGCTCATGTCTGTAATCCCAGCACTTTGGGAGGCTGATGGCCTGAGCTCAGGAGTTCGAGTCCACTCTGGGTAACACGGTGAAACCCCGTCTCTACTAAAATACAAAAAATTGGGTGCGCATGGTGGTGTGCGCCTGTAATACCAGCTACTCGGGAGGATGAGGCATGAGAATCACTTGAGCCCGGGAGGCAGAGGTTGCAGTGAGCCGAGATTGCGCCACTGCACTCTAGCTTGGGCTACAGAGTGAGACTCCATCTCAAAGAAAAAGAAAAAAAGAATATGGACCATTTATCTAGATCAGCACAGTCTACTAGAAATATAATGTGAACCACAAATGTGATTTTAAATTTTCTGGTAGCTACTTTTAAAAAGTAAAGAGAAGCGGCCGGAAGCGGTGGCTCACGCCTATAATCCCAGCACTTTGGGAGGCTGAGGCGGGCGGATCATGAGGTCAGGAGATCGAGACCATCCTGGCTAACACAGTGAAACCCCGTCTCTACTAAAAATACAAAAAAATTAGCCGGGCATGGTGGCGGGCGCCTGTAGTCCCAGGTACTCGGGAGTCTGAGGCAGGAGGATGGCATGAACCCGGGAGGCGGAGCTTGCAGTGAGCCGAGATGGTGCCACTGCACTCCAGCCTGGGCGACAGAGTGAGACTCTGTTTCAAAAAAAAAAAAAAAAAAAAAGTAAAGAGAAGCATGTAAAATGAATTGTGATAACATTTTATTTAACTCGATGATCCAAACGATGCTCATTTCAATGCAGGATCCATATGAAGATTACTGTTTCTCCCCGCCTCGCATCTCCATTTGGGCCGGCCACATTTCAGGTGCTGAGCGACTGCCGGGGCCATCACACAGGCCAGCCAGAGATACCATCAGATCCAGCAGGCGGGGCACCCGGCTCACACCAGAACTCCATTCACCAAACCTGAATCTCACCTACCAGGTGGAGAACATTTTCAAATGTCCCTTGAATGCCTGGGACTTCTGGCCATGCTGGGAGAACTCGCTGATTAGTGGGGGTCTTAAAGGAGAGGGATGTTGGAAGTGCGAAGTTGATTAACATTACAGTTTTGGTGAAGGGCCCATGGCTGAGAGTTCGAAACATCCAAGGGTACAGATTTGGGCCCAGCATCATTCTAGCTTCTAAGGAAAGTCAGAAAATGCTACATCTATATGGGGCATTTGCATTAGAGGTCAGAAAAAAGGACTTGGCCTTAGGTTCTTGCTTCAAGCTAAATGCAGGTGAGTTACCCTGACCAATAGAGGCACAGACCAGCCAACACAAACAGGGCTGTTTGCAGCAGGCTCTGAGCAGGGCTGGCCCGACTGGATTGATGCATCTTTTTTTCTTCATCATTCTTTTCTTTCTTCATTTCCAAAGTCGTTGCCATCACCCTTGTTGGCCAGAACTGTTTCAGTGATACCCACGTGGCTTCTCGGCCTTCTCTCCACCTTCACCTCCTCTCCTCCCAAAGCTACCAGTGTAATCTTTGGGACCCGCATCTGATCTTGCCACACACCAATGGCACCCCTGCAGATCCTCTTCCCTCCCTAGGGGTGCCACGAAGCTTCAAGACACCGCGCCTTTGTGCATACCGTTCCCTCACCTGGCACCCCCACCACCTTTGCTCAGGCTGAGGAATTCCTAACCACCTATCTACAGACTGTTAAATGTTGCCTCTTCTGGGAGTTCTTCCCAAATAACCTTTTCCTGCCCCACACAGCAAAACGAATCCCCCCTTGCGTTCTAGACCTTCCACTGGAACACCTGCTGTGCAGTCCTGGGCTTGGCTCACATGCACTCCCTCTACGCCTCTGAGTCAGGGTTATCTGAGCGCGTGCTCTGCACTGTCACTGTACCTCTGAGGTCTACGTGAACTGCCCCCTGTGGGCTGTGGTGCAAAACCTGTGTATGTGGTGGGGTATTATAGCCTTTACGTGCTGTTGTTCACAGAGTCCTCATAACAACCTTATAACGCAGCTACAATTATTATCCCCCTTTTGCTGTTAAGGAAACCAAGACTCAGAGAGGCTCATCAACTTGTCTACAGTCACACAGCTCCTGAGCAGTGAAGCCAGGATTCAAACCCAAGAAATCTAAGCATTCTGTTAGGCCAACTCTGAATTCCTGCATGGTGACAGGGACCATGATTTGTTAATATTCTAGCGCCATGACGGGGTACAAGTGCTTCCTGGGTGAGTGCATCGACAAAGAACAACAGCACGAAGGCACAGTCAGAGCCTCACGGCCAGACCTTTGCCTGGCTGCCTTGCTCTCCTCCTTCAGCTCTCAGGGATGCGTCACCTCCTCAGAGCCAGCCCTGACCGCCTCAGCTAAGCAGGCAGCCTCCCCACGCCCCACTGTCTGTCCCACTTTCCTTTTATTATCTCCACAGCACACGGCAGTGCCTGAACTTATCCCCCTTGCCAATTTGTCCATCCAACGTCTCCCCCGCTATGATATCTATCCTAGTGAGAACAGGTGCCAGCTGAGCGCGATGATTCATGCCTGTAATCCCAGCCTTTGGGAGGTTGGGGTGGGAGAACTGCTTGAACCTGGGAGGCGGAGGTTGCAGTGAGCCTAGATTGTGCCACTGCACTCCAGCCTGGGAGACAGAGTGAGGCTCTGTCTCAAAAACAAAAACAAAAACAAACAAAAGGAGAACAGGTGCCCTTTCTACTGGCCGTGGCTGTATCTGCAGTTCCTAACACAGTGCCTGCACAGAGCTGATGCGTGCTGCACCCTCGCTGAATGACTGAATGAAAGGGTGAATGAATGCATCCCTGGCTCCTCTCAGATGCTGCCTTCTTCACCAGGTACTGGCCTCTGTCAATCCGTCTGGACAGAGCTCTCAGGCCAGACAGCTGAGAGGTGGCGTAGAGGCCACCAATATGTCACAGAGTTATAGCAATAAGGTGCAGCAAGGCTGAGAAATCTCCATAGGTAAAAGAAAATGGAGTCGCTTATCCTAGTGATGAAACTCCTCGCTCTAAAGCCAGCAAACATTTCCTATAAAGATCCAGATAATAAATGTTTTAGACATCTGGGCCAGACGGTTTCTGTGGCCACCACTCCATTGGAGTGAGAAAGTGACCATCTGCGAATTGTAAATGAATGGGTGTGGCTGTGTGCCAATAAAACTTTATTTACAAAAACAGGCATTGGGTCAGATCACAGGGCATAGTTGCTGACTCCTAATGAAATAGCTTCACATCAATGAAAGAACTAAGTGGACATCTAGCACAGAGTTTAAACATTATACTGGAATAGAGGTTGGAGGTATTGTATGCAAAGTATTTGTTTAGGAAGATTTTGCCTATTTCAAACCTGCATAATTCAAGGCTGATTTTTGCAAAGAAGCACACATCACTGAGGAATTGTTCTGTATTTCTGTCGACAAGCTCGAATGGCACTGACTTTTCACGTTAGGGAAAATGTGGTTTATTATCAACGTAGGCAGCCTGCTTTAAAGTCACATGTTTTTACTAATTTTAAAAATTGGGGTGTGTGTAGCATTTATTCCAATTTTGGTCTAGTGAAAGTCCATGAATATTTGTCATATTGCCCTAGTCCGAAATCCCAGAATTTGAATTCATATAAAAGGCAGCTCTGTGGCATGTGTTGGTCTCGCTGTCTCTCCCCTTTGCCCACTAGCCACTCAGTGCTCCCTTCCTTCTGATTTTCTCTGCATATGGAAGAGCGTTTTGATGTAGCAGGCACCCAACACATGACCACACAGAAGTAAAGCACCTGCTTTACCTCTCAGCTTGAGAAGGAGTTAGCAGAGCAGCAGGGACCTCAGTAAGACAGCAGAAAGCACTTTTCTCTTTTTTTGAGATGGAGTCTCACTGTTGTTGCCCAGGTTAGAATGCAGTGATGTGATCTTGGCTCACGGCAACCTCCGCCTCCTGAGTTCAAGCGATTCTCCTGCCTCAGCCTCCTGAGTAGCTGGGATTACCGGCGCCTGCTACCACACTGGGCTTTTTTTTTTTTTTTTTGTATTTTTAGTAGAGACGGGGTTTTGCCATGTTGGCCAGAGGGTCTCGAACTCCTAAACTCTGGTGATCCACCTGGCTTGGCCTCCCAAAGTTCTGGGATTACAGGCATGAGCCACCGTGCCTGGCCAGAAAGCACTTTCTGATTATAAAGAACGTATAGCTGCGATGATAAAGAATGTAGAGCTGTTATTCTGATTATAAAGAATGTATAGCTGTGATTCCAATTATAAAGAATGTATAGGTTCTGCAGTCTTTTCCCCTGGAAGTTTGTTTGTTTGATAATAGTTAGTGTGGACTCAGTCCTTCAGGAAGCAGGAGGAAAGAGCAGAGAATATTCCTGGCATCCTTTCACACCTGGCATCTAGGAAGGGAAATGTCCTTTACCAAGTATGACTTGTGCTTTTCTTTTTCCATGCGCTTTACCAAGCACTTAAAATTCACTGTGGCCTCACCGCTTAACCACATCAAAAGCATTTTGCAATGATGCTTTTTCCTCTACGAAACCTGAAGCTGTAAGTGGACCTGCTATTACACTGGTAATTAAGCCACTCCCTGGGCCAGTGGATACACATTCAAGACGTCAAAATATGGTGCAACAGGTGCCTTCCTCAGTGGGGCCCTGGTGGCCTGACTCCCCTGTTCCCCTTGATACCTTGTTCCATTTCCCACGGATTTGCCTGGAAGTTGGTGGGGGGGCTACCTGTTGCAGTCACCCAGGGGCAGACAGTGGCTTTGGGACCTCACCCTTCCAGTTTCAACCACACCCATTCAGCAGCAGCTCACCCCAGCAAGCAGCTCACCAAATAGCCGTGTGGCGACCAGAAGAGATGGTTTCCTGGGGCACTCACTGGAGACAAAGCAACCACAGCCATCCAAGTGCTGCCATCCTGAGTTTATGATGCCAACCAGCCCTGGGTGGATTGAAGGAAGTCCTCTGAGTGACCAAAAGGATGCCTGCCAGTCCCTGTCATCCCCTGCCCGCTGAGGCCCAGCTCTGCTCAGATGTCTGCCGTCCTCCACGGGCTCTAAGGGTGCATCCTAGCTAGTCTATGCCAATCCCAGTAGTCTCCTGTGATACTGTTCTGGCCAATGAGATGAAACAGAAAGTCTGTTGTGGGGTTTCTGGGAACGGTTTTCATGATTTAAAAAAAAAAAAACATTGTAGAGACACAGGACAATGTGATTCCTCTTTTTGATTTCCTTTTGTTCCACTGAACAGGCACTGCTTGTGTATGTGATGGCAGGAGCAGAGGCAGCAATCATGAGCGTGAGAGGACAGCTGGCCCAGGCCAAGTCAACAGGCTGGAAATGGCACAGCAGAAAGAAGAAATGAATCCAGAGCCTCGATGAAGTTCTGAGTTTCCAAAGAAACCAACCCTGGAACCGTCCCAGCTGCAGAATTTCTCCTTCTAGAAAATGATACATCCCTTCTCTGTTGAAGGCATTTCCAGTCAAGTCTTCTGTTACCTGCAGCCTGAAGCATTCTAATCTACAGAGAGCCCACTCCTAGATTCTTCCTGGATCTGGTTTGTAAGAATTACTCAGATTTAATGACTTTGAGCCATGAAATGATGGAGAAACAACTTTCCTGGGCAAAAAAGGGAAGAGGTACCAGCTCTCCCCTTCTCTTGTCCCAAACCCAACGGCTTTAGCCCAAAGGGCAGAGGAAAAAGTGTGGAGCAGACGAAGCCCAGGAGCTTGAGCACTGGATGCACTGCATTTAATTTCCGAGTGCCACTTGTCCATTCACAGGCGCAAACCCCAACCCACAGGAGATGCTGGCTACTTTATGGTTGCTTAGCAACCAGTGATCACCCTTCTCCTGAACTGCAGTGCCCAACTTTACTTTTGGGGGACCTCCTCTACCCAATTCTCAGTAAAGTTAGCTCAGAGACGTCTGACTTCTTCCTGGCTAATCAGGATACCCCATCCCTCTGGAAACAGTGGATGGTTCAGAACTAGGCACACGACCTGAGCCAGTCCAATGAGACTCCACCTCGGTCCTTGCAGGGCAGTCTGTGAAGGGTGAAGCCAAGACAGCGAGAGGCAGGGCCAGGAGCTGGAGAATGGCTCAGGCTTAAAAGTACAGCTGGATCTCAGCTTTTCAATTCTGCGAGCCAGTGAATTTCTCCCTTTCTTTTCATAATCCCGCGCAGCTTGGTGTTCTACCTTACCTATCCAAAGGAATCTTAAGTGAGGCAGCTCCCCCATGAGGGACACTGACCCAGACGCTGGGAATTGGATTCAGCTTGCACCCCCTCAAGACCGTGCATTAAGACCAAGGTGCATTTCTTATGTATAGCATGGTAGATTGTGGTAGTGATAATGTGGTTCCCCATAAAATTCCTTGTTTCCTTCTGGTAATGGAGCCCCTCTTTCTTCCAGGGAGCTGTACCATGTAGTAGAGATGAGGTTCAATGAATCTTCCCTCCCACACCCTCCCACACTCACCCAAAGAGTCCAAGACCATGGCCTGTCCAATTGGAACTAATCCATCCAGAGCGGCTGGTTTAGGGGTGAGCCCATGACCCAAACCGGGCCACTCATACTGCTTCATGGGACTTTTGCCAAAACACATGGAAGGAAGGGTCTTTCTTAAAAGGTGCTCTCAGCTTGACATTGCTGGGGCCGTGTTTGCCAAACTGGGGGAAGCCTTGAAGAGAAGGACGCCGCACAGAGGAAAGTGGGGGCACAAATGTGCGTCCTCGTTTTCCAGAGCCAGCCTCTGCCAAAGCGTCACCCTTTATACTCCCAGATGCAGGAAACTTGTTTAGTGTAAGCCAATTTGAGTTGGATTTTTGTCACTTACTAACAAGACTCCTAACGAATGCATTCAATAACAAATGCAGCAACACCAGCAAAGATCAGCACTTGTGAGTCTCCCCGTGGTAGATACCGTGATAGGATTTCCCATGAATAATCTCTAATTACCCATTGAGGACACAACTCCCATCTTACAGATAAGGAACTGATGTTCAGAAAAGTGTCCTAACACATCCAAGGCTATCTACAAGGTAGCCACTAGCCTTTGTGAGAATTAGGAAAAGGTGCCCCCTCTCAGAGGAGGCTTCTGAGGGCACAGGGTTAGGTGGATGGGATCTCAAGGTCTCTGTGCACATTGGAGGGAGGAGGGAACCCTTCCTTGAGCCAGACATAGACCCATGCCAGGGTGCACGGCCTAGGAGTGGGGTGTGGGCTAGATGGCAGCCCCCTCGCCCCAGGTAGCCAGGCACCTTGGTGCAGGTCACACTCATGCAGCTGAAGGACCCCCCCCCCAGCTCCCCAGACCCAAATGACCTCACTTATATGCTATACAACCAAGCCTGGAATTTCAGTCCTCCTCATCAGTTACAGTCCAGCCAGAGAAACACAATCTGCAATAGGACATAAATATATGAAAAGATTCAGGGAGCTTGGAGGCAAGTCCGAAGTCTGAAAAGGAAGCTGGAAATTCCCAGGCAAGAGGTGACGCTGCGGTCCGGAGGCAACACTTCATCCTCCTCCAAAATCCTAGTTCTGCTCTCAAGGCCTTTCAGCTCACTGGATGAGGCCCGCCCACATTCTTGAGGATAATCTCCTCTACTGAAAACCAACTGATTGTAGATGTTAATGGCATCCAAAGACCTTCCCAACAGCACCTAGGTTCATGTTTGATGGGCTCACTGGGGACTGTCACCTGGCAGAGTTGACACATAATGAATGCAGGTGGTCTCGCCACTCAGATTCCTCTCCAGGAGTCTCCAGCCCTCATCTTCTGGTGTGGGGCCATGGCCTAGACTCGCCTGGCAGGGTCCTGGTTTGCCCCGCCTGCCCCAGCGTAATTAGCAGCCCCCTTTACACTTTCAATAACGTCTTGCTTGCATTGTGGAAGACAGCGTGGCAATTCCTTAAAGACCTAGAGGCAGAAATGCCATTTGACCCAGCAATCCCATGACTGGGTATGCACCCAAAGGAATAGAAATAATTCCACCATAAAGGCATGCACGCGAATGCTCATTGCAGCACGAGTCACAGTAGCAAAGACATGGAATCAACTGAAGCGCCCATCAATGATAGACTCGATAAAGAAAACGCGGTACATATACACCATGGAATACTATGCAGACACAGAAAGGAATGAGATCATGTCCTTTGCAGGGACATGGGTGGAGCTGGAGGCCATTATCCTTAGCAAACTAATGCTAAGGATAATTGGGTGGAGGACACAATCCCACAAGGCGCTGTCCCTTGCACGGCCACGGCAGAGGGAATGAAGAGGCTCCTCTTTGCATTGGAGCCCTGGGACTCCTCCTGTTTTCCACATCCCTCCTCAGTGTGTAAATAGGTCAGGAGCCAGCTCCACACCTCCCAGCTCCGGAGACGGCAGGGCCGAGTGTGTGCAGTGTCCGTGCAGAATAAGTCATCCACTGAATTATTGAAGAAACACACAAGGGACACTGCCCTTGAACTGGGAACACGTGGAGGCTCCTGTTTGGTTCCTGCCTTTATACAGCTCACACTCTTAGGGGGAAGCAGGTGAGCAGAAGAACGGATGCAATGCCTCACACCCAGTGCCCTGAACAGGGAAGGGAGGGAAAGCCCGGGAAATTCCTAGCCAATTGCAAGACGCATGGATCCCAGCCCCAGTGAAACTTAGGACCCAAGGTGGTCACAGAGGGAAGCCACTCACTGCTCCCTTCACAAGCACAGCTGCAAGGAGCTAAGGCTGCCAGGCTGGCACCGCCATGCTGCCGTCTTGGGATCCACTGAGCATGTTAAGGCCGTGCTCCCAGGCTGAGCTCAGGAAGAAGCGCAACACACCATTTTTGCTTGACTCCACTAATGGGAAACCTTGAAACCGAAAGACTGGCTTCTCTTGCCTTCTAGGCCAGAAGAACCACTCCCGGGCCCAGGAGAGATGAACAAGCATCCTTAGCATAGGCCGCAGGCCCCACGGGGAAAGTGGGTTCTCTGACCCCATGCAGGCTGGGTTGAAAGTCAGGCCCCGCCACTGACTGGCTTTGTGCCCCAGAGCCTCCGTTTCCTCCTCTCTAAAGTGGAAAGACTATGGCACAAGCCCGGGAGAAGGATTCGATGACGTGACACTTGGAGACCACTTGGCAAAAGGTCTCGCCCTATTTGGGCTTCCCAGGGACACAGATTGCGTGGCTTAAAACTGCAGAAATGTATTCTCTCACAGCCCTGGAGGCCAGAAGTCCAAAATGAATATATCTGCCAGGCTGCGTACCCACCACAGGGTCCAGAGGAGGCTCCTTCTGCCTTTGCCAGCTTCTGGTGGCTCCAGGCATTCCTCGGCTCACGGCCACATCACTCCAGTCTCGGCGTGGCCTTCTCTCATATCTTACATCTCCCTCCGTCTTTCTCTTACAACATCACCAGTCATTGGATGTCAAGCACAGCCGGATAATTCAGGGTCACGTCCTCTCAAGATCCTTAACATGATTACTTCTGCAAAGACGTAATGTAGAGCTTTTTCCAAATAAGATCACAGCCACAGGTTCCCAGGATCAGGACGTGAACAGGTCTTTTGGGCGAACACCATTTAACTCGCTAGAAGCACTCAGCGAGCAGCTCTCAGAAACAGTGGCTCTGAGGACAGCAGCTGTTAGGATTGTCAGTTCTCTGCCTGTCTCTACCCTCCCTAATTCTAGGGAGAAACTTCATTTACTCCACAAACCCTAGGACTCCCTAAACCTAGCTGGGGTCTCTCCTGCATAGAATTTCAGAATGCTTAAAAATAAAGCTGTACAAACGTGTAGATATGAAAAGTCGTGGAGTGGGTGCCAGCTTTTTGCCATTGGTCGTGGTGGCGTTTTATTGTTTCTCTCTTAGGGAAAACTGTAGGATGGAGTAGAAGAATGAGTTTTCTGGCAGGGTGCAGTGGCTCACGCCTGTAATCCCAGCACTTTGGGAGGCTGAGGGAGGGGCGGATCACAAGGTCAGGAGATCGAGACCATCCTAGCCAACATGGTGAAATCCTGTCTCTACTGAAATACAAAAAAAAAAAAAAAAAAATTAGCTGGGCTTGATGGCACACATCTGTAGTCCAGGCTACTCGGGAGGCAGGGAAATCACTTGAACCTGGGAGGCAGAGGTTGCAGTGAGCTGAGACCGCACCACTGCACTCCAGCCTGGTGACAGGGCAAGACTCTGTCTCAAAAAAAAAAAAAAAAAAAAAAAAAAAAGAAGAAGAAGAAGAATGAGTTTTCCATCAAAATGGACAGCCTTGGTCCATGGTCAAAATGGACAGCCGGCCCAGGCTTGCCTGGTGGCCCTCTAAGCAGAATCCAATCCCTGCTGACCGTGGCCTCTTCTGCCTCCGGGGTCCAAGCCACCAGCCTATCTCCTCTGAACCACTGTGGCTGTCTCCTAACTGTTTCTCTGCTTCACTCTTTCCCTGCCACTATGTGTCCTTGATGCACTAGCCAGAAGGGTCCTGGGAAGACTGAAGTCAGAGCATGGCTCTCGTCTCTCCAGAACCCTCCGTGGCTCCCCATTTCACTCAGAGTCAAAATCAAAAGGCCCATAGACGCCATCATGGCCCGATTTCTTTCCCTCCCACTTCCTCTCCACACACCTCTTCTGTCAGCTACCTTCTGACGCTGGCCCCTATGTCCTGACTTCCAGCCATTGGCCCCATTGTTCTTCCTCAAAAACCCCAGGTATAGTGGCACTTCAGGGCCGTGGCACTGGCAGACACCCCATTATCCCAGCAGGCACTTCTAGAAGTGCCCTCAGCTCTCTGCACCCACTCCTGGTGTCTTTGCTCAGTGGTCTCCTTCTCATCCAGGCCTTCCCTGCCCATCTTGCTAAAACTGCAGCCCCCCTTTCCTAGCTCTCTGGATGGCATGAGCCGCTCACCTGCCCCGCACGCCACGCACCGTGGAACAGGCTGTAGCACGCACATGTGCAGACCCCGGCCTATCGCCTCCTCCTACTGGAAGGTGAACTCCATGAGGGTGAAGACATCTGTCCTTCTATCCCCTGCTCTGTTTTAACCATCTGGCAAAGCAAGCACACTCAGCGCAGCACTTATTAGAAGGGAGGGAGCAGAACAACTATTCTGGGACTGACTTCCTGCTGGAGGAGGAACAGAAAATAAATACATAAGCAGATGAGTAAGATCATCGACGGGCAGAAAAAGTACCACAAACAAAATAAGAGTAAGACTGCTCCGAGACAAGGGGCTGGGGAGGGGGAACCTGAGTAGGAGGCAGCCTAGTGGACGCGTCACCCAGGAGCAGACATCGTTCAGCCATGAGGAGGCGGGGGATGCAGCCTCCTGATGTGTCAGCTCTGAAAGCTAATGACTGTGCCTGCGTGTGTGCGCATGACATGCGTGAGCTGTAAGGGCAGCTCCATAATTAGATTATATATGTGTGTGCGTGTATATATATGTCTGTGTGTATATATATGTGTGTATGTATATGTCTGTATAATAATATGCATACACACGTGTACATATATATAACCTATATATCTCTCTATATAGATTATATATGTGTATAGTATATACACACATATATATTATATATGTGAATGTGTGTGTATATATGTATATATGTGTATTATATATACACACACACATATATATGTATACATATATAATCTATATCTCAGAGAGAGAGACTGACCTGCCAGCAGATGGGCAGACATTTGTCAGACATGGAGAGAGTGTCTTTATTCCTAAAGTTGGTTTCTCAGCTGCAAGGGCAATGGCCAAGCCCTTCCCAATCTTACCTTACGAAACAAGGGTGACAGGCATTCAGGGATAGCAAAACGATCTTTCCTATCCTATTTTGGGCCTTAGAGAAAAGCGTAATTGTGCATTTAAACTGTTGTTTGGGATGAGGGCAGCAGAGCACACAGCTGTTGGAACCAGTTTCTCTTCATGCTATCACATGAGGCTGGAGCCTGAACTATCTCTGGGAGGCTGCAGAAAGTGGGAAGGGAGTTTCAGATCCATGCTGGAAGAACAGGGAAAGGCTCCCGCAGGGCTCCGGGTGGTGTCTGCCGCTGATTCAGCAAAGGACTTGTCCTGGACACGGGGCATGTGGGAGCTGAGCACGGGATTTCAGGTCCTGCTTCACCTCCTTCTCATAGGGAAGAAGCTGTCCACTGCTCACTCCTGGTTAAATTCAAGGAAGAAGGGATACACAAGTGTGGCAGCCCTATAGAAAAGAGAAAGACTCGTAAGTGATGCTATTAGTAAGCCATCTTGGCTTCCGGCCAGTGAAGACAAATGAATTTAACAAAGAAAAGTCAACTAACCAGAAAGTTTACAGACCAGTGAATCCCACAGGGCTAGCATTATGTGCCAACTCGGTTCTCAGAGCTTACTGAGTTATCTCACTTCATTCCTACCCCGAACCTGATCAAGTAAGTGTCATTGTTCCCATTTTACAGCAGAGGAAACAGAAAGAATCTCAGAGAGGTTAAGTAACTTGCCTGGGGTCACACAGCTGAGGACATGGGTAAACCAACACACATTAATACCTCCCACATTGCTTCTTCCGCCATTTCCTCCCTGTTTGTGGCTCCAAAGAATCCCTTCAGACACCATCACGGGGAATATCAACATGACAGGAAAGTGGCAGCCTCGCCCCAGGCCAGGAGCCCCTGAACAAAGCCATAAACCAAGACTTGATCTTTGCCTGGCTCCAGACAGGACAGCAGAACGGGGTCCCATTCTGAAAGTCAGGCTCCATCACAAGTACCCACTGTGCTTGCATCTCCGTGGAGAGGCAGGAGGCCAGGCGTAGGCAGCTGAGCCCCTGGGGGAGTGGAATGGTGTCGGCTCTACCCCCAGTAGCCCCGTGGCCTGGGTCTAGTGACTCGGACTCCCCAGCCCCAGTTGCTCCTCTCTGAAATGGAAATCTTCTCTGGACCAGCTTCCTGGGGTACCTATGAGGAGGCAGTGAGCTGCTTCCTATCAAGGCTTAAGGCAGCACCTGTCAAATGCTTAGTCAGCCTCGGCTCTTGTTAGCCTTTTGATTATTTGCTTGCCTTGATTATCAGCTTGTATTACTGTGTGCCTGACACTGACATGTCCCCAAACTCCTCCCCACAAATGTCACATTCCAGTGCCTCTCCTTATTGTGCTCTCTCCCTCCATTTATATTGCATTTCAACAATAATAACCGCTACTCATCACTGAGCACTTATTTGGTGCTTGGTATTGCCATCAACGCTTCCAAGTGTGTTATGACATCATCCTCATCGTGCCTTGGGAAGCGGGAACTCTGCTGGTCCCATTTTGCAGATGAGAAAACCGAGGCAGAGCAATTAGAAGTGGCATATCTGAGGTCATGGGGCTAGAAAGTGGAAGAGGGGGATTCAGACCCAGGCATCCGGGTCGTTTCCTCCCCAGATCATCACTGTGGTGCGGGGCTGCTCAGGCGTTTGGTGAGTGGCTGCAGATTCAGAGCTCACCTAAGGTGAAAAGCAGGAACGGGGTTCCTTCTCATTTCTTTGTAAGGCAGAGCCAAGCTCGTGGGTGTCCCCACTCTGTCCCTGAAGGGATAGTTTCTCTGTGTCATCTTTGCCTCCTCTGTCACCCATGCAGGGGCCGCAGGCCTGTGATGAGCTGACCCACTCAGCTCCCAGAACAGGCAAAAGGGTCCCAGGGTGCAGGAGGGAAGCCGAAAGAAAACAGATGGGAAGGGGAGTAATTAAATCAGCACATCCCAAACAGCTAAGGGAGGGGACAAGGAGCAAAGCAATGAAGACCAGGTATGAAGTCTGAACTCACAGAATGGGCACGCGCTTCCGATAAGCTGTCCGCTCAAGCTGTTTGGAATACAAACACCAACCAAAACAACACACGCACACACTCTTTTGTGTCGTGTTTCTGGAATTCTGTGATGTTTCTTTTCTCATATATTCCTCCAAAAACAGTCCAGTACAGAATTGCAGGTTGAAGCACTGTGAATAGGCTCTAGGTTTGCCCCAGGTTAAGGGTTAATTTGTTGAGTTTCAGAACAGGTAGGCGACGCCCTCCTGGATTTTAAACAGATAACGTCCTTGCCATGTAAGAGCACTTAGAAGGCTGGCTTTATCTCTTTAAAAAAAAAATATATATATATATATACACACACACACACACACATATATACACACACACATATATATACACACACATATATACACACACACATACACACACACATATATACACACACATATACACACACATATATACACACACATATATACACACATATATACACACATATATACACACACATATATATACACACACATATACACACACATACACACACATATATACACACACATATATACACACACATATATACACACACATATATATACACACACACACACATATATACACACACTATATATATATATATGATTGTGTTTGTTGTTGTTGCAGTTGCAGAGATGAAAAAGAAATCTGTGTCTTTAAATGAGGAGGGGCTGCGTAAGGAGGCTTGGGCAGCAAAAAGGCTAATACGCTGTGGAAGAGAAGGAGTTTAATCTAATTTAGTTGGAGGGTGTCTGTCTGCGGTGTTGTTTTTTGGAGTGTGGGAATAGAGGCGGGAAGCTGCCCCCTTGAATGGTCCCTCCTGAGCCAGGAGCAGTGGGGAGCCAGTCGACGCCAGCGATCCAAAGCCCGGCCTTGAAAGAGGATTAAATCAATGCTCTGATTTGCAATTCACACTAGTGCACCCCGTGGAACCTTTGGTAATATTTCAAACCACATTTCAAGGGAAGTGGCCTTAAAATAGCTGCCTAAATTGTGCTGGAGCCACACTGGACACCCCACTCATCCACTTTAGGATGGGGGTGCTTCGGGGTTCATTTCTCACCTTCCCCCAAACCTCCACATCTCACAGCCAGTGTTTTTAGGCAGAATTAAAACTTTTGCGCCTGTTGAATTCGCTGCGACTTGCATGGCCTTTCTGGTGGTACAAACTGTGTTTTCTTTGCTAAGTATCACTTCAGATCACTAAAGGTATTTTCCCTGGAGAAAAAGATGGGGGCACGCCACGGGGAGCATGCCTACTTGATCAGAAAACATAATTTTTTGTGCATGTTTTATATCTGATAAGTTTCTGCAGAAACTTGATACTAGATGAGGTCAGAGAAAACAAGGTCTATTCACATCAGACTTCCCTGCATGTGAAGCAATTATTGGTAAATAGATCAGTTTTCATTCTCATACTTGAAGGTAGAATTGGAAATGTCCCGGACTAAATACAAACATTGACGACACGAGAAGACAAGAGAAGAAACACAAGAATCACTTACGTGGATCCTCACACTTGAATGTACCAAGAGAGGTGATTCAAGCAGCAGCTACTGAAAGGCGTTGCGACAGCCTGAACCACTTTTTATCTCAACATTCACCAGCACGATTTTACTTCTGTTTATGAGCTTTCTTCCTATGCCACCAGTTTACTCTTGCAATTAGCTTGTAACATGCTAAGCTTATGGTTTAATTTCTTTCTGTTGCTGAAAGACTCAGTACTTTTTTATCTTAAAGAGATTATTTGGGTTTTCTCTAATCCCATTTCAGAAAACCTCGCACAGTGCTTATAATTTCCATTGACTATTACATAATAAGAAAAGATACAACTTTGATTTTTAGCAATATCCGTGTCAAAGTACTTTTATACTTTTGACTTTGTGAGTTTAAATGGAATGAAACTGGGCCTCTCTTTCAATTCCCCTCCACCTCCAAAAAATATTTAGTTCTTGTTCAAAACACTGCCTGACTCCTGAAATATTCTCTCTCAAAAACCTCATACTTTCCCTGGTGAACGTTTGCAAGAACCTGAAGGCGGATAATGTTTACTGATAGCTTTCCGATAGACAGACATTTTTAGGTGGTTGGGGGTAAAAACATATTCCTTGTCTCTGCACGTTATGTGAAATCATGTTTAATTATAAAGTTTCATTAAAAATCTTTGCTCAAAATTTTAGAAGCCTAATAAGATTTCCATTAATTTAAACATATCACTATTCCCACGACGGCTCCAAAGCTTTCTTTTCCGTCTTTCATCCATGGTTAAATATGTAAATAAAATGTCTAAAGTCATTCTTCAAAGAAGACAAAAGAAAAAAGAGCTGAGGGAAAGACAGCCATAAAATTCCTCCCAATTCTCCATAACATTTGCCAGAGGGGGGTCGGTTGCCAGCCAGGGCTGAGCAGCGGGGGACCCCGGCTGCTCCTTAGACTCACACATCTCAAATCCCACACACAGGAAAAAAAATAAAATAAAATATCTTTTCAGCTGGGGCCATCAAAAGAGCCTTTTCATTTATTAGTTACAGACTTATCTTCCAGTTGCTGATTTCTCAGAACCCTCATTTCTCTATAATAAAGTCTATTTGTTGGTTTCCATCTCAGCTGGACAGGGCGAAGCACTTCTGCAGACATTTTTATAAAAAACGAGAGAAAAAGGCAATCTGAAGTGGTTATAGCTAAAATAATGGGCCTGAACGTGGCTGAATTAAAACAGCACAGAAAAGATCAATTAGGAGGCACTTTCTCAAATAGCTCACACCCAGCTCCCGGCGTTTGGCTCTCACTCTTGCACTAAATATTTCTAATAGTTGCTGAGGGAGAGACACAAAAAGGAAAAGAAGGAAAATAGGGCCCAGGAAGGACCTTTGCCAGGAAAATTCTAGAAAAGCCAAGTGATTTCCGCTGAATTAATTTTAATTTAAAGGTCCTGAAAAATTACTCACTAGACAAAAAACAACAACAACAAAAAAAAAAACACTATAATAAAAATGGCAGTCTTTCAAAAATAAAATCATGCAACTTTTCACTTGGGAAATAACACAGTTGAAGGTGGTGTTCTAACTGCCCGGAGTTTCTACCTTCTTTTTCACTTTCTCCCTCACCCCGACTTCCTCCAGCACCTCCTAGTGAGACCCAGGACACCCAGGGACAGCGACCCAGGGGTGGGTGCCTGAACCTGCCTATTAATTCTGGGATTCTGGGCGCTCAAATGTCTGTTGAACGGATGAATGAATGAGTGGAAAGGTGAGATTTCCCCAAGTTTCTTACCGATGTAAAAATTGTAGGGCTTGTTTTAATTAAAAGCCAATACTCTCCGAGGAAGTGGCCCCCTCCTGCACGGCGTGCAGAAAGCTGGTCAGTGAGGGGGGTTCCTGGCGGGCCCCATCTCCTTCCCGGGCGCTTCCTAGGGAGACCTTGCCCCGTGCGCAGCGTCCCCACCGCGGGGGCCCGTGCAGCCGCCCCCCACGCCGGGTGGAGCGCCGCCAACGCGGGAAGCCCCAGCACTGCCTCCAAAGATGTCCGCACACTCCACCCTGCTCCCTGGAACTATCCTCAAACGGGCAGGGGGCAAGCGAGGCCGGTGGACGCGGGACTCGCTCCTCTGACCTCTCCCCGGCCCCCCGGGAGGTAGCGGGAGATTGCACACGCGATCCTGCGAGTTTCCGAACTTTGGAAGATCGTGACCCGGAGAGACCCTGGGAGGAGAGGGCCGGCCACCTCCTAGGGGTGCTGTTTTTTTAAGGGTCAACCCAGGACGCTACGGGAAGCACCTGGCGCATCCTTGGGAACAGTGGGGCTTGGCGGTGGGCGCCCACCGCGAACGCCCTGGGCGGGGGAAGGGAATGGCGGGGGGACGTCGTGTCCTAAGTGACCCCGTCACAGACCCGCCCCAATCCGAGGGGGGATGAGCTCAGAGGACCTGCCCAGGACGCTCCTTCTCCACTTTCCAGGAAAACCGAGCGGCGTGCGCGCCTCCGTGTCCTCGCGGGAGCTGGGGGTCCCCGGGCAGGCGCTGACGCGCTCCTCCCACGACCCACTCCATCCCACCCTACTCCGGGTCCTCCTGCGGGGCTGCAGCCAAGGAGGGCGCTGGCCGGGCACATCACTCGCCAAATCACATAAATACCCCACGAGCGAATGACTTCCTATAATAAATAAACTCAGCCGCCAAGAAGGCATCTCCAGCCCTGCTGGCGCGAGGCCCCGGCTCTGCGGCTTCGGAGGGGGCGGGGGTCACCGCGGTACAAACCAAGCCCGCACTTCCCGCGGGGTGGGAGGCGGTGTTCAAAGTCCCGGGACGCTTCCCGCCCCTCCCCCTTCCCGCCTTCTTAGAGGAGACCTCGGATGAGCGGCCCTAAAATCCGGATTCTCGAGCCCCTCCCCCTCCCCTTAGCTCGTCTCTTTGAAATTTCAAAGAAAATCCCTCCTCGGAGCCCGGAGCCCGGGGCTGGTAGCACCTCCCCAGCCTCAGGAAGATGCGGGCAGGTTTACAAGCAAGGGCCTACTTTATGGCCCAGGCTATAAAACGCAAATCCCACCTCCCTTTGAAAGCGCCCTCCGCCCGGGACTCACCATAAAAGGAAGAGAAGATGCACCCCGCGCCCCTCGCCGCGGACCACCCCCAAACCCCTTCTCCCGCCAGTCCCCGAACTTCCCGTAACCTCGGCGTCCTCGGGGTGCCGGGGACCATCCCGGGGACCGCCGGGAAAGGGGGCGCCGGCGGAGAGGATAGCGAGAGGCAAAGTTGGAGGCCAGGCAGAGAGAGGGCGAGGAGAGGCGGGCGGGACTGCCGGGGAGGGTCGCAGCGCGCAGAGCCCCGCGCGCCAGGCGGGCTGTCCCGGGGCTGGCGGGCGACGCGGGCGGGACTAGGCGCTGCGCCCCCCGCAGGCTGGGCTGCAGGCCGGGGGGGATCGGCCCCCGCGGGGCCCGGGAGCCCGCGGCGGGGCGGCGGGGAGGAGGCTGCCCCGGGCCGCTGCGCTTTCTCATGCAAAGCAGCGGCGGGGCGGGGCGCGCGGCCCGGGGGCGGGGCCTGTCAGCGCTCGGCTTTTCTGCCCCCCTTTGCCTTTTTGCGAGTCTTCTCATCCCGGGACGCAAACCTCGAAACAGCTGCCGGCTGGTCCCGGCCGAGGCCGGCGCAGGGAGGGAGGAGCCGCCCGGGCTGTGGGGGCGCCGCGAGCTGGGCCGGCCTCGGTGTGCCCGCGCCGCCAGCCCGCTCCAGACGCGCCACCTGGGCGCTCCAAGAAGAGGCCGAAGTTTGCCGCGGCCGTGAGTTGGAGCTCGCGCCGGGCCGCTGCGCCGGGAGCTCCGGGGGCTTCCCTCGCTTCCCGGTATTGTTTGCAAACTTTGCTGCTCTCCGCCGCGGCCCCCAACTCGGCGGACGCCGGGCGCGGAGAGCCGAGCCGGGGGCGCTGTGCGCAGCGCTCGGGCCAGGCCGGGCGGGCATGGGCGGGGGCCCGAGCAGGGGTGGAGAGCCGGGGCCAGCAGCAGCCCGTGCCCGGGAGCGGCGGCGCTGAGGGGCGCGGAGCTCCCCGCGAGGACACGTCCAACGCCAGCATGCAGCGCCCGGGCCCCCGCCTGTGGCTGGTCCTGCAGGTGATGGGCTCGTGCGCCGCCATCAGCTCCATGGACATGGAGCGCCCGGGCGACGGCAAATGCCAGCCCATCGAGATCCCGATGTGCAAGGACATCGGCTACAACATGACTCGTATGCCCAACCTGATGGGCCACGAGAACCAGCGCGAGGCAGCCATCCAGTTGCACGAGTTCGCGCCGCTGGTGGAGTACGGCTGCCACGGCCACCTCCGCTTCTTCCTGTGCTCGCTGTACGCGCCGATGTGCACCGAGCAGGTCTCTACCCCCATCCCCGCCTGCCGGGTCATGTGCGAGCAGGCCCGGCTCAAGTGCTCCCCGATTATGGAGCAGTTCAACTTCAAGTGGCCCGACTCCCTGGACTGCCGGAAACTCCCCAACAAGAACGACCCCAACTACCTGTGCATGGAGGCGCCCAACAACGGCTCGGACGAGCCCACCCGGGGCTCGGGCCTGTTCCCGCCGCTGTTCCGGCCGCAGCGGCCCCACAGCGCGCAGGAGCACCCGCTGAAGGACGGGGGCCCCGGGCGCGGCGGCTGCGACAACCCGGGCAAGTTCCACCACGTGGAGAAGAGCGCGTCGTGCGCGCCGCTCTGCACGCCCGGCGTGGACGTGTACTGGAGCCGCGAGGACAAGCGCTTCGCAGTGGTCTGGCTGGCCATCTGGGCGGTGCTGTGCTTCTTCTCCAGCGCCTTCACCGTGCTCACCTTCCTCATCGACCCGGCCCGCTTCCGCTACCCCGAGCGCCCCATCATCTTCCTCTCCATGTGCTACTGCGTCTACTCCGTGGGCTACCTCATCCGCCTCTTCGCCGGCGCCGAGAGCATCGCCTGCGACCGGGACAGCGGCCAGCTCTATGTCATCCAGGAGGGACTGGAGAGCACCGGCTGCACGCTGGTCTTCCTGGTCCTCTACTACTTCGGCATGGCCAGCTCGCTGTGGTGGGTGGTCCTCACGCTCACCTGGTTCCTGGCCGCCGGCAAGAAGTGGGGCCACGAGGCCATCGAAGCCAACAGCAGCTACTTCCACCTGGCAGCCTGGGCCATCCCGGCGGTGAAGACCATCCTGATCCTGGTCATGCGCAGGGTGGCGGGGGACGAGCTCACCGGGGTCTGCTACGTGGGCAGCATGGACGTCAACGCGCTCACCGGCTTCGTGCTCATTCCCCTGGCCTGCTACCTGGTCATCGGCACGTCCTTCATCCTCTCGGGCTTCGTGGCCCTGTTCCACATCCGGAGGGTGATGAAGACGGGCGGCGAGAACACGGACAAGCTGGAGAAGCTCATGGTGCGTATCGGGCTCTTCTCTGTGCTGTACACCGTGCCGGCCACCTGTGTGATCGCCTGCTACTTTTACGAACGCCTCAACATGGATTACTGGAAGATCCTGGCGGCGCAGCACAAGTGCAAAATGAACAACCAGACTAAAACGCTGGACTGCCTGATGGCCGCCTCCATCCCCGCCGTGGAGATCTTCATGGTGAAGATCTTTATGCTGCTGGTGGTGGGGATCACCAGCGGGATGTGGATTTGGACCTCCAAGACTCTGCAGTCCTGGCAGCAGGTGTGCAGCCGTAGGTTAAAGAAGAAGAGCCGGAGAAAACCGGCCAGCGTGATCACCAGCGGTGGGATTTACAAAAAAGCCCAGCATCCCCAGAAAACTCACCACGGGAAATATGAGATCCCTGCCCAGTCGCCCACCTGCGTGTGAACAGGGCTGGAGGGAAGGGCACAGGGGCGCCCGGAGCTAAGATGTGGTGCTTTTCTTGGTTGTGTTTTTCTTTCTTCTTCTTCTTTTTTTTTTTTTATAAAAGCAAAAGAGAAATACATAAAAAAGTGTTTACCCTGAAATTCAGGATGCTGTGATACACTGAAAGGAAAAATGTACTTAAAGGGTTTTGTTTTGTTTTGGTTTTCCAGCGAAGGGAAGCTCCTCCAGTGAAGTAGCCTCTTGTGTAACTAATTTGTGGTAAAGTAGTTGATTCAGCCCTCAGAAGAAAACTTTTGTTTAGAGCCCTCCCTAAATATACATCTGTGTATTTGAGTTGGCTTTGCTACCCATTTACAAATAAGAGGACAGATAACTGCTTTGCAAATTCAAGAGCCTCCCCTGGGTTAACAAATGAGCCATCCCCAGGGCCCACCCCCAGGAAGGCCACAGTGCTGGGCGGCATCCCTGCAGAGGAAAGACAGGACCCGGGGCCCGCCTCACACCCCAGTGGATTTGGAGTTGCTTAAAATAGACTCCGGCCTTCACCAATAGTCTCTCTGCAAGACAGAAACCTCCATCAAACCTCACATTTGTGAACTCAAACGATGTGCAATACATTTTTTTCTCTTTCCTTGAAAATAAAAAGAGAAACAAGTATTTTGCTATATATAAAGACAACAAAAGAAATCTCCTAACAAAAGAACTAAGAGGCCCAGCCCTCAGAAACCCTTCAGTGCTACATTTTGTGGCTTTTTAATGGAAACCAAGCCAATGTTATAGACGTTTGGACTGATTTGTGGAAAGGAGGGGGGAAGAGGGAGAAGGATCATTCAAAAGTTACCCAAAGGGCTTATTGACTCTTTCTATTGTTAAACAAATGATTTCCACAAACAGATCAGGAAGCACTAGGTTGGCAGAGACACTTTGTCTAGTGTATTCTCTTCACAGTGCCAGGAAAGAGTGGTTTCTGCGTGTGTATATTTGTAATATATGATATTTTTCATGCTCCACTATTTTATTAAAAATAAAATATGTTCTTTAGTTTGCTGCTAGTCCCTGGTTCATGGTGAGGTTTCCCTTCTCTGTGTGTGGAGAGACTACAGGACACTTTCTCCCTTTGCTTTTTAAGCAAATTCTGGGGTTGTGCTTCTAGCCAGAGAGTACTGGTTATCTGTATAAAATTGCAGATCAGAGGATTCCAAGATTGGAAGAATCATTCACTTGTGAGTTTCTGAGGAACTGCAGTCAGGCAATGTGTGAAGTTGGAAGTCGTTTCTGTGACTGTTGGTAGCTGGACATGAGGGCTTAGTTGTAGACACACATCACCAAGGAGAGCCTCACCACTAAGCGTGGACCCACTCATGAGCCTGGATTAGCCAGTTTTAATATATTCAGAGAGTAGAGCCAACCGATTAGGAGAATTAAATCATCTGTATTCAATTGACCTGCTAGGCTCAAATGGTACCTAGACAGAGCTGTATACATCAGCCCAAAGTGTGCTGGCTTTGCAGTGACTCTGAACTATGAAGACATTTACAAAACAGATTATAGACCTGGACGGGATAAAATACCTGCTAAGGGTGGCGAATCCTTAAGAGGAAGTTAAGCAGCTTTGGAACTTCATGGTACTTGGTTCTTCTCCAGGGTTTCCTGTTAGAACTGGGTAGCTGTAAAGAACTGCCCCAGGTCTGCTGGTCAAAGGCACAGCTACACTCAAGTTCCAGCCAGAAGGAAGCAAGGGCACAGTGCAGTCCTACTGTGGTGAGGACTCTATTAATATAAAGCAAGCCAAGCTGCCCCTGGGGCCATGCTTTTGTCCAGCTCCAAGTTAAACAAGGAGCTCTGGAAAACTTGGAGCATGGATGACACGCTTACCAACGAGGAGGAGAGCCTGGAGCTAGTGCAGTCTGTTTTCTGAAGAGGGTGTTCAGAACTTCAGCCTGGTAAACATAAGATCACCCATCAACACTAGGGCTGGAAACAGGCTTACATTGGCTTTGAGGGGCTACTGCACTTGGCCGTGAATATTTGCAGGGCACAGGAGCAGGCAGATCGGTGGTTTGGGATCAAGTTTGACAAACGGAGGAAACACCAGCTAGGTAGGCAAAGTAAAAGAATGCAAGATCCCAAAGAGCTTTCAGTGCATTAAAAAAGAAGGCAGAAAAGCTTCAGAAATGCCCCCAAATAAAATTTCTTTGTTGATTGTTTTCGCCTAGTCCCCCAAAAGACTACATAGAAATATTGATGTCTCTGTGCATGTATGGGTATAGCGTTTCCTTTTTGTCACTCTTAGGGAAAATGAAAATAACATATTTGGAATAGAACTTTCAAAAAGTCCAGAAGGGTAACATTGTCCGGATGCTGCTGTGAGCCACAAGGCTAGATATAACACAAAGACATTTGGTTCTAAAATTCCTGGACTACAGCAGCTTCAGACCTGCCCATGCTCAGGTGTGTAGGCTCGAAAATGTGGTCCCAAGGAAAGTCATATTCAACAACATACCTAAGAGCCTTTGTTGTTAGTTATCCCTGAATGTGTCTCACTGTGGATCCATCCCAGAAATGACTGATCTTGTTTACGAATGTGAAGGGATTGTGACATGTGGCTGGGTTGGGCGCAGCTGGGTGAGTTTAACAGTGAGCAGTGCAAGGAGCAGCTGTAGAGCTTCCAAGCAAAATGCTCCAAGGTCTTCCTCTCCCTCTCTCTCTCTCTTCCTCTCTCTCTCTCTCTCTCTCTCTCTACTAAGCTGAAATCTGACCCTCCCTCACATACAGACAGTGAGTTTTAGGAGAAGCATCAAGGCCTTAAGTCAGAAAGCTGGGGAAAAAAAGAAAGGAAAGAAGGGAGGGAGAGAGGGAGGGAGGGAGGAAAGAAGCAAGGAGAAAGAAAGACAGGCAAACATCACTAGTGAAGGAAGGAAGGAAAGAAGGAAAGAAAGAAAGACAGGCAAACACATCACTAGTGAAGGAAGGAAAGAAGGAAGGAAGGGAGGAAAGAAAGAAGGAAGGAAGGAAGGAAAGAAAGAAGGAGAAAGAAAGAAAGACAGCCAAACACATCACTAGTGAAGGAAGGAAGGAAGGAGAAAGGCAAACACATCACTAGTGAAGGAAGGAACGAAGGAAGGAAGGAAAGAAAGAAAAAGAAAGAAAAAAAGAAAGAAAGAAAGGCAAACACATATCACTAGTCCTTAGATTCTCTTTAGCTCAGTACAGGGTTTCCAAAGGAATTGTTGACAGCATTAATTTGGAGATTTCTCAGCATCTGTACCCCACGGCCTTAGTTTTAGAAAAATGGCAACCTGTTTTGCATGGCAGTGGTGGAGTCATAGAAGAAGCCCAAAGAAGTAGATTGTCCAAGATCTACATCCATTCATCCCTCCCTTCCTTCCTCCAGCCTCCAGCCAATCACCACCCACCACATGCTAAGGCCGAGAAACAGAACTGGTACCTGGTCTGTGTGTGGTTTTGCAGTGGACAGGAGAGACCTGCATGGCACATCTTATATGCGCCTCTGTGAGGCATCAGGGCAGGAGGCCCAAAAGTAGATGTATTTCCACAGGGCCCCTAAATGCATACAAGGCAGAAGATTCAGCCTATGTGAGGTCATAGCAAGGGGAAGCTGCAGGGTCATATAGAAGGCAAGAGAAGTTATCAACAGAGCATCAAAACATTCCATCGGGACCCAGACTGGGTCTGGCTCATGATCCCCTATGTAAGCCCACACCTTGCAGAGGGCTTTGGACGTAGTAAGAATAACTACAATAATAGCAATGGCTGTGATAATAGTAATCGTAGCAGCACAGCCTTGAGACCACTTGCTGTGTGCTGAACAGGCTGCTGGGACTATCTCAGTGAATCCTCAACGCATTCAGGGAGGTACTGTCATCAGCCCCACTTTACATGTGAAGACCCTGACACAGAGAGGTTAAGTAAATTCCCAGGGTCACATGACAACTAAAAGACCCAGAACAGGAACTGGGTGGTCTGATAACAGATCTGGAACCCCCAATTCAGTAAGCAATTGTTGAATAAATGAATGAATGAATGAACAATAGCTGACCACTTTACATGCATTAATTCAATCCTCTGACAAACTTTGGTGGTACTGCTCTCATGCTCATAATATTACAGACGAGGAATTTGGAGCACAGAGAAGTTGTGTCACTTACCCAAGGTCACACAGGCAGCAAGCAGAGAGTCTGGCATGCAAACCTGGGCTGTGGGACTCCAGACCTGCACCTCTGACCACGAGGCTTTCCCACGTCTCTGGTTTCTCAGGACTTGACTAAATCATTTCATCTTCACAGCAGCACTGCTGCACCTTTATTCCAAGCAAAAGGGGAACAAGGTTGCATGGCAAAGAGCAAAAGCCACTTGGCCAGTGTGGGGGAGCCCAAGGGAGGAGGCCGTGGCAACCTGCATTTTTGCAGCAGTCGCGAGGGTGCTAGCAGTGGGGCTAGGGGGAAGCAGGTGGATGGAGAGGTCCTTAGAAGGTAGAACCAGGATTAGGTTTTATGTAGAGAGGGAGCAAGAAGGAATGGTCAGGGAGGACCACACCATTTCTGACTTTGGTGGCAAAGTGACATTCATCAAGACAGGAGAAAACCAACAGAGGACAGGCAGTGTGATGGGAAGCAAAGATGAGTGCAGTGTGGATTATTTGCCATCGAGGTGTCTGTAGAGAATTTGGGATGAGGTCATGGTCACAGGCGGGTGTTTGAAATGGTGAGAGTTGGAGCTGTGGTTAACCTCAGGAAGCAAGTGGGTCTCTCCAGGGACAGAGGAGGGAGGAGGGCAGACCTCAGGGCCAGGTGAACAAAGAGGAGGTTGCAAGGGGAGCTGTGACTGGGAGCAGCCCCTTAACCACTTGGGCGCTGGGTGCCCATTTTTACTATAAGAGGATTGGCAGAGGAGATTATGCAAATGGCCTTATCCAACGTCAAAATACGTGATCCGGATAGCACTAAGGGGGAATGCAGCAAGGGTCTTACAGGAGTGACTTAGGAGGATCCACTCCTGCCCGTGATAACTCAGCCTCTGTATCTTTAACTTAACCCTTGGGCTACCCGAGCAAAATTAAAATCAGCTCCAAGAGCTCATAGTTTTAAATTCTCCACTAGCATCTTTGGGGATGCTGTTTCAAGACAGAGAAACAGAAGAGAAAAATCAAGAAGTATTCCTGAGGCCATAGATATTATCCTACATTCTAGATTATTTTCTCAGAAGGAGGAGAAAGAAATACAGAAAACGATAACAGATTGGAGTGCAAACTGGCATCTTACACTTAAAGGATGTGCAGATATAAACATCGTTTAGGACTGAACTATATCTTGCCTTCTCTATGAGCTGGTTTTTAGTTTGACTCAACCACTTACACATTGCTTCACCTTGAGCAAGATACCAGAACTTTCCTGCCTCTGTTTCTTCATCTGTAAAATGGGCATGATAATGGTACCTATCTCACTGGACTGTCACTCACAAATAGCTCATGCTTATTGAACAAGTATTACATGCTCGATTGCTTTAAGTTCTCTGTGTTTATTAATTCGTCTACTCCTCACAACAGCCCTAGGAGAGATGGTACGAGATTAAATAAAACCATTTGTGTGAAGTACTTGGAAGGCTGCTTGGCGCAGAGCAAATGCTCAATAAAGTGATCTATTTTTATGTTTTTTGTCCCTCCCCCCAAAGAAAGTTAAATCCTGTAAGCTAATGAGTAGGGCTCTTTAAAGAAAATGAGTTTTTTTCTTACAGAAACACTTTTTCCAATACTGTGTTCAGGTTCCACAGAAAACCCACTGATCTTTCAAGTTTAAAAGGCAGGCACAGAGCCTCTACAGCAGTGAAAAATATTCTCTGTCTTTCCCTTTGAACACAATAACATCACAGCTGACTTCCCAGGAAATCAGACCTCATGCACGGACACCTCTATACGCAAATGGATAAAGATGGCTGTAATATGGAAATGCAGAGAAACGGTCAGACTTCAGGGAAGCTCGCGAAACACGTGCAGGCAGCATAGTGTGGGGTGTTTTTTAATGTTTTATTAAGAGTGTGAAGGCCAAGCTGGAGGGAGGAGGGAAGGAGACGTTTGAAATCTGAAAGAATAAGTTTCAGCTGCCGAGGTGAGCTGTCGTAATTGGGGACACTCCTAGGAAAATGACACTGTTGGATCCCACACAATGTCCGCAGCCCATCCGGACTTCCCCAAAGTCAGTGCCTGTCGCTTTGTTATTCTAAGACTTTCTGAATGTTTCTGTTTTTATATACATTGTTTGGTACCAGGCTGCCCTCCAGGGGCCTTTGGTTTATAGGAAGGGATTCATAACAGCAACCCTTGCCACACGCCCATCTCCTTCCCAGATGCTGGGGGCTTCAGGGGTTCTGTAGATGGGATGGGATGTTCCCAGGTGGTCTCTTGCAACAGATGTCCTCAAAGGATGCAATTTGTGGCATTTTAGGGAATACTTGCACTTAAAAAAACATCTAAAACCTATCCTAACAATGTTTTAAGTATTTTAGGCAGAACTACAAAGTGATCGACCTTGACATGATGAATCAACACCCATTTTCCAAGGGGGCGATGGTGATCGGGAGCTGCAGGTGCTGACTTTGATCAGAACTGACAAGCTCATGGGGTGGTGCAGCTCTCTCCCCACCCCAGCCCTCCCCATTCCACCCCTGCCCCCAGGGCAGCAGCACCTGTTTACCTCCCATGCTCTCCCTGCACTATTTTCGCCTCTCATAAAACACTTGGATGTTGTTGGCTCTGAATAAGATCATTCATCTGCGAACTGCCTCTCTTCCTGCAGCTCATCTGAAACAGTCTTATTGAACTTGGGTCAATATCACCTCGGTTTCTTTGGATTCCAGGATCACAGCAGAAGGCTCAAATTTGAACTAAACTCAGAAGCATTTTAGGTCAGCAAAACTTTTTTTTTCCCCAAGAGACTTTAAGTATTAGGAATCTAAGTGCCACCTTACTTTTCCACACATGGCACAGGGTAAAGAGAACATGAGATAGCCATGAAGAAGTTGTGATTCTGATTTGCTATCATGATGACCCAGGTCTAAGAAGACAGAACAAAAGCAATGAGAACAAGAGAACACGGCCGATTATAACATTTGACATTCTTCCATGGCAGTCATGATTGTAACCATTTTCAATTAAAAGAAAAAACACAATACTACAGCAATGTTCTGAGCTGAATCTTATCTCTTGAGTAAACAGAGGGCCTCTGAGCAAAAAACCATGCAATAGAAAGGAGGCATCAAAAGAAGTTGGAAATGTAGTATTTTTATTTTTAACTCACCTCTACCTTCTAAAAGCTTTATTCTTTCCAAGACAAAAAGCTTCACGCATGTCCCAGGGGATGAGCCAAGAAAAAAAAAAATCAGGTAAAATAATCCCTCTGGGTCAGGGGCGTGCATGTCACTCGGTCTGGTCAGTGAGATGTGAGGGGAGCTTTCCTAGTGAGACAAAAAAAAAATGAGGGTGTGCGTGTGGGAGTGAAGGAAGGTTCTAATAAAAGATTTTGCTTCATGATAAAAAAAAAAAATGATGAGGAAACCTGTCCTTTTCTTCTGCACACAATGTGGTGTGTGAGAATCACATATGGAGCTATTGCAACCATTTTGTGACCACGAGGCAATACGCCCAACACCAAAGCCAAAATTCTGAGATGGCAGGTAAGCAAGACAGAGCCAGCCTCGTGAGCACTCATTAAGCGACTGCACCCCCAGGATTCTTGTTATGCCAAGTAGCCAACACTGCCTGGATCCCCTGAGAGTTGCAGGTTGGGTGTTCTGTGCCTCTTAGGAAAATACACCTGATGTGGCAAATGAGTCCCAGGTGTCTCAAACCCTACTGTGCACACAAATCACTGGGGCTCTTGCTAAAAGGCAGCTCCTGATTCCTTAGGTCTGGGTGGGACCCCAAATTCTGCATTTGTAATAAGTTCCCAGTTGATGTCGATGCTTCTGGTGCTCCTGACCCCTTTGAGTGAAGAATCTATTTGGCCACCCACCAGAAGTTCAGAACGACCCCACTTACTCCTGGCTGTAATTATATGAACACATCTTGGGCATCACTTCCTGGGTGTCCTGTAGTGGACTAGCTGTCAATTAAAACAATTTCTTATGTTGAGTTAAAATTTGCTTCCTTGTAACTATTTTCTATTATTATCTCTACTTTTGCCACATAGAGCTTCACAGAGCAAGTCTACTTGTTTTTCCATGGGAAAGCCACTTATATATGGGAGCTTATCACAAATGCAGAATTTGGGGTACCACCCAAACCTACTGACTCAGGAGCTGCCTTTTAGCAAGAGCCCCAGTGATTTGTGTGCAGAGTAGGGTTCAAGATGCCCAGGACTAATTTGCTATATCAGGTATATTTTCCTAAGAGGCACAGAACACCCAACCTGCCAACTCTCAGGGGATCCAGAGAGTAATATGTGCTCCCTGGATCTTTCTTTTTATTCTTAAAACTGTTGCCCAGATAACTTGGTTTCATCTTGCTGGCTGTCCCCTGAATGTGTTTACCATGGTCTCAATTCTTGTCAAGGAAGAATGTGCCCAAGTAAAGACAAATCTCCAGGAAGCATCTAACAAGGAGTGGGATCATTAGACACCCAGCAAATGTTATACAAGATAATGGGACACTAAAAGCATTTTTACTAAAACCAGAGACAAAACAAGGCTATCTATGATTACTGGTCACTACCCGGAACATGATTAACCCTGAAGTCAGAGAAGAGGAAAGAAAAAGGAAGGTAAAACCATTGGAAACTGTCATTATTTGCAGCTGTTGTCATTGAAAAGTGACTTAGCTGGAAATAGAATTGATGAGATTTTCATAAGGAGACCAGGACAAAACATAGCTACAAAAACCAATAGCATCCTCATGCACCAGCAGGAACCAGTTGAAAATATGAAGAAAATTTAAGATCACTTATGCAATGCCTACAACAAGCACAAACTATCTAGAAATTAACATAGGGGGTGTGCAAGCCTTTTGGAAGACAATGTGAAGATGTTACTGAAGAGCATAAATAATTGGCTCAAATAATTGGAAGCTCATGTCATGTGCCTGTAAATATGTCAATTATCCCCAAGTTAATTCCTAAACATAATGCAATTGCAACTTTAAAATATGTATTTCTGTGGAACTCCACAAGATGATATTAAATCCATAAAATTTGAGCAGTAGTCAAGGAAAAAACCCTGGAACAGGGATAAGAAAGGACATAATCTATCAGTGAAGTACACTGTGAGTCTGCAGAAACAGACAGCATGGGCCAAGTGTTAAAACAGACAAAATAATGGAACAAAATAGGAAATCCAGAAAGAGTCTCAAGTGCATTTCAAATAAATAAGAAAGAATGGATTACGCAGTCAATACTGTTGAGGCTTAGTTTAGATGTGGGGAAAGTAATATTCCATCCCCACCTCATGCCTTTCACCAAAATACATGTTGGATTGATAAAACATTTAAACATAAAAATAATACAGTAATTAGGGGAAAATGTTATCTAAAGTTTTCATTCAATAGAAAGAAATTACAGGTAAACATTTTTTATAAACTTATCAGGAAAATGTCTTCTTAGCATGACATCAAAGCTAAAGCCATTTTTTAAAAATCATAATTTCACTACATAAAAATGTAAAATTCTGTAATGTAAGAAATCAGTTAATTTAAAAAAAATTGCAAAATCTCCATAAACAAAATTAAAAGACAAAAACTTAAGTTTCTTGTCTGGGTCTATGAGTAGGCAATTCAAATTAGAAGAAATGCTAGTGACCCATAAACCTGTGGAAAGTTATTTAAGCTCACTTCTAATAATCCAAGGGTGCATGCATAAAAAAATGATTATTTGTGCCTAACAGGTTTCCCCGTTTTTTTTTTCTTTGAGACAGAGTCTCTCTCTGTTGCCCAGGCTGGAGTGCAGTGGCATGATCTCGGCTCACTGCAACCTCTGCCTCCCCAGTTTAAGCAATTCCCCCGCCTCAGCCTCCCAAGTAGCTGGGATTACAGGCGTCCACCATCATGCCCGTCTAATTTGTTTGTATTTTCAGTAGAGACAGGGTTTCACCATGTTGGCCAGGCTGCTTTTGAACTCCTGAGCTCAAGTGATCCGCCCGCTTCAGCCTCCCAAAGTGCGAGGATTACAGGTGTGAGCCACCGCGCCTGGCCAGCTTGGTACTTTTTTTTTTTTTTTTAAAGCGGATAATACCTGGATTTTGCTCAGGCATGGAGAAATGGACTCCCTGTATCACAGAGTGGAACCATAAAGTAGCTCACCCTTTCTGGAGAACAAGTGTGATGTGTACCTAGTGCCGTTTGCAGTATACATGTCCTTTGACCCAGCAATTCCACTTCCAAATAAATGTTGTATTGAAAATTGGGAACAGTCTAAATATATACCGGTAAGCTGACTATTCAAGCCAATTATGGAAAATCCTTAAAATAGAGTAACATGTAGTCATTAAAGTAATTACGTAGAACCGTGTCATTAACATGGGAAAATGGCCACACGGCACTGCTAAGCAGGCTGATCTTCAGACAGGACGGACCAGGGCAGCCCTTCCAGTTTGTTTTGTCTGGTGTGTTTTTGAATTTGTCCACACCCCTATGCCAAATCAGTTGTTGAACATTTCAAATATTGCCCTGTTGTTACTACACAAAGCAAGTTATATAATTCCTGAATAAGACAAGCCTGGGCAACACAGGGAGACCCTGTCTCAAAAAATAAAAAGAAAGAAAAGGAAGAGAGGAGGGAAAGGAAGGGGAGGGGTGGGGAGGGGAGGGAAGGGAAGGGGATGGGGAAGCAAAGGAAGGCCGGGTGCAGTGGCTTTCGCCTGTAATCCCAGCACTCTGGGAGGCTGAGTGGGCAGATAACTTGGGGTCAGGAGTTTGAGACCAGCCTGACCAACATGGTGAAACCCCGTATCCACTAAAAATACAAAAATTAGCTGGGCATGGTGGTGGGCACCTGTAATCCCAGTTATTCAGGAGGCTGAGGCAAGAGAATTGCTTGAACCCAGAAGGCAGAGGTTGCAGTGAGCTGAGATCACACCATTGTACTCCAGCCTGGGCGACAGAGTGAGACTTCATCTCAAAAAAAAAAAAAAAGAAAGGAAGGCTGGCAGACTTTGCAGTATCTGCTTATTCCGGAGCAAGTGTTAAAATGGTGTCTGTTTCATGAGTGGGCATGTGCAGGTTGCCATCCTAATATTCATTTCACCCCTTTTCTCTTTGGGTATCCATGCAGCTGAGGCAATGTTGTCCCCACCCCGTCTCCACTGGCTCACTTCCTTGAGATATCCACAAAGGTGGGCATTGACGGAAACCAACCCAATCAGTGTGAGGCTCAGGCATGGGTGGGCACAGACACCCTCTCTTCCTCTGGGTCACGCAGCACAGGACGTCGGGTTCAAAGGGCCTCTGCCATGTTTACTATTTCAAGGGCCCCCGATCCCAGGAGAAGGTCAACACTTGGAGTGGGGCTATTTTCAGAAACTCCGACACTAAGCCATGGTGACATGACACACCTCGAATCAAACAGTGCCTGGATAAAATCTCTCCTGTGCTTTTCAGTCCATAAATTACTTTTTAGAGACAGTTCCGTGGGGTTTTCTCTTACTTGCAACCAACTGAGACACGAATATAATTGTCACAAAAGCAGCTGCCTCACTAGGCAGGAGACCAGCCAGGGGAGGGGAGTCGATTCACTCAGGGTGTTCGGGTTCTTTGTTATTCCACAGTGAAACACCTCAAAACTCAGCTTCCTCAAATGACTCTTTTATTCATATTCAGCTCACAATTTGGCAAGTCAGGAATGTTGTCAGGCATTGGCTGGGTCATTTGTCTCTGGCCACCTTGGCAATGGCTGGGGTGGCTGGGGCTGGAGGATACACTTCTGCTTTTCATTTCACTCATGAACTTGGCCTCTTGCTGCCACCTTGGTCTCTCTTTTCCCCCAAACCCCACATGGTGTCGCCTCCTCTTGGGCCCCCTCACCTGGCTGTAGCTTGGGCTTCCTCACAGCATGGCTGGCTCAGAGTAGTTAAACTTATTTTTTATTTTATTTTATTATTATTATACTTTAAGTTTTAGGGTACATGTGCACCACGTGAAGGTTTGTTACATATGTATACATGTGCCATGTTGGTGTGCTGCACCCATTAACTCATCAAGAGCAGTTAAACTTCTTACACGGCAATTGGCTCTGCCCAGAGAGAGCATTCTTTAAGAGAAAGAAAATGGGGCTGGCCAGGGCACTCCCTCTGCCATGCTGGTTTTTTTTTTTTTCTTTCTTTCTTTATGAGACAGGGTCTTGCTCAGTTGTCCAGGGTACAGTGCTGTGGTGTGATCAGAGCTCACTGACTCCTGGGTTCAAGTGATCCTGCCAACTCATCCTCCTGAGTAGCTGGGACCATAGGTGTGTGCCACCATGCCTGGCTAATGTTTAATTTTTTTTGTAGAGAAGGGACCTCCCTATGTTGCCCAGGCTGGTCTCAAACTCCTGGACTCAAGCGATCCCTTGCCTCAGTCTCCCTAAGTGGTGCAATTACAGGCATGAGCCACTGCACCAGGCAGCCCCAACCTCCCAGGCTCAGGGATCCTCCCAGCTTAGCCTCCCAAGTAGCTGTGACTACAAGCATGTGCCACTGTACCCAACTGATTTTTAAAATTTTTTGTAGAGATGGGGTCTTGAACTCCTGGGCTCAAGCCATCCTCCCTCCTCGGCCTCCCAAAGTGCTGGGATTACCACCATGCTCTTTTGACAAAGCAGTCACGTAGCCCACCTAACTTCAAGGAGAGGGAAGTGAGTCCCTGCCTCTCAATCAGAGAAGGGGATAGGACCCTGTGGCCTTTCTTACCACCCGGGACAGGGTGCCCCTAAATCCACAAAGAGAAAGAGCGGAAACGGCCTCCTTTCATCTCCTGCCCCGGACGCCCCATCTTTTGTTTTCTCATAAAATGGCAACAGAAGTTGATTCTAGATAGAATAATTAACTCCTTCCTGCCACAGTGATCCCGTCCCTGCCTTTTGCGGCACGCTGATTTTTAACCAGAGGAACTTCTCCTTGAAAGATGCTGCTGTACTGCAATTTTGTCAAATGTGCTGACAGTTTGGGAGCCGCTGGAGGACTCCGGATCTGGTCTCCAGGCGGACGAGGGACACTTTTTGTGGGCTGAGTTTGTTTACTCCTGGAAAAACCTGGCTTCCTGTTTCTAAGGGGGAACAGGTTTAAAAGTCCTCATAAAAAAGGCTCTAAGGCCCCTTCACATCAAATGGCTCTTCCACAGTAACATTTGATGAGTTAAGTGTAAAGGAATCAGAAACATAAGGATTAAATTTCCTTGCAGATACACATAGGTTATAAATTAGGGGGGGAAGAATCATGTCAAAACATGTTTTGGCATTTCGCCAAGACTGAAAAGATTTGAAAAACGGTTTTGAGATGGTAGATGTAATTGTGTTCTCTCTCAGCCCATCCTTCCCGGTTTGTAAGATTTATTTATTTTTCAGTAAACGTCGGAAGAATTGTAGACGCGCGTGGAGGGAAGTGGTTCTAATTCAAGTTACTGAGATTTTAAAGGTTTATTCCTGAGAGATGGTCCTGGATGGGGACATTCAGCATTCTTGTTTTGTGTTGGTTTTAATTGAGATTTCAAAGAAAGGCCCGTAGCTTTTATAGCTTTCGGTATGTTTCTTATTTAGATTAAGGGCCCAGGAAGCACAGGGCTCGTTAAGTTCAGTGGTCTATCCGAGGATGGCTGCCTGGCCTTTCTCTCACCTGTTTTCAAGAGATTTATGCATCTGCAGGCTTTACATTTCATCATGGATGGAGCAGATTCTCTGCTTCAGCAGATGGACAAAGAAGTTGAAGCTCCGATACTTAGGAGGTATACAGAAGTAAAACCAGAGACGTGGGGATTTCAGCTTGAGAGGATATTTCTGGAGAAATATTTCACGATCTAGGACTGCAAAGATATAAACACACTTTTTTTTTTTTTAAGATTTTCATTTAGGAAACCTTCACGAATCTAAGACTTGTTAAAAATGGGTCCAGCAGCCGGGCACGGTGGCTCATGCCTGTAATCCCAGCACTTTGGGAGGCCGAGGTGGGCGGATCACGAGGTCAGGAGTTCAAGACCAGCCTGTCCAACATGGTGAAACCCCGTCTCTACTAAAAATACAAAAATTAGCCGGGCGTGGTGGCGGGTGCTTGTAATCCCAGCTACTCGGGAGGCTGAGGCACTGAGGCAGGAGAATCACTTGAACCCGGGAGACGAAGGTTGCCGTGAGCCGAGATTGCACCACTGCACTCCAGCCTGGGCGAAAGAGCGAAACTCCACCTCAAAAAAAAAAAATGGTCCAGCGATGCTGTCAAGACTGGAGTTTTTGTGTACGCCTGTGCAGCTGACCCACATAATTTCTTGAGTTACTTAAAAAAGACGACGAGTTCTGAGCCAACTGAAGAGCACAAGGGACACCACAGGGGCCACCCAGAGACCTGGATTTCCCAGCTTTAAAAAATAAAATTGACCACAGGAATGTTTTCCGAGGCAACTCCACCTACTAATTATGTTGTAGCTCCACCTGTGATCAGCAGAGACAAGAAAGACTGGTCACCAGGACATGAAAAACAGCAAAAACCTGTCCCTCTGGGCCACCGTTGACCGAGGAGCAGGCCTGCAAGATGTGTGGGGTGAGTGCACCGTTCCTAGAAATACCTTTCAGTTCCTGCTGACCAGGGCACAGGTCAGCTCTGAGCACAGCCGAGTGCACTCAAGTGGCAGCAACGATTTAGCATCACCTGGATGCCTCTGTCCATGTTCGGTGTTGTGGGTGTAGAAGGAGGTGGAGGAAGCACAGAGGAAGAGGAGGTTCGTGCATCCACCGGCGGCCCATCCTCAGCACTGAGTAGGTCCGAGAGGGGCTTCAGTGTAGGTCTTTCTCCCGTTGTCTCTTCCAATCCCCTCTCTTCCTCTCTGCCCCCAGAAGGCTGACCCCACACACCACATGTCTCAGGGCCCCCTGACCTCTGGATTGGGTCCAGTTTGGCCAACGGAGTGGTACCAGCAAGGGAGACTGGAGGACGGGGAGAGAGTGAGCTTCCAGGGCACGGGTTCCGCCCTGTCCCTCCTGGCCAGGCCTAGGGTGGGGGCCGTCCCTTCCCTGCAGCTTCAGCTGCTGCGGGCTGTGGCTCCTCCATCGAGGCTGCAGCTCTCCGGAGCAGGCTTCTGCTGCCCAGCTCCTCCTGGACCCCATCAGACTGGTTCCATTGCAGCGACACCCACTTGGCTGTTCTCTCTGGGCCTCGCCATTCACTTATGTTTCTCTTAACTCTACCCACACTGTATGAGACAGGGTTCTCTAGAGGGCCAGAACTAATGGAATAGATATATAGATAAAGGGGAGTTTATTAAGTATGATGGCGAGGTCCCACAATAGGCCGTCTGCAGGCTGAGGAGCAAGGAGAGCCAGTCCAAGTCCAAGTCCAGTTCAAGGGATCATCCAGGAAGCATCCAGCACTGGAGAAAGGTGTAGGCTGGGAGGCTAGGCCGGTCTCTCTTTTCACATTTTTCTGCCTGCTTATATTTGAGCTGAGCAGGCAGCAGATTAGATCGTGCCCACCCAGATTGAGGGTGGGTCTGCCTTTCCCGGCCCACTGACTCAAATGTGAATCTCCTTTGGCAACAGCCTCACAGACACACCCAGGATCAATACTTTGTATCCTTCAATCCAATCAAGTTGACACTCAGTATTAACCATCACACACACCTTGATCAAGAGTCCCTCTCTTAAGTCCTTTCCAGGGAAACCATCTGTCTTAGGGAGCTCATGCTGCTCCAGTAAAATACCATGGGCTAGGTGACTTCACCAACAGACCTTTCCTGCTCCCAGTTCTGGAGGCAGCACAGGATCAATCATACAAGATCAAGGTGCCAATTCAGTTCCTCATCAGGGCTCCATCCCTGGAGTGTACACGGCAGCCTCCTTACTGTCTATCTTCGGCGTGTGTGGGTGAAGTGTCAGGCACTTTCCTCTTCCCATCCCACCATGGGGCCCCCACTCTCCTGGCCTCATCTCACCCCAGTCACTCCCCCAAAGCCCTCACCTGCTAATACCATCACATGGGGGGCCAGGCCTTCAACACATGAATTCTGGGGGGACACAGCCCATCTGCCCTCTGAGAGCCACCCGTCTCCTGCAGGAAACCCAATAGACCATCTTCTCACATCAACTTAAGCTATTTAACTCATTCCCACAGATATTTATTGAATACTGCTAGGCATGGGGGAAAAGCAAACAAACAACTCTTACCACTATAAGTCTATGAAAGCTTATCAGGCATTTAATACATAAGATCTCCTTCCATCCCCACAAAAATATTGTTATTCCAGTTTTCCAGGAAGGAGAAATGAGGGTTAAAGAGAAAGTAGGGAAAAGAAAGGATGCTTGCATAGCCAAGGCCACCAATCAGGAGCAGAACAGTTATCAATCTTCAGGTTGATTTTTCTTTAAATAATTCATTGAGGTGAAATTCACACAACATAAAGTTAAACATTGAAAGTGTATCACTCGGTGACACGTAGAACATTCACAGTGCGTGCAACTACCACTTCTCTGCGGTTCTAAAACATCGTCACTCCAAGGTAAACCCTCCACCCAATAATGAGTCACTTGCCATTCTTCCCTCCCCTGGCCCCTGGCAATCACTCTGCTTTCTGTCTCTCCGGGTTTGCCTCTTCTGGACAGCTCGTAGAAATGGAATCACACAGCGTGCGGCCTTTTGTGTTGGCATCTTTCACTCAGCATGATGTTTCTTGAGGTTCATCCATGTTGCAGAGTCAGTCAGAGCTTCATTCCTTTTCATGACCGAATAATATTCCTTCATATGGACAGATCATACTTTGTGTTTTATGCATCCGTGGATGGACATTTGGGCTGTCTTCACCTTCCAGCTGTTGTGAACTGTTCTACTGTGGCATGTGTACACGTATTGGTTTGAACATCTGTTTTCAATTTTCAGGGTATATACCTATGAATAAAATTGCTGGTTTACATAATAATTCTATTTTTAACTTTTTGAAGAACCACCAAACTGTTTTCCACAGAAACAGGACCATTTTTACATTCCTACCAGCCATGTACAAAGGTTTAGGTTGATGTTTTTAATAGCTTTCCTGAGCTATAATTCACATACCATACATTCATCCATAGAAGGTGTGCAATTTCATGGCTTTTGGTATGTTTACAGAATTATGCAATCATCACCATCATCAATCTTAGATCATTCATAGCACCCTAGAAAGAAAACCATGGCTTTCACAGTCGGCCCCCACACTCCCCTCCTCAGTCCTAGGCAAACACAAATCTAATTTCTGTCTATAGATTTTTCTATTCTGGACATCATCTCATGTAAATCATACAGTGTGGGGTCCTTCATCACTGACTTCTTTCACTTAAGAGAATGTGTCAGCATTCATTCATGCAGCAGATAAATCCATACTTTCCTTTTCATGGCTGCATAATATTTCATCGTGGGGATTGACCGTGTTTTGTTTACCCATTCATCCTCTCTCTGATGGACACTTGGATTATTTCAATTTTTGGGCCATTGTGAATAATACTGCTATGAGCATTTGTGTACTTCTTCTGTGTGGGACATGTGTTTTCCTCTCTTTTAAGGTTGATGTTTTCATTCCATTGGATAGTAGGTTTGTTTGATGTAGAGAATAGACAGTTCTGTGTGGAGAATTTCCAAAATGTCATGGACCAGTGGGAAAGATTTTTTTTTCCTTTGGAACAGATTGGCCATAGTAGAAAATCATGCTTTTCTACCTCAGCTGAGCATTTTCTGCTTCTGTGGGTCATTCCAGTCCCATCTGATTGACAATCCCATTTCCCAGTGGGTCCTCCTCCCCCAGGCCAAGCTCCACCCAGCCCCCCTCATTCTTCCCTGAAGACCTGGAGGGTCACCTGATGGTCCTTCTCCACTCCATATGGCTCCAAGTTAATGCTTATTCTCACCATCCTTTCACTTCCGCCTGTGGCCCCATATCTCCTGCGCGAACCCTTGGACCTATTCTCTCGATCCCAGTCCCTCCTCTGTTTACCACAGCTCGTTTTCTTTCCCCAAAAAAACTTAATAAATAAACCCCCTGTAAGCAGTTGAATGAATCGTGCCACCCAATAGGTACATCCAAGTCCTTAATCCTTGGTTCTGTGAATGTGACCTTCCTTATTTGGAAATAGGGCCTTTGTGGATGTAAGTACGTTAAGGATCTTGGGATGTGATCATTCTGGGTTTAGGGTGGGCACTAAATCCATAACTGGAGAAAGGAGAAGGAGATTTGAGACACGGAGATGCAGGGAGAAGACTGTGTGAAGATGGAGGCAGGGATTGGAGTGATGCAGCCGTGAGCTGGGGCCACCTGGAGCCACCAGAACCTGAAAGAGGCAGCAAGGACCCTCCCCTAGATCATTTGGAGAGGGCATGACCCTGTGGACACCATGGTTTCAGACTTCTGGTCTCCAGATCTGCTCAAGAATAAATTTCTGCTGTTTGAAACCACCTAGTTTGTGGTGGTTTGTTATGGCAGGAAACTCACACACGTCTCCAAAAGTGTGCTTAGAGGGGCTGTTAGAACACAGATTCTCAAGCTGGACAGACTGAGTCTAAATCCTGCCTCCTGCCACCTGCTAGCCGTGTGACCTTGGGCAAGGATGTAACATTTGAGTGGCTCATTGGTAAGAGAAGGACACTATGGCATCTTGGTCATGGGGCCTAGAGGACCAAGTAGGTCCATAAAAGTGACTGTCAGAGCAGCCCCTGCTGCACACGGCTGCAGCCCCACCTGCAGCTGGGATTCCACCCCTGCCTCCTCCAGCCATGATTTTCTTGTCTGTTCATCATCTCAACGCAGACCCTTGGCGCCATCTGTAAGCCTACTTCTCCTTCGCTCCTGTCTCCAGGGAATAGGGGTCCCATGTGGTCTGCAATGGCACGCTCGCCGGCTCCCTATCCCACACTGCTCCCGGGCTCTGGCTGATTTTGAGACCCCCCACAACCACCATCTGGATCCCGAGCCATGGCCTCTGGTCTCCGACGGGTCTGCTTGTCTGCAGGTCTTCTGCCCGGAGCCCTGACACACGCAGTGGAGTTCACACATTCACAGGGTCTGTGCTCCCCTGGTGGGTGGGACCACATTTCTGCTGGTTTAAGAGGTGTTCAATCTATGGGCACAATTATCTAGCTGGGGAGTAGCATGGGGCAGGGAAAGAATAAAGAACGCTGCCTCCCCCAGCCTCAGGAATTGGTAGGCGAGGTCCTGGGGCCTCGTTCAAACCAAGGCCCAGAGACACATCAGGGGCAGCCACAGGCCTCCCAAGCCTCCCTGCAGTGCCCCGTGGCATCTGGGATGGTCCTGGGTCACCTTTCCCTGTTTTTTCCTCAGCCCCCCGAGACAGCAAGTCACTCTAGGCCAAGGGGCTTCTGCTGTGTCCACCGGGTGTAGCTTCCTTCAGAGACACAATAAAGGCTGCACAGAGGCAGGACGTATTAGGGTGTAGAGGACACACTCCCAGAACTGCCACGCTCAGCTCGCCCTGTGCCTCCCGCATGGCAGGTCCTCTGGGGGGCTGAGGAGGGAGTCTCGTCCCTTGATATCAAAACAAAACCATGCACAGAATCCCTTTGGCTTTGGGATTTAGGCTATGAAACGCAGGGCATGTCCTGCCATGTGATGGCCTATATTTGTCTCAGATCAGTCACACATTGGCATCTTCCAGAGATGGGCCCCCCCTCTCCCCGTCCACTCTCCCATCTTAGCTGTCTGCAGTCGTCAGAGGCAGGAGAGACACAGACTGCTGAAGGGCGGTTGAGGAGCTGGCTCCAGCTGCTCGGCCCTGCCCTGTTGTCTCAGCACAGGTGACCTGCTGCTCATAGGCTAAAGAGCATGAGGATAGCAAGGAGAATGCGCACCAGCATCCTGAAGGCAGAGCCATTTCTCCAATGCAGCCATCTGGGAAGTGAACTTCGTGGTGGAGGACCAGGACCAAACGCGGCCCCTTCCGCTCCCTCCCCACCCTGCCCATCCCTTGAGCTGACTCAGACATTTAGGGGCAAACAGACAGAGACAACTGCACCTGGGTCTGTAATGAAATACTAACTTCAAAAGGCTCAGCAGCTGTTTTCTGGAACTTGGCAGCCTGACTCCAAAGTCCCCTCAGCCCTCAGTCCAGCCTCTTTATTGCCAATGCCTGACACGCTGGCCACAGAGCAAAGTCGAGGTGAACATTTGACCATCCAAAGCCAGGGGAGCACAATCATTGTCAAGAGGTTTCTAAAAGTCCTCTTCATCCATAGGTGTATGAATTGCTCCATCTTCTCGATTCCTCACGTTTCCCTCTGAGCACACTGCCTTACCCCGCTGTATCAGACAGGTTTCTTGGTAGCAAGCCACAGAAACTCCCTCTTCAGCCATTTTCAGCTAAGGGGTGGGGGTGTGGGGTTGGAGGGGAACGGACATGAACAGCAGGTCAGAAGTCCAGAATTTGGAACCAGGAACCGTAGGGCAGATAGTCTTGCCCCGTGCTCCGTGTGGCTACAGTTAACATAATAATTCCCAGCTGTCCTCAGTTTCCTACCCTGATCCCCAAGAACTCTAGTTGAGACTGTCCCACTGGCTAGGCCTAAACCGGCTGCCATTCCTCGGTTAAGCTGGGTGGGAAAGGAGAGAAGCTTTCGGACTTCTGTAGCGGGAAGTAGGGTCTCCTTCCCAAGGTAATCGTGAGGATGGATTCCCAAAAGTATGACTCTTCCCAAAAGTCGGACTTTTTTGGGAAGAGAGGTCTAGATGATGCGTAGCCTCCTTCCCTGCAAAATGGCTGGCATCGACAATGCAATGATAACACTGAAGGTCCCGGGAACGCCCTGCAGGGTGTGAAGTCAGTACACACTGGCCACACTACCGGCCGGGGTGCTGTTTCCCTCCTCTTTGTGATCCCAGGTTTCCCTGCAGAAGCCTCTGTATGGTCCATGCATCTTGTAGGCACTCTCCCCGGCTCCATGCCTCCCTGCAGAAGGCTTTGTATGGCCCATGCATCTTGTAGGCACCTCTCCCCGACATCACGCCTCCCTGCCTAGGCTGCCTTCATGGCTCTCTACAGAGGGCAGCCCAAGTTCAAGCAGCCGGAACCGGCAGCTGGCTGGAGCTTGGGTGGGGAGCGAGTTCTGCTGGCCAAATCTGGTAGGAGATTCTCCATGGGACATGAACACCGTCCGGCTTTATACCAGACAACAGGCAAGCCAGTCCCCTCAGGAAGGCAGCCTCTCGCTGTGTGGAGGGCTGCGGGGCAAGGAGGGGCCACTATCTGTGCCAGCCTAGATTGCAACTGAGCAAGAGATTAAGTTGAGGGCTTTGACCTTGAGGCAGCCTTCACAACTCCGGGACGCGAGACACCAGAAACCTGACTCTGACTTCAGGCCAGGCGAACACACTTTGCGCATTTCTCTCCGGAGCTGTGTAAGTCACAGCGGAGATTTCCTCTCTGACCGGGGCTGTGTTACCCAATAGGCCACCTAGTAACACGCCTGGGATGCATGACGGAAAAGCAGGGATGCCAGGAATTTATTTTTATGAAGTTGGTATTTCAAAAGGAGCATTGAAGAGAAGTCAACATGGCAGGTGCTGGCGGTTTGCCGGACTTCCTTAGGCTTACCCCACATGTTAGAATTGCTTTGGTTTTGAATTATTTGCGGGGATGGGAGCTAGTGTATGTTTTTCTGTGTCAAATCTCTTTGAAAGTCTCTATCCAACCTGCCTCGCCAAGATAAAGGCCAGTGAGACGTGATACTGGCACACTTGCTGCTGTAGCAATGTTTTTCTGTTTTGCTCTCCTCATTGAGGCGAAAGTTTTAAAATTATCCTTACTGTTTTTGTTGTTGGCCTGAAAGGTTAAAATTCATTTGGGTGAGCTTCCAACAATGACTGGTTTCTCTGCAGCCAATACCTTCCACTGATTTACACCTGTGCTCTCAAAGTGCGAGAGCTTCAGATCCACTCAAAGTGGATGGGTGTGTGTGATTGGCCAGCCACATCACCGCCACCTGGGACCTGGTTAGGAGCACGGACTCAGCCCCACCTCAGACCTGCTGAGTCAGAAGCCCTGGAGGCAGGCCCCCAAGATCTGCTTTAACAAACTCTCGGGAGGGTTCCAAGGCACGTTACAGTTTGAGAACCAATGGATTTGATTAGAAAAAAAGCAAGAGATGAGACAGACGTGTCCCCCAAGGAGGACGTGTCTCCTTCGCAGGTGCACCATCCATGGATTCCTGGGAGCTTAGTGGACCCCTCAGCAGGCGAGGCAGGAAAAGGGTGAGTCAGCCAAGCCCTCGCCTTAGTCATTGATGGATACGCTCTGTAAATCTAAAGCCAGACGGCTCTTCTCACCCACTTCCTGCTCCTGCTTTTCTAACTGGAGGGGAAAAAAAAGAGAAAAGAACCAATGGGAAATAAAGGTAACAGAAAGGAAAACCAACTAAACCACGTTAAAAGATGGAATTATTTGACAGAAGATTTTAAATTACTTACACTACAGGGGTTGTTTTTCGGTAGAAAGCGACTACTTTATAAAATTAAAAAAACTGTTTAAATATAAATAAGACAAAAGGAGAAAGTAAAAATCACTCAAAATTCCTTCACCCAGAGATAACATTAACATTGCTGTGTTTCTGTTTACTTTGCACATAATTTTTTAAAATGACAATGTATTTTTTATCCTTTTGAGTGAAATCTGTGCTCTCATCTTGGAGGATTTCCTTGGGACCAATTCCTCTAAGTAGAATTCCTAGGTTCAATGCTGTGGACTGTTTTTTCTATAAAGGCGATGCTTGGTATAGAAACAGTCTCATCTGATTGCCCTCCAGAATGGATGAGCTACTTTTACGCTTTCCACTAATAGCAGAGGAGATTTTTGCAGAGAATATGAAAGTCTTGGTGCTCGTAAATATTTTGTTTTTGTTTTTGTTTTTGAGACAGAGTCTCACTCTGTCGCCCAGACTGGAGTGCACTGGTGCGATCTCAGTTCACTGCAGCCTCTACCTCCCGGGTTCAAGTGATTCTTCTGCCTCAGCCTCCAGAGTAGCTGGGATTACAGGCACCTGCCACCACACCTGGCTAATTTTTGTATTTTAGTAGCAATGGGGTTTTGCCATGTTGGCCAGGCTGGTCTCAAACTCCTGACCTCAGGTGATCCTCCTGCCTCGGCATACCAAAGTGCTAGATTATAGGTGTGAACCACCACGCCTGGCCTAGCTTGTAAATATTTTAATGAAAATTCTCATTAGGCCACCTCAGTACTGTCGTAGTTATCTAAGAATCTTCCCATGGTCCTTAGAATATGTTCTTCCGAAGGCACGTTCCTTCTGCTGTCCTTGTAATCTCCAGACACAGGACAGGCCCCAGCAGCCTGAACTGGGCCTGTGCACCCTGGACCATGTGTAGCCCTTTCCTCCCCGGCACCTGTCCTTCCCCATCCTCTTTGGGTTCCCCTGCATGCGGGAAGTGTGCCCCGGCACCTGGTTTCCTCAGATATACGGCCTGGAAACCACGTGCCCATCAGAATTTCAGCCACAGTCCCCCGTAGATATAACCACCATCTTCCAAACTTCATGTCCAAAAGACAAAGAATGAAAAGTAAAGGTGTTTATTTTGGTGATTTTTTTTCTCATTCCTAAGGTAATATGTATTTGCATGGAAAATTGCAGCATAGAGAATACAGCTGTCATCTGATAACATTTCTAGATTTCTATTGTGCATGTCTACATAGATTTATCATTTTTACCAACATGGGTTCATGTCACCATTCTCTTTTATAATATTTCCACTTGATATTATATATTATAAACCTTATTCCATGCCAATTAACAGACAACTATATGCCATTATTTTAGATGGCTTTAATGTATTCCATAATACAATTTCTGTAGTTTATCAAATGAATCTCTCACTAGTAGGTGTTCAGGTTGCTTTCTTTCTTTTTTCTTCTCTAAATATAAAGGGTATTACTGTACACGCAGCTGTTATGAGCTTGTGGGATTATTCCCGAGCAGAATTGCTGGGGTCAAAGAGTTAGAGCATTACTAAAGCTTCATGTTCGAATTGTCAGATGCCCTCGAGAAGGATGAATCAATCTGAACCCTCACTGGCCGTGTATATGAACTCCACCTGCCTCACAGCCTCTTAACATTGGTTCTTAACTGTATTTTTTCCATTTTTCCCAGTGCTTATGGCATCTTTTAATTTGCAAGGCTTTGCTCAGTAAAGAGGATGAACATCTTTTCATTTGTTTATAAATTATTGGCTTTTCTACTTTTGAATCATTTGCTTGACTTTTGCCCATTTTTCTACTGAAGCGTTTATTTTTTCTTACTGATTTAACAAAGCTACTATGCATCATAAGTCATTTTCCCAGTTTTCTTTGTCACTTTATTTTGTTTAAGGTCTTTTTGTTACAGAATATATTTTATTTTGCATGGAGTTAAGTCAATCCATTTTTTCCCATATTAGTTCTGCCTCCAGTGTCCTGAATATAAAGTCTTCTAGTAACTATATCTTTTTCTAATGTTTTAACAATTTTATTCTTTATGTTTAAAATACTAAAAAAAAATTTGGTGTAATGTTGTTGTAGTTACAGGAAATATAATTTGAATTTTTCCCAAATTGTTGTTCTATTATTTCAAAAGTATTATCTCAATTTCAAATGGTGACACATGTAAATATATTTCCATACTTAGTTTCTGAATTTTCGACTCAATTCCAATATTTTTTTACCACTACATCAATAATACATTGCTTTAATTTTATAATAGCTACTTATTTTGGTAATTCGAGTACCTCTTTTATTCATTCAACAACCTTTATTTGGCATCTACAATGTGCTAAGCTCTATACGAGACCCTAGGGGAAAATGAGGGGAAGTGACCCCTCCTCATTACTCTTCTCTTTACATATTTTTATTACCCTCGTGCATGTATTTTTAAGGTGAAACTTAAAACTTCTTTTGTCAGATAATCTCATGGGACTTTTGAATACTAAAGGGTGTTCTCTCTATTCATTTGGATAATACTGAGAACCTTATTCAGTCTTCCTAAAGAACGTGGAAACCTACAGCGGGCTTCACGTGTGCTGCAGAGAAGCGTTTGGTTCTCTTCCTGCTTTAATACATTATTTGAAAGTTGAACATCGTGTATTTCTTAAATATATTTATAAATTCTTTTGGTTTCTTTACTCATTGATTTGTTTATTTCAATGTCTTTCTCCTTTTTACTTCAATTATTTTTCTTATTTGCATGTATACCTCATTTTATAGTAGTATATTCCTTAGAGATATGTAGGTGTGTATACGATTTTGGTATATGATATGATTTTGATATATTAAGTCAATTCTTGACTTAAATATGTCTTTCATTTTTCTCTGAGCTTTCTTTTTTTAAATATTAAACTCATTTAGGGTGATACAAATGTTTATGAGCAACAGCATATCCTATAAGTTTTAGTATTCTGTAATTGTTTTTCTTACATCTGCAATTGAAATGTCTATTTCCTGTTTACTTAGGAGATCTTTTAGAAGGTGAGTTTTTAATGTTAGAAAACTGAGTTTCTCATTTAAACTTTCATAGTGTGCTTCTGCCGTGGTCAGAAAGCAAGGACCCGGCCGGAAGCCTATTGAAAGGTATTAGGGTTTAAGTAGTTTACAACCATTGTGGAAGACAGTGTGGTGATTCCTCAGGGATCTAGAACTAGAAATACCATTTGACCCAGCCATCCCATTACTGGGTATACACCCAAAGGATTATAAATCATGCTGCTATAAAGACACATGCACACGTATGTTTATTGTGGCACTATTCACAATAGCAAAGACTTGGAATCAACCCAAATGTTCATCAATGATAGACGGGATTAAGAAAATGTTGCACATATACAACATGGAATACTATGCAGCCATAAAAAGGATGAGTTCATGTCCTTCGTAGGGACATGGATGAAGCTGGAAACCAGCATTCTCAGCAAACTATGGCAAGGACAAAAAACCAAACATCACATGTTCTCACTCATAGGTGAGAACTGAACATTGAGAACACTTGGACACAGGGTGTGGAACGTCACACACCAGGGACTGTCGTGGGGCGGGGGCAGAGGGGAGGGATAGCTTTAGGAGATATACCTAATGTAAATGATGAGTTAATGGGTGCAGCACACCAACATGGCACATGTATACATGTGTAACAAACCTGCACGTTGTGCATATGTACCCTAGAACTTAAAGTATAATAATAATAAAAAAAAGAAAGGTATTAGGGTTGTCTTTGTGTCTAATCTATCGTTTTTGTAGTTGGTCCCCAGGTGGCTTAATAAAGGATCTATTTGCTGGAGGGTACAAAGCTATGACAATGGGCTGTGGTCAGGCCGAGTTTTAAGCACTGGGTGTTTTCTCCTTTCCCCTGTCTCCTAGTGCTCCACAGGGAAGTCTGGAAAAGTCCCTGGGGGCTGTGCCAGATACCATTCTGAACAAAAGGCTTAGCAGAAGGAAGCAGAAATGGCTTTGCCCCTGGCATGGGTCTGTGCATCCCGTCAGTGCCTTAATGAGAAAACGGGGAGGCAGGAGCAAGGGAGTATGAATGAAAGCACTAGAATAGTCACCTACCATTCTCATCAGAGCAGCTACCACCATTTAAATACCTGCACCCATGCCATGCTGTCCTTCCAGGGGATGACCATGTGATGAGGCTGACAGTGCCTGTCCCTGGGGCATCTCATGGGGATCCTCTGGACCAAGATCTGCACCTGTGATAAAGAAGAGTCAGAAATGACTGATTGTGTGTGTGTGTGTGTGTGTAGACATGTATTCATGAGTATGTATGTGTATATGTGTATGCATGCATGGGTGTATGTGTGTGTTTATGTGGGTGGTGTGTATGTACATGTATGTGTGTGATGTATACACGCATGGGTGTATGTGCTGTTCTAGTGCTGTGTATATGTATGTGTATATATGTGTATGTATGTGCTTACATGTATTTATATGTGTGTTTATGTATATGTATATGGTGCATGTGTAATGCATGCATATGTGTATGTGCACGTGTATAAGGTGTGAATGTGTGTGTATGTGTGTGTTTATATGTATTTATGTGTTTATGGTACATATGTATATACATGCATGTGTGTCTGTATGTATAAGGTGTAAATATGTGTGTGAATGTGTGTGTATGCGTGTATATTTATGTGTGTATGTGTTCATGTGTGTATATGGTGCGTATGTATATGCGTGTGTGTTTGTGTGCATGTATATGGTGTGTGTGTGTGTGTGTATGCGTGTGTTTATGTGCATATGTGTATATGGAGGTTGGTAGTGGTGGTATTATAAGCAGAGTACATCGAATCAAAGGGTTTCTGGATCCCTAGGTGTATGTAGACTGGCACTTCTCAAACTTTGGGTCCTGGGACCCTTTTACAGTTGTAGAAATTATTGGAGATCCCAAAGAGCTTTAGTTCATGGAGAACATATCACCTACCTTGTTAGAATTTAACGCTGACAGTTTTAAAAATATTTGTTTAAAAATAACGATAATGATACCTTTGCATGTTATCACAAATAACATCTTTCTCATGAAAACTAATTATACTTTCCAAAGCAAAAGTATTAGAAGAGTGGCGTTGTTTCTGATGTGTGCATGCCTCCTTCATGTCTGGCATCATCAAAGACAACTGGATTTCATCTCTGTGTCTGTGGTGTTATCTCAGGTCACGTGGGCTCTAGAAAACTCTGCTGCACTCCTGGAAGAAGGAGAGTGAAAAAAACGTCTAACATCCCACAAAATGGTCTTGGGGACCTCCAGGGGTCCCCAGCTCACCCTTTGAGAACCTCTTTTATTTTTTATATTTAAATTCTTTTCAGAATTATTTTGACATAATACTGGTGTCGTTGTAGGAGCAGCCAACAATCTGACAGATTTTCATAAACATGAGGGGCTGAGGCATTGCGGCCATGCAGCTGGGCCTGGGTGGGGGAGTCACACGCATGCTGATGGCTCAGAAATGAAGCGAGACCCGGCGGAGACCCCGAGTCACATGCAGCCAGCCAGCACAGACAGGCCCACAACTCTTTCCACTCTCCTGGGAGTGAGCAGCGGGATCCAGGGCTGTTCTTGCATTTTCCTGTATTTCAGTGAGGATACAGGCAAAGCTGCTGAAGGAGACACCACAGGACAAGGACAGAAACATCTGACTTTATTGTTTTCCCCGCCTGTAACATACAGAGGTATGTCGGCCAGGGCTGGCAGGTGCTTCTGCTCTACGAGGCTGTCCAGGGAACCAGGTTCCCGCCGTGTTGTTGCCCCTCCATTCCCTAGTGTGCCGCTCTCGCCCTCCTGTGGTAGCTGTTCACCAGCACCCATGGGCATTACACCAGCAGGAAGGGGGAAGGGAAATAGAGGGTGCAGGGCGGACCAGCTCCTCCTTAAAGGAGGATTCCAGGGAGCTGCTCGCCTCCCTGTGTGTCCCCGCACCAGGCTGCAAGCGAGATTGTGGCTGCAGGCACTAGCCAGGTGTTCCTCTTACAACCCAGGAGGCTCTGTTTCCATAAAGAAGGGAATGACCAATTCTGGGAAAGTCTCTGGCTCATCTTGGGACTCTCTGCATCTTAGTTATTCCATGAGCTTTGTCTTTTTTTTTTTTTTGAGACCAAGTCTCACTTTGTCGCCCAGGCTGGAGTGCAGTGGTGCAATTTCGGCTCACTGCAGCCTCCGCCGCCTGGGTTCAAGCGAGTCTCCTGCCTCAGCCTCGCGAGTAGCTGGGGTTACAGGCACCTGCCACCACACCTGGCTAATTTTTGTATTTTTAGTAGAGGCGGAGTTTCACCATGTTGGCCAGGCTGGTCTCGAGCTCCTGACCTCAGGCGATCCACCCACCTCGGCCTCCCAAAGCACTGGGATTACAGGTGTGAGCCACCGCGCCTGGCCCGTCTTCATCCTTTCTACCCTGAGTCCATGGCAACTAGCCCTGGAGCAGGCAAGGGTGACAGGATATGGGCGCTCTGTCTTTGGAGAGACAACTAATTTCCTTGGCAGTCTTCCTCTTTAGATGACTTTATCAGGAGTAGCTAGATAAATCTGGCTGTTCAATAAGCATCTTCTAGAAGTTTCTCAATGGACAAAGGATTCCTATTTGGTCTGCTTTGTTTGGATTCGTTTTGGTCTCCTTATTTGGTCTCTGGGACCTTTGACCTGATGTAGGTAAAATGTGGATTCTGGTGCAGTCAACCAACACCGCATGCCATTTTGAAAGCCAAGCCAAGCAAAACCCCGAACAATACAAGACAAAAAATACCCCCTCCAAACCCTAGAGAGTCCCATTTGAAATCCTTGGGGGCTGAGGTGACTCCCATTTTGATGTATTGTGTGGACTGACCAGCATCTCACATGTAGGAGCTTTCTGGGGGCTGTGGCTCCCGGGGTCCTGTGGGAAGAATAGTGAGGTGCACACAATGCAACGGGATCCTTAGGGCTATTTTTGTCACAATGAATCCGCGGGAGGCAGCAGCTTTGTCCTGACCCACTTCCTTCTCGCAAGTGTGCTCACAGCCTGAAGAGAGCGTTGGGAAGGATTTTCTGTTAGCATCCAGCTTGCTTCCCCACTTCCCTGCGACTGTCTGGGGGGAGAGGCTGCCTGGATTTTTGCATTTGCATTTCGGGACATGTTGCAGATATTCTCCACACCTGAATGCCGTGTCCATCTGTCGGCTTCTGCAGGCTCACACTCCTGTCACCTCCAAATCATGTTTCCCCATCTACGTCGTTATCGTCAGCTTAACTCCTTCAATGCAATATTCATTTCAGTTAGCAAGACACAGAATAACTGTGGACAAGGAGTTCAGGTGTTAAGAAAGAGGAGAGGGCCGGGCATGGTGGCTCACGCCTGTAATCCCAGCACTTTGGGAGGCCGAGACAGGTGGATCACTTGAGGTCAGGAGTTCGAGACCAGTCTGACCCACATGGTGAAACCCCATCTCTACTAAAAATACAAATGAGCCAGGCGTGGTGGCAGGTACCTGTAATCCCAGCTACGTGGGAGGCTGAGGCAGGAGAATCACTTGAACCCAGGAGGTAGAGGTTGCCGTGAGTTGAGATCACTCCACTGCACTCCAGCCTGGGAGACAAAGCGAGACTCCATCTCAAGAAAAATAAAAGGAGAGGAAGACAAGAAAGAGTGGGTAAGAAATAGTGTGGTGCTGTCTTCTCTAAACAGCCAATCTTAGTGGATATACAGCATGAATCCTATGCATGCAGGAAAAGCTAACATTCTGATAGAAATCTGATTGTTCAGGAATCCATAGAAAGTATAAACCCCGGAAAACAGGAGGAGCCCGAGGATGTTGTATAGTTCGTGCTGCTGTCTCTGAACAAAACTGTATCCAACATTTAAATGCTGCCACTTTCAAGAAATACTCAAAAGACAGAACTCCATAGCTAATCTTGGTCAATGTGCTCCAGGGTTTTGAGCCCACGTTATTGATAAGTTCTTCCAAATGTATATTACCTTGTTTCAATTTTCATAATCAGTGGTAACAAGGGACCTTTCCTAATATGTTATTTGACCAGCTGTAAGATGGTTATTAGGCATCCAGATCCTTCGTATTAGTTATTTCTCAAACTTTTTCTCTCTGTTTTTTGAGACAGGGTTTTGCTCTGTTGCCCAGGCTGGAATGCAGTGGCATGACCACGGCTCACTGCAGCTTCAACTTCCCGGGCTCAACCAATCCTCCCACCTCAGCCTCCTGAGGAGCTGGGACTACAGGCATGCCTGGCTAATTTTTATATTTTCTGTAGGGATGGGATTTTGCCATATTGCCCTGACCAGTCTAAAACTCCTGGAGTCCAGCGATCCTCCCGCCTTGGCCTCCCAAAGTGTCGGGATTACAGATATGAGCCACTGCACCCGGCCTCAAACTTTTTCAATCAATGAGCTACTTTAGACATCTAAGGAATCCTCCCCACCTCGTGTTATGATTAAAAAATCATCATCAATGAGAAGGCTGATGCTTTTGATGTGTGTTTTATTAAATATCATAAATGATTAATTCCGGCCAGCACTGGAGGTATGGAAACTCTTGAAAACGTGACCTTGGCAGATGTGCTGCTGCGGTGAGAAGACGGCCAGGGTGGATTTGCACATCATGGGAAGGACCGTCACCCTGTGCTCTGTGGCGGACACCCTCCTTGTCACACCGGGAGTTCTTCCTCAGAGCCACAGTCCACACAGCAGGGGTCCCTGCATCCTGTCCTGCACACGCGGTTGCGTATCTGCACCGAGATGAGAGGATAAACAGGCTGAGGCTGACTGCATTGGTTTTTGTAATAGCAAAGAATCGGAAATAAACCAGATTTTCACAAGTGGTTTGCACACTGTTTTGTATTAGGGTAAAGCCATTAAAAGGAATAGCGAGGGGCTGTGTGCATGCTGGTGGAAAGGTCTCCAGGACACACAGTAAGGGGCAAAGAGCAAGGAGCAGAATGTAAATAAACACGACTGTGTTTCTGCAGAAAAACCATGTGCTCATTCACTTGTACAAATACTCAGAATATTCTGAGTATTTTCCAAAATGAAAGGCCACACCTAGAAGTCTCGTGAATGGTTATTTTCCAGGACAGACAGTGAAGATCAATCGACATGGGACTGACGGACGTGGCTTTGCATCTTAATCTCTGTATTTTCTTTTATCTATGACTTTTGTAATACAGAAATAAACAGCTTATAAATGAGGGGAAAGCAGGAATCATATTTTACCAAAAAAAAACCTTCTGAGGCAGCTGAGGAAAACTGAACGCAGTCTGGGTCTTATAGGACATTGCTGAATTACTGATGCTTTTCTGAACATGACAACGGTAGTGTGGTGTGTTTCAAAAAGTCTTCTTAGGTGATAAATACACACTAATGTATGTATAAGTAAAATGATAGGATTATGCTTTCAAAAACTCTATGCATATATAAAAATTAATTTTGCAATGATTTAATAGGTAACTTTTTAAGATGACCAAATAACAAAGATCTATAGTTTCTTTATTGGGGGAGTAGGAAGAGCCCGTGGTCGTGTGGGAGGGCCAGCCAGGTGTGGCTGCAGCTTCCGAGTTCTCTAACTTGACATCCAGACACTGGGTGAGAGTGGGGGAGATGGAGGGCCCCTGGGATGCAGAATGTGGGGAGGAACCGGGAGTGAGGGTCGCCCCAGTCTGCAGATCCCACTGCGCCCTTCCTCACGCATGGCGCCTGGGATTCCTGCTCGCCTCTCCCTGCAGGGCTCTGCCTCCTAGTGTTTAAACGTTGACAACTAATGCAGCTGTGTGAGTGTGTGTGTTTGTATGTGATACGAATGTGTGCACCTGCGTCCGCTGTGTGATATGAACATGTGTGCCTGTTTGTGGATGTGTGTATGGGCCTCTGTGTGTGTGAGAGTGAGGGTGTGTATGGGTAAGTATTTGCATATATGAATGTGTGTGTATATGAGTATGAATGTGTTTGCCTGTGTTTGTGTGTATGAGAGTGTGTGTGTGTTTTGTATACCAGTATGAATGTGTGTGCATCTGTGTATGTGAGTGTGAGAGAGTGGGAAGTGGGTGTGTGTGTGTGTGTATATGAGTGTGTATGCAGGTGTGTGTGTATATGAATGTGTGCATGTTTTTATGTATGTGAGTATAAATATGTGTGCCTGTGTCTATGTATGTATGTGTGTGTGGGTGCGTGAGTGTGAGAGTGTGTGGGCATGTGTTTTTGTGAACGGTGCGTGGGTTCGTGTATGTGAGTGCGGATGTGTGTAAAAGTGTGTGTGAGCATGTTTGTGTATGTGAATGTGAGAGTCTGTGTGTGTATCTGTGGTGAAGACTAACATATCTGAAGGCAATTGGGCCTGAGGTGATCTGTGTGATTTCTGATGTGAAAGAGCACCTGCGAGGGGTCTTCCCCAGCCGCCCCTGGCAGGAGATCCCAGCCGCAGAGGGCTCAGGGCTGTCCAGAGCTTGAAACAGAACCCATTGATCTCATTACAAGAGGCGGAGGGAGAGTCACGCAAGATAACCTTGAGGTTGGGTTGTTCGTATCTCAAGTCTCTTAGAAGGCATTCTTTGCTTGTTTAAATATCCTCTTTCAACAGAAAATGACTCTTCCATGGAGGCCCCTACCATATTTGAGCTACTCATGTTTGCACCACCTAATCAGATGCAAGTCTAAATAAACATATATATATATATATTTAATATACATCGACAGAGAGCACAGTCCCAACATTGAAACGCTTCTGTCACCCCTTATGTAATTTCAGACCTGAGGCACCTAGGCCTGTGCTGGGTAAACCTCAGATGCAGAAAGGCCTGGAAGGAGAAAGGCGTGTTCGTTTTCAGGAGAGACCTGGAACTCGAGCAGATGCCAGGGGAATCACAGCACAGCTTGACGCAGGTAAGCTGGGCCCTGGGCCCAGTGCAGGGAGGAAGATGCTGGGGGTTCTCATACACCATTCAGATTCTTTTGCTTCCAAGTGTGTTCCCTGCTCTCTGCACCCCTCCTCCCTGCAGAGCATGAGATGCAGGAGCTGCTGGGATGCCGTGGGAGCGCCTCGGGCTTGCTTTGAGAGAGTGGTTCCCAAGCTTGAGCATCCGAACATCCCGGGGGTGCTGGCTAGAACACAGGATGCCAGCCCCAGCTTGGAGTGCCCCAGTCAGGAGGTCTGGGAGGGACCCGGAAATGTGCACCTGTCACAAGAGCCCAGGCGATGTTGGGGCCGCAGGTCCGTGAGCCGCACTCTGGGAGCTGCTGGCCTCGCGAGATGTGCCTGGATTTCAGATCACCCCAGGGACAGGCAGGCAGCTTCTGGCTTTCAGGAAAATCACAGTTTGGGTTTTGTATCTCTTGCTTGTATGCAACACATCTACAAAATTAAGGTTTTTAAAAAATTGTGGCAAAATACCCAAAATGCAGTAACACAAACTTTACCACCTTACCCCCTGTGAGTCTACGACTCAGTCATGTTCAGCGCACACACGTGGCTGTGCAACCATCACGCCGTGCTGCCCCCGCACGCTTTCTGCTTGCACGGCTAAAGCTCTGTGCCCAGTATGCGCCAACACCTCGTCCCCACCTCCCATCCCGTCCCTGAAGCCATCGTTCCACTCTCTGTCTATATGCATTTAATTAAGTCTGTAGTTCACTATGTTTTGGGCAAAGTCGTGGTCACAGTGAGACCTGAGGCTGATCCCACGGAGGAGACGGGCAGGTGACTGTGTTAACTTACGTGACAGTGTAGCAATCAAACAGCTGCCTCGTGAGAGACGAAGGGGTGGTAAGAGGCTCAGCCAGGTAGTTTCTCTTCCTCCTCCTCCTCTTCCTCTTTAACTTCAGGCTAGGAAAATGCTGTGGGTGGAGCCACTCTGGGAAGGTGAAAAGCCTTTTACCCCCAGGTTGCCTCAGTAAGAGGTTCCCGCTGCGGCACTTTAAAGCCCCGTAGACGTGTCTGAATTTATAACACACTCTTGAAGTATTCACTCAGAATCCTGAAGGGATTTTCAAAGCCACCAAGAGGATGGAGAACTTGTGGCCAGCTCAGGTGTAGGGAAAAACTTCTAGGAGGGCTGCCTGTTCAATGGTATTAAACAGACTTTTGGGAAGACGGCGCCAGTAGCCACAGACCCGGAAAACTCGTGGGCACTGAATTCAGATTAGCAGGTGTTTGTTGTGTGTTAACTCTCTACGAAGCACAGACACAGTGGGAGAGAAACCTTCTGAGGTGCATGGGGCTCGGTCAGTGATCGGAGTCAGAGGAACATCAGATAACCAGCTTTTCCCTCGTGTCATAGGGATGTGGAGGACCCTCTGTGTGCAGGGCCCTCTGCTGAGCACGGCTGCCCAGTGGCTTCCCCTGTGGGAAGCGGAGAGGCGGGCACTCGGTCACAATGATAAGAACCTCCTCCTAGCGAGGGCTGCTGTGGCCAGGCTGCACTGGGAGTGGTTTCCTTATGTTCTGTAGTGGAAACAGATCATTACAAAAGAACAAGGTTTGTGACCGCTGGAAATATGAATGAGGTCTTATGAAGACATCAAAGAGGAATTCCTAGCCCAGGCCGGGGAGGGTGGGATGGGCTGCTGAGTGGAGACGGTGCTGGAGTGAAGAGGCAGAGGACGGAAAGGAGTATGCAGGCCTAAGAGGAAATTCATCCCACCGACATGCATCCAGAAAGCTATTGAGTGTCCCTCCCTGCCAGGCACAGGCCTAGCCCCGGGGATAAACGACTGAACACAACCTGCTGTCATGAGCTTGTGTTCTTGGGGGAGGAGGTGGTAGCAATAAACAGGGTGGGATGTAACATGGGTTTGCTTTGAGAGAGTTGTCCCCAAGCTTGAGCATCAGAACATCCTGGGAGTGCTGGCTGGAACACAGGATGCCAGCCCCAGCCCCAAGCACCCGAGTCGGGAGGTCTGGGAGGGACCCAGAAATGTGCACCTGTCACAAGAGCCCAGACGATGTTGGTGCCGCAGGTCCGTGAGCCACACTCTGGGAGCTGCTGCTCTCAGGTGATGTGCCTGCATTTCAGATTGCCCCAGGGACAAGCAGGCAGCTTCTGACTTACAGGAAAAGCACAGTTTGAGCTTTTAACACATAGGATATGTTCGTGATAAGTGTGAAAACTATAAAGAAAGAGAATAGCAAAACTATGGTTGGGCTATTGCAATTTTACATAGGATTGCAAGAGAAGGCATCATGGAGAAAGTGGGATTGGAGTAAAACTCTAAAGGATGTGATGACATGAGTCATGGCACATCAGGGAATGGTTTTCCAGACAAAGACCAGACGTGCAAAGGTCCTGGGGCAGGGGCTCCCTGGGAAGCTCAACGTGAGCAACCACAGTGTGGCCACAGCAGAATGAATGTGAGGGAGAGGACGGAGATGCGGTCCTGATGAGGACAGGGAACACGCCACGCTGAGGCTTCTTGGCCACTGAAGGCTCTCTGAGTTTCCTTTGAGTGAGATGGGAACTACCGAGGTTTTATGAGCAGAAGATGGGTGTGGCTTGACTAATGTTTTCATAGTCTCTCTCTGGCTGCAATGGGGAATGAAACTGAAGGGGAGAAGTGGTGGCAGGAGAGACACCAGCCAGGAGGTGGCTGCCCCAACCAGGTACGGAAAATGGTGGGTGAAACTGAGGTGTAAGCAATGGTGTGAGTGGGAAGTAATTGGATGGGGACCGTACTTTGAAGACAGAGCTGATAAGATTGAACGGCCAATAGGAGGTGGAATTTGAGGCAAGAGCGATGTCAGGAATGACTCCAGGGTTTTTGGCCAAGCCAGCCTGAGGCAGGAGTGGCCATCTCCCCTCTCATTGTGAAGCGGGTCAGAGCAGGAGGTGAGAAAATGAGAATTCATTCTAGGCAGACCAAATGACAGTTGCAAAACAAAGTAACCATGGAGTGTGTGTGGGGAGCTGCCAGCCCCTGGAGACCCCAAGGAAGGGTATGGGGTGGATGAGACCAGACAGGGATGGGTGCACACGAAGAAGCTAGGAAGCCTCCTCCCGCAGCATCCGCGCATCCAGAGTTTGGCGTTTTGTGGGCAGGTTTGGCTGGCAGAAGCTATGCAAGGGTTCAGGGATGCTGCTGGGAGAATACCATATTTCACTTCATCCAAGACATCACTTGTAAATTCGGTCATTATTTTGTATCCTTCTAAGAAAGAAATTATGTTAAGACTTACATTATGGTGGGTTACTGTTGTGTCACTTAGAGTTTGCCCTTTATGCATATTACATGCATATTAAAGGTGCCCTTCCACACTTAGACATAGAGATTCATACCCTGCATCTCTCCATGCATGCAGAAAAGAAAGGCACAAAATTAATTGGTTCAGATTTTGCAAACGTCTTCACATTCAGAGTTTGACTCCTCTGAAATACTTTGAGACTAGAATCACCCATGTTCAGGTTTTCAATCTACCTGGGAACTACATGTGCTCATGAGCGACAGGGAAGGCTGCCTTCTCTGGAAGAGTCCCCCACCATTGTCTCGATGGCCCTTCTGCATTGTTGAAGCTGCTGCATACTTTATCTCTGTCAACGTCTTAGGGAAGGCCAATATGTCACTATTGCTGCTGGATGTGATCTGTTGCCAGGCACATCCTGATATCAGAAATGTTAAGATGTATTTAAAAGCTCTGTTTCGGAACCAATGACATAGGAGAGAATTTGGGCCATCATTCTAATCTTTCACCTTGAGGTTGGAGATAATTTATACCCAGAATAACATTATGAAAGCCCCAAAAGACAGGGGAAGGAGTTGGGCTGACAAGTTTCCCAGGTGGAATTATTCCAGGTGGTGCCAAGACCCAGCATGTGTCCCAGGTGTGGGTGACTGGAGTGAGGTAAGATGTCAACCAGTGGAGTGAAAGAGGGTCAAGTTCTGAGCTGTGGCTGTTGGCAGGGAGTCTGTATGGATGTTTAAACCTCCTGGGACTATGGCAGGACATGGGATGGAGGCTTCAGCAGTGCCCTGGGGCTGCTATAACAAAACACCACAAACTGGGTGGCTTAGAACAACAGGAATTTGTTCTCACAGCATTCTGGAAGCTGGAAGTCTGAAACCAGTGTGGCAGGGTTGGCTCCTCCCAGTGGGCCTGGCTTCTGGGGTCCCTGGCAATCCTCGAGGTTCTGTGGCTCGCACAGGCATCACTCCAGGCTCTGCCTCCGTTGCCACGTGGACTTCTCCTCTGTGTGTCTCTGTGTGTCCTTGCCTCGTATAAAGACGCCAGTCATTTGGATTTAGGACAGACCCTAATCCAGCATGAGTTCAGCTTGCTTTAACATGTTTGCAAAGATTGTTTCCAAATAAGATCACATTCTGAGGTTACAGGGGGACATAGTTTGGGGGCACACTATTTAACCCAGTACAGAGAAGAAGATTGAGCCAGCTCCCTGAGTTACGCATGGATAGGGAGGGGTGGACAAGAGGCTGGTCAATGGCAGGGGTGAGGAGAGGAGGGACTTCTCTCTGGGGAACACATTCAAGAGGACATCACAGAAATGTCCCTGCCCACTTTGTGTTGCTGCTGATCTCCTGGCCCAAGATGCACCCTAGCCTGGCCTGACAGCATACACTTTTACAAACAGCTTCCTGGCTGTTTGCAGCCAGGAAGATGAGAGGAGGATGGGGCTGGAGCAAACCCTGTGGGCCGCAGGGCAGGAGGGTGGGGCAACCTCACAGGACCTCCCTGTTGATGGTTTTGGCCCTCAATGTCCCACCAACACCCTCCCAGCACTTTTGTCCTATCCCCTCGGTAACCTCTAGGCCTCCAGAGCCTGGGAGCTCTTGGGTGCCCTGGCGTCCGCTCCAGTCCTTGCCCACTGCCCACTCCAATGGATGTGGTATTTCTGACCTTCCCTGATTCCTGGGCCATCATCACGCAGAAACAGCTCCAGCTCAGCATCCCTTTGGCAGAGCCCCAGGCACACTTTCCGCCCCAAGATAAAATCAAACATCAAAGGAGTATGAAATTTCACACGAGGGCGGAAGAGTGCTGGTCTGGAATTGGCAGTGGAGGCCAAGGGAAAGGCTCACTCCTGTTGTCACTGGACTGGGAGTCGGGACAAATGGCCCCGTGTGGAAGCCGGGGGAATGACCTCATCTCCTGAGGCCACAGTTCTCCGTCCATGAATCCAAGAGCCTGGCTTAGGGGACCGACCGTGAGGGCACCTTCATGTCCCAAACTCTCCAAGTTTAAAAACGGGCAGGCAAGGGAGCATTCCACAGCCATTTCTGATTCCTTGTTTCTCTTTTACAAAAAGTGTTCTTTCGCATTATGGCTTTTATTCCTCACCTTATCGTTGAAATAGTTCCCAAATCTATAATTCTTCTGCAAACCATAACAGCTTAATGAATTCTACCAGAAAGAGAAAGCAACCAGTTTATTACAGACACATTAACCTTCATCTGTGATGCAGCTTCTATTCTGTTGCATGCTGGCACCACTTGAGAGCTTTAAGATACACACGTAGTGCGGGGAATAATGAAATAATGACCCCGCAGGCATCCAGGTCCTGATCCACAGAACCGAAGACTATGTTAGATCGCAGGCAACGGCGGCAGGTCGGCTGACCTGAAGTGGGAAGAGGATCTGGGATTATCCAGGTGGACCCGATGTCATCACGGGGTCTTTAAGTGGAAAAGAAGGCAAGGTGGAGGGTGGTTAGGGAAGAAATGTCAGAAGGATGTGATATGAGGGCCCACCCGCCTTTGCTGGCTTGAGACAGAGGAAGGTGCCCCAACCCAAGGAATTATGGAAGTCTCTAGAAGCTGAACAAGCTGCAGAAATAGATTTTCCTCCAGAAAGGAATGCAGACTGCTGAAACTTTGAGTTTAGCCCAGCAAGACCTGTTTTGGGCTTACAACCCTCAGAACTGCGAGATAATGAATCTGTGGAGTTTTGTTGTTGTTTTCGTTTGTGTGTGTGTGTGGTTTTTTTTTTTTTTTTTTTTGAGATGGAGTTTCAATCTTGTCACCCAGCCTGGAGTGCAATAGCGCAATCTCAGCTCACTGCAACCTCCACCTCCCGGGTTCAAGTGATTCCTCTACCTCAGCCTCTTGAGTAGCTGGGATCACAGGCATACGCCACCACACCCAGCAAGTTTTTATATTTTTGGTAGAGATGGGGTTTCACCATGTTGGCCAGGCTGGTCTCCAGCTCCCGACCTCAGGTGATCCACCCGCCTTGGCCTCCCCAAGGGCTGGGATTATAGGCCTGAGCCACCGGGCCCAGCCCAGTGTTGTTTTAAGTGACTAAATTTGTGGTGACTTGTTACAGGCTGGGTAGGAAACTGATGCAATAGTAATGCTTGAGCCCCACCCCAGACCAATTAAATCAGGGTCTCTGGGCGGTGAGGCCTCCGGTGACGCTAATACCCAGCCAGAGGCCGCTGGTGAAATGCTGCAACATTTATTTCGTAACTATTCCTGACCTCCAATAAGCTCGGCAACCCGGTAGGAGCGGATTTCCTTGTCTGTAGAATGAAAGGTGGAGAAAGTTCATCAACTGACCTCGTCTGAACTTCTACTGAGGGTGAGGATGGGACAGGCGTGTGTGATAGAGAATGCACAAGGGTTCCTGCCATGGCAAGGTGTTCATCTGTGAAGGCTGTGGTGACCGGGGTTACTGACAAATTCAGATGCTTACGAGGAAGAAATCAATTCCAGACAGATCAAAGCCGAGTGTGGAAACCTCCCCATTACCAGAAGCAGCCAGCTCAGCTCCCATGAAATAGCGAGGAGGGGAGTGCATTCCTTAGGGCCTCTTCCAGTGGCCATGGCCATTTTATCACCTAAGTTTATGGAGGGCGGGAGGGAAGTGATTCGTTTGCATGAGCACGCAGGGCAGCATCAGAGCTATCTTGGGGGCCAGCACTCTGGGAAGGCTGCCGCAATGAGGATCTCCCCATTTCCCAGCTCTGCTCCCAGCGCTGATGCTCTCTTGGGCTCCAGGAAGACTCAAGTTACCCAAAGCTCCGGCCCTGACAGCCTGAAGCCTCCCGCCCAGCAGAAAAGACAGGACCCTTTCCCCAGACATCGCAGAAAAAGCCTCATGGCAGCTGACTGGTTCTAATCTAGTCCCACAACCATCCCTAGATCAATTGCTGTGACCAGGAGAACACTCATGGAGCCATGTCTAGTCCAACGGCCACATCCTGAGAAGGGGACAGGCCCCTGACAACAGGGGCCGAGCCTCATCTTTGGGTTACAGCCATAGGAGATGAGCTTGAAACCAGAAGGAGCTGCTGATGAAAACATTCTGAGATCCCTTTGATCTTGCTGAGCTTGAAGAGGCTGTGGTTCTCCCGATATCCCACACCCAGGCCCACACATGGCTGGCGTGAAGGACAAATTGGTCTGTCTGTCAGTCACCTTCATGCTTCCTCCCAAGCTGACCCACCCACGCCCAGCCTGCCAACAGCTGTAGAGTCAGGGTGAGGCCGGGAAGCTGTTTGCAAAGGTGTGTGCTGTCAGGCCAGGCTAGGGTGCATCGTGGGCCAGGAGATCAGCAGCAACACAAAGTGGGCAGGGACATTTCTGTGATGTCCTCTTGAATGTGTTCCCCAGAGGAAGTCCCATCCGTAAAGCCAGATTCAAGAAGTTCTTGTTTTTAAAGCTCAAAGGACCCCATCTGGCCTCTGAAAAGTCTTAAAACATCTGAAAGCTTAAAGTGCTGCCTAGTGGTGTCCCTGGAGGCGGACGGTGAGGTGGTGGTAGAGTGTGGCCTGACTTCTGTGAGGATCCCTGTGGTGAACCTCTGCAGAGAGGACAGGTGGGCCAGGGAGCAGGCAGAGGGAGAAGTCAGCCTCACCCACGGGACCCAGGACAGCCACAACCCACCCCACAGAGCATTCTGGAGCTAGAACTATCCCTAGTAGGGTTGAGTTGGGTGGTTCTCTATATTCCCTTATGGATCTGTCCCTGGATCGTGGAATGTTTGTCACTGTTGTTTAATTGTAAGAGCTCTTTATATATTCTGGATATTAATCCTTTCTCAGACATATGACTTTCAAATATTTTCTCCCATTTTGTGAGTTGTCTTTTCACTGTATTGGCAAGCACCTTTGATGATGCATAAAAGGTTTTAATTTTTACGAAGTCCTTGTTTTGTTTTGGATGATGCTGTTACTCACGTTATTATCACACACGGTACTGCAAGACAGGAAATCAGTGCATCCTCCCAGCCTGTAGCAAAGAAAAAGACCCAAGTCCCAGGCCCAAGCTGATCAGCATATTCTGTCCCCTATGCACTGTGAGTGGTATGGAGATGGGCAAGGACCCAGTTTGTCCCAGTGAGGTTCAGTCCAGAACTTTTCTTAGAATGACTGGGGAGAAAGATTTACCTACCTACCTCTGAGGCTAAGAGCAAGTTAGGAACTTCTGGAAGCCATCTGGTCACCATGAGAGGAGGGCGTAATAGAGAGAGGAAGGCAGGGAGAGAGAAGGTGTGCATGTGAGTGTGTGATTGATTGATTATGTGCATTGGTAATCGATAACCTACCCATGCCGCCTTACCCCAACTTGAGTTGTGCTTTCTTTCTTCTTTCACTTGCAACAAAAAGAGCTGGATGGATACAGAAGTTACTTTGGAAGTCTTTTAGTGCCCGCTCTATTGAACAGAAGAGGGAACTGAGGCCCAGGGAGGGGAGCCCCAATATCTGATACATTTCATCAGGAACTATTAAAGGTCTCTTGCAAGAAGCACATCTGTTCAAATATTTGCATGGGCCTTCCTTGTGAGACAAAATCTTTGTCTTGATTTTGCTCTCACCTCCTGTGCTAGGAGAAGGGACACCTTGGGATTCCTTGTTCTCAAAAAAGAAAACTAAGGAAGAAATCACAGAGGGCCCCTGATATGGTTTGGCTGTGTCCCCACCCAAATCTCACTTTGAATTGTAAAAATCCCCATGTGTCAAGGGCAGGACCAGGTGGAGATAAGTGAATCATGGGGGTGGTTTCCCCCATACTGTTCTCGTGGTAGTGAATAAGTCTCAGATCTGATGGTTCTATGGGAGTTCCCCTGCACAAGCTCTCTTGCCTGCTGCCATGTAAGATGTGACTTTGCTCCTCATTCGTCTTCTGCCATGATTGTGAGGCCTCCCCAGCCATGTGGAACTGTGAGCCCATTAAACGTTTTTTCTTTATAAATTACCCAGTCTCGAGTATGTCTTTATGAGCAGTGTGAGACCAGCCTAATACAGCCCCCAAGTCAGTAAGGGAACCAGGTTCTATATAAAAGACCAAACAAAATTCATACCTGAAACTTACCTTGAAACAATTTTCAGAGTTCAGAGAAATAAAACAAGGTTTACACATTTTTGGACAAATTTATATGGGGTAGAAAGTGAAAGATTTCTTCCCACACTAACACATTTCTTTATATCCCTGCAGAATTTTTCCTTTGTTTATTTAAATAAAAGTCAACATAATATGCATATTTTTCTGCAACTTGCTTTAAAAGTTAACAATATACTGTGACTGTTTTTCCAGGGCAGAATATGCCAAATCAACTACATTCTTTTTAATAGATCCATGTTTCAATTTCATTCAGTGAACACCAAGGTTGTTTTGATTTTTGTTATTACAAACTACTCTGCCCATACATCCTTAGGCATAGAAAGCTGTAAATCTGGGGTTAGGTACAGAATCACTTCCAAAAGTAAGAGGTCTAGACAGAAGTTTATTGTCCTGATTGCAGACTCTCTCTTGTGCTGTTGAGTGACCTGTGTGGGCATCTCTCAATATATTTATTGTTTGGGTGTTTTTGATATCTGCTAAAATATGTCTTCCTCATAATACTTCCTATTTGAACATATTTTTAGCTATTCTCTTGCATTTTTCTCTTCAAGTAACCTTTAATAAATATGACATGTTAATAAATGCTTCATTAAAATATTGATTGGATATACCCTAAATTTATTAATTTACGACTTCACGCTATTGAGTTTTCTTTTATCCTTTTCAGTATAGTCTTATAATTTCATTCAGAGAGAGATCAAATACATGGGTAAGAATTTTATTTCTTCTTTTCACTGTTTTTAACTATTACTTTCTTCCTTACCTCATTGAATTAACTAGCAAGCCCAGAACAATGTTGAAAAACCCTGGTACCAGCAGATAGCACTGCCTTTCATGTTTCACCAATTTATCTAATGTTTACTAGTTATTGTTATATATCTTTTACCGTTAGAACTTCCTTCTGTCAATAGCCAAGGGAAAGCAGTAATAATTATCAAGTTTCCTCAGAATTTTTCCCATTTAATGATTGAATCATAATTTTTATCCTTCAACCTATTGTAGTAGTTAGCCTTCAATAAAATGCCCAATAATTCTCAAATCCTGGCATTCACACACCATGAAGTCCCCTCCCTCATCGTATAGGGCTGACCTGTGTAATCAATAGACGATGTGGAATAACAGAGTGTGAATTCCAGAGCTAGGCCATAAAATATCTCGAATTACTTGCTATGGGAGAATCAGCTGCCATGTTGTGAGGATGCTCAAAGAGTCCTAAAAGGTCCACATGGCCAGGAACTGAGGCCTCCAGCCAACAGCCATGGGTGCCTTCCAAGGCTGCCATCTTGGAAGCCAGTCTTCTGCCCCATTTAAGCCTTCAGATGACTGCAGCCCCATCAACTTCTTGACTGCAACTTCTTGAAAGGCACTCTAAGCTACAGCCACCTAAGTTGCTCTGGGTACATAACGGAAACTGTGATTAAATACATATCTATTGTGTTAAGCTGCTAAGGTTTGAGGTGATTTGTTATGCAATGGTAGATAACTAATGCACATACTAATTGATTTTTAAAAGTTTTCCGATGTTATTTCATCCTTTTATTATTGGAAGAAAAATAGTTTAGTCATGGTATATTATTCTTTAATACACCGATGGATTCAATTTGTTGATAGTAAATTTTGAGTTTTATTATTCTTATTTGCAAAAGTGATTAAACTCAATCTGTATTTCTTAACCTGTTTGTCAAGAACCGTAATTCTGGAAGTTTAATTGGAGCTCTGACAAAGGCAATTCTATTAAACCACTCTGGGAAGCATCTGTGTAATGAATGCCCCTCTTGGAGATTTACAATGCTCGTTAGTGCAGTGTTTTTACCACCTGAATCCAAATTACCTAGGTATCTGTTAAATTCAGATATTCAGGCTTTATTCAATAAAAATCTGTGATTTGGGTTTGGAAACCTGCATTTTAACAAGCTTTACCAGGGATTCTTACGCACACAAAAATTTTAAAGCTGTATCTTAATATATTAAAGGTTCTGGGAAGTTCAACAGTTGAAAAAACAAACCCTTAATGGTAAACAAGTTCATTTATGAGGGAAGGGTTTTTTCTCCATTTGTTAGATACATTTCTAAAAATATTAGTTTGGGTTTATAGTTGTATGTTTTAAATATACATATAATACTGTTAATTAGATTTTGGTGTCAGAATTTTATCAGTCTTGTAGAATATACTAGAAAATTTTCTGTGTTTTTTTCTAGGCTTCAGGATAGTTTAAATCATAGACGATTTATCTGTTCCTAGAGGGTCGGATGGTAAATTTTTGACATCCTTCTCATTTTTAAATAATTATTATCCAGATTTTCTACTTCTTTATTTAACTCTGGTAATTATTCCTTTCATCCAGATAAGGATTCATTCATACCTTCATACCTCTTGGTATGAGGGTATACATGGCATTCTCTAAGTTTTATAAATCTCTGCCATATCACTAAGTATTTTGTCTTATTTCTATCATGAACAATTTAGTTTTTCTCTCTCTCTTGTTCTCACTCTTGCTCTCGCTCAAGTTTGCCAAGAGATTTATCTATCTTAATCTATTCAAAGCTATGGTTCTTTACTTTATCAATTCTGTTTTTTATTCCTTAATTTTTTTCTATACAACTAATTTGTTTTCCATTTCACCTATTTTATTCATTAATTTCTTATTTTTTCTTAGCTTCTTCAGTTAAATATTTAATTCATTTGTTTTTAGCCACTTTATTAATAATAAGAGGATGTTCAGTCCAGGAATTTTCCCCTGATTACAGGTTGGGCCACATTCTGGTTTTTGTTGTTATTGCTATTGCTTGTTTTTTTTTTTTTTAACCTTCATCTTAAAGTTTAAATATGTGTGAAATACACACATAATTAAGAGTATCCAGTGCTTATAATTTAAGAAGCATCCCTTTTCCTCTCTCATACGGCCCCACGACTCCATGTTTGCTTTCCCAGGAGAAAGCATGCTGGATTGTTGCAGCTCTCTCTGGTCCATTTCCATTTTAAAAAGGTGTTTTCAGCATTACATCATGATATAGTATTAGTTTTAGACATTATCTGTTGACTGCCTGTTAGAAGAAACTATAGTCTCTTTTGTATGTGGCCCCTGCCTCCTTCCCTGCCACTCTCCCAGTATGAGTGAGATCATTTTTCTGAGATTATTTCTATAGCTCGATCACTTCTCAGGGCTTGTATTTGGAACATCTTATCTTGCCCAGTTTTTCCTGTGAATGTGGAAGAAACACTTGCCAATGAACCTGGCTGGACCCAGGCTCTTCTCTCCTTGAATAGCGGCAATAACCACAAGTCTTCAGCTTGACCTCTCAAGTCCACAGCGGCGGCCCGGGGTAGTCCATCAGGGGCTACCTAGGGTGGCTACAGATTTGGCTAGAGCCTTACCTAATACCTGAGAAAGTTGGCTTAGAGCTTCTCGTTTGGAAGAACTCATAGTTTTTGTCTCGCACTTTGTTTTTTTTTTTTTTTTTTAATTCTTGAGTTTATTTTTTCATTTTACTTTAAGTTCTGGGATACATGTGCAGAATGCGCATGTTTGTTACATAGGTATACATGTGCCATGATGATTTGCTGCACCCATCAACCTGTCATCTAGGTTTCAAGCCCTGCCTGTATTTAGTATTTGTCCTAATGCTCTCCCTCCCCTTGCCCCCCACCCGCCGACAGGCCCCAGTGTGTGACGTTCCCTCTCTGTGTCCATGTGTTCTCATTGTTCAACTCTTACTTATGAGTGAGAACATGCGGTGTTTGGTTTTCTGTCCTTGTGATAGTTTGCTGAGAATGATGGCTTCCAGCTTCATCCATATCCCTGCAAAGGACATTAACTCATTCTTTTTTACGGCTGCATAGTATTCCATGGTGTATATGTACCATATTTTCTTTCTCCAGTCTATCATTGATGGGCATTTGGGTTGGTTCCAAGTCTTTGCTATTGTAAATAGTGCTCCAATAAACATACGTGTGCATACCACAATGAGATACCATCTCGTGCTGGTTAGAATGGAGATTATTAAAAAGTCAGGAAACAACAGATGCTGGTGAGGCTGTGGAGAAATAGGAACACTTTTACACTACTGGTGGGAGTGTAAATTAGTTCAACCATTGTGGAAGACAGTTTGGCGATTCCTCAAGGATCTAGAACCAGAAATACCATTTTACCTAGCAATCCCATTACTGGGTATATGCCCAAAGGATTATAAATCATTCTACTTTGTTATATTTTTATTTATTGTGGAATATTTTATTTTATTTATTTTATTTTATTTGAGATAGGGCCTTGCTCAGTCACCCTGACTAGAATGCAGTGGCACAATTAAGACTCACTGTAGCCTCCACCACCAAGGATCAGGTGATCCTCCCACCTCACCCTCCAGAGTAGGTGGGACTACAGGTGCACTACCAGGCCCAGCTAATTTTTAAATTTTTTGTAGAGACAAGGCCTCATTGTGTTGCCCAGACTGGTCTCAAACCCCTGACCTCAAGCAATCCTTCCATGTTGGCTTCCCAAAGTGCTGAGATTACAGACGTGAGCCGCTGCACCCAGCCTATTATGGAATATTTTAACTTACACAAGTGAATATAGTAGTATAATGAACTCCCAGCTTCAGAGAGAGCGAGAGAGAATAGTGAGTCACTTAGCTTTAAGACTGTCAGTTCACAGCCAATCTGACTTCATCTATACCTCTATCCACTTTCCCACTCCTCTATTATCTTGAAGCAAATCCTAGAAATCATATTTTATTCATAAATATTTCAGTATGTTTCTCTAACAGATAAGGACACTTTCTTTAATATAACCATGATGCCATTATCCTAAAATAGTAATTCCTTAATATCAACAAAAATCCACTCAGTATTCAAATTTCCGGTTGTCTTCTAAAAGTCATATGGGGTCAAACCAAGTCTCTTTGATTTTAGGTTCTACTTGTCGGTTTGAACCAGGCGCTGAACAGCTCCACACCTGCTGACTGGCTGTACTATCTTTTGTTTTCATCTCTGGAGTTCCCAGCCATTTTTTTTTTTCAACATTTGTGGAAGAAACCAGTTTCTTTTGTCCTGTTTCCTAGTTTCGATTTTGCTAATCATGTCCTTGTGGGGCGTTGTGTAATATTTTTCTCTGTCTTCTGTGTTTTTTTGTGGATTGGAAGCTGGAGCAGTGGGGTTCATGAAACTCGATTTTTTTAAACAGGAAATCTATCTACGTGAGGTGTTGTCTTACAAGGAGGCATACGATGCTTGATTGTCTTTCATTTTGTTATGTTAACAGACCTGTGTTCAATGCCTGGATCCATTATTTTAAGAAGGCTTGCCAAATGTTAATGCTCCGTTCTCTTGTTTCCTCATCCATTCAGTGGAATAACTCCACAAAGAGAAGCTTCCTCCCAAATACTATTTAGTAATTGTGTGGCAATATTTTAAGTCTTTTTCTTTCATTAACATACATCAACAACAAATATAAGATTTGCTATGTATAACTCCATGTGTGTATATGGAAACTGAGGACTCTGAGTTGTCAAAGACTCCTAGAGCTGCCTAAGGAGTTTCATCAATAGATCTCTCACTGTTGTTGGTCAGCAGCTTGGAGACAGTTCCTTGACAGTGCCTGGCTGTCTAGAAGAGAACAGTCCACTCCCCATTCTCACTGGAGCTTGGTGTATCTGTGTGACTATGTTCCGGTCATTGAGATAAAAGTGGAAAACATGAGGCTGCTTTCATGAAGCTGTCTTAGAAGGCAGCTTTGCTGGCTCCTGACCTCCTCTTCCTTGCCTCTTCCTCGTGCTTGGAATACATGGAATGCAGAAGAGAGGGCTGGAGGTCCTGCAGCCTTCTTGGACTAGGAAGTCAAGCTCCACACCCTAGAAATAGCAAACATGAAAGCCACAAAGTCCACGGATCCCTGAAACTCTCCACATGCCATATTAACCTGAGCTGCCCACCTGCAGGTTGCTTTCACGTGAGAGGGAAATAGATTGCTATCTTCTGTAAGATACTGTATTGGGGATAAGGAGGTTCTATTAATCTTGATGAGTGGAGTTGTCCAGCTCCCACATCCTCCCAGGTGAAGCAGCTCTTCTCTTCACTCTGCAAACCTTGAAGACCTGCTTGGAGAAGGGCTGGGGGGAGCATGGGTCATATTCTCCTTTGGCACTCCCTCCACTGGCTCCAGCTCAATAACCTTTAATTCGGATGACACATGACCCCACTCAGCTACTCCAGTCCTGAAGTAGAGTTAAATGGGAAGTTATGTGCTCCAGATACAACTCTGGTCTTATCTCCTACCTCTTTAAAGCATCTGTGGAGGCACAGACGCCAGCAGCAATGGCCTCCCTCCCGCAGGATTCTGTCATCTCCTGTTTCCAGGCACCTGGAATCTTATGGGGCTTTTTAACTTCCAATCATAAAACAGCTTTCTCTGTCATCCAAGGCATGCATGGGCCATCTCAGCCCTTTGATCCCCTCTCTCCCTAACAATGCTCACCCCCTTGGACTGTGTTTCTCCAACATGTCTGGTTCTGCCAGCACACATGCTAAAAAAGGACAAATGTGGTTTCTTCTCTGTTATGATCATCTTGTCTGGAGAATTTGCCAGAATTCATGGAGTTGCATAAAGGTGCTAAGTGGAAAAATGGACTGTATTTAAGCTCAATTGTTTTGAGCTATGAAAATGCAAAGATGTGCCTCCACCTTGCTTCTTGCAGATTTTATCTAAGGGTCTAGAAATCTACAATAAGACATAAATGCCATCTACCCTCTCTGAGACTTTTGAGTCCATAAAGCAAATCATCACCCTCTAATTAAGACCTGCTTGTGTTTTCTGATTAACAGTTAAGGGGGTTATTTTTGATATTTCATGTGGGAGCTTCACATGTGTGTGTCGACCAATATCTCAGATCAATGTGTGCGTTCACAGAGCTTTGTGTAGTGCTGTGCATCGTGCTCCTAATCCCACTTTTAGTAAATAAAAAAGAAGTGAGGTGGTAGAGATAGCAAGTGCACACATAGGGGCAGAAGGAATTGGTGTGAGACTAAGCATGATCTAATCTAATCAGAGACTCAAATTTATGAGACTCATTACGAGACTATGACACACATGTGCTTATTTCCACTTTACAAATGCGGAAACTGAGCTAGCGAGTGATGCAAACAAAATTCTAATTCCAGCCTTGTCTACTTCCAAAACCCGTGTTCTTCCCCTGCACTGCTCCCCTGCTGTTGATTTGAGCCTGGTGGTGAACCTCGGCTGCTACCAAATTTATCAGTGGGAGGTCCTTGTAGGAGAGCATCTGGAAGGAAGAGGGCGTAGGAGACCTATCTTGAGGTTGTGTTTGCACGGGAAGAAAGCTCATTGCTCTCGTGGAGTGGGGAGGCTGGAGATAATAAGGGGGCTAAATAAAGCTCCTTAATGTAGGACTCCAATCCCAGCAAAGGAATATGACAGAACCAAAAAGCAAAACCAGGCAACTCATGTAGGAAGGTGGTCCCCGCTGGCTCCCCTTCCAATTTCAGGAGCACTGTAGAGGCTACGGGGTTGCATTTCGTATTCTCTTCCTTTACTGATGACAAGTTGATACATGAAACCACAGGGAAGTTGTTGAATCATCTGAATGACATTTTTCTCCCTGACTTAATATATTCTTCAGTTAAAAGAACGCTCTGAAGAGGTTTTGTCCCCCGGGGTTCCATCCTTGGCTCCCGGATCTCATTCCACAGCCCCACCCAAGACTTCCCCCGAGCTTTGGGCTCATTTATCCAAGTGTCTGCCGGGCTGCCACCTGGATGTCCTGCAGGCACTGCCGCTCAGCAAGTCTGACTCTGAGCCCCTTTTCCTCCCACAGGGGCATCTTCAAGGCTGGCCCCTCTGTCTGCCCCATGCACCTGGGCTACGACCCCAGATCTTCGAGGCTGGCCCCTCTGTCTGCCCCACACACCTGGGCTACAACCCTGGAGCCTTGACCCCCTCCCTCTTCTTTATCCTCCCTCACTCAAATCACCAAACCCTCCACCCCAGGCTGGGGCAGTCACTCTTCGTGCACACATATCTATCAATCTATCAATCAATCAATCAATAGATAGGCATATGTATCAATTGCCGAGTGACCACATAATATCCTATTTATCTGCATATGTGTCTATTTTCCCAGCTGGATCATGAGCCACATGGAGGCAGAGTGAAGACTTGTTTCATCTTTTAATCTGTAATCCTCAGCAGCACCTGACATGAGACCTCAATAAATATTTGTTGCATGATTATTGTTGAATGACTTGTAGACACAAAATGCTGTATAAGCATGAGATGCAGCACGGGTGTGTGGAGAGAGGTGGACAGAGAGGAAATTTATTTACAACTTACACTTGTTCATGAACACAGCCATGAGCTGCGTGCTAGGGGTGCAATAAAAGAACAGGAAAAACCCCACTAGAGCTCCCCAGTGATAGACAACGAGCATGTGAACACTTTCATAAGGAATCCAGGAGAACATTCTGGTATGCGTCACACAGGCAATGGCCCGGGTGCTGTGACAGGGAGTGGCGGGGTGACCTGCTTTTTACAGAGTGATCATGAAGGGCTGCCTGAAGAAGTGAGAGTGAATGCGACTGTGAGGAGAGATGCCAAAAGAACATTCCAGAAAGAGGGAAGAGCAGGCGTGATGGCCCTGCCCAGGAAGGGCATGCATGTGTGGAATACTCAGGCCGCCTGGAGCCTAGTGGGGTGCAGGGAGCGTGACAGGAGATGAGGTTGGCCATGTGGCAGGGCCAGGCCTGGAGGAGCCCACAGGCAGGGGAGGGGCGGGGAGTTCATTCTCAGACCCATGAGAATCCAATAAGGGGTGTTTTTGTTTTTTGTTTTGAGATGGAGTTTTGTTCTGTCGCCCAGGCTGGAGTGCAGTGGTGCGATCTCAGCTCACTGCAACATCTGCCTCCCAGATTCAAGCAATTCTCCTGCCTCAGACTCCTGAGGAGCTGGGATTATAGGTACCCGCCACCACACCTAGCTAATTTTTTGTATTTTTGGTAGAGACGGGGTTTCACCATGTTGGCCAGGCTGGTCTTAAACTCCTGACTTCAAGTGATCCACCCGCCTCAGCTTCCCAAAGTGCTGGGATTACGTGTGTGAGCCACTGCGCTCAGCCCAATAAGGGATGTTTTTAAACTGCTAATCAATGAATTAAGGTAGTTGATGTCACCATCTGCAATGGTGACTTCAACCCCAACTCCTGGCTCACACTGATGAGAATAATCCACTTGGCAGTCTCAGGAGGGCTGTGCAGGTGTGTAGGTTGCGGGTGGATTCTCCTCTGGAAGGAAGCCCATGTCAAGAGCCTTCGCCACAAGGAGTTTTTCCTGTAGTGCTTCTCAAAGGCTCGGGAGGCAGCTGGGCCAGTCCTTTCACTTGGAGATGACCTTCCTTTGCGGCTCTGGTCAAGTCAGTACACACCTTCTCCAAGGATTGCATGTTGCGGCTCATTAGGGAGACTTGAACTTGGTGAATTGCGACCTCTGGCCCTGTGGGTGTTTTCCGGTGTCTTTAAAAGCCATGGTCCAGCGCGGCTTCCTGACCGACTTGTTCATTGGCGAAAGCCAACAGCGGTGAGTCAGGAGTGAGAGCAGGCGGACCACGGCTCTACAGCCCCCGGGACCGTATTTTCCTCAGAAGAAAAGTCCCAACAAAGGGTTTTCAGCAACTGTTTGGAGAACAGATTGGGAAACAAGGCTGAGAGTGGAAGTAGGGAAACCATTTAGGAGGCTGTAATTGCAGGGGCCAGGCAGGATAAGGTGGGGCTTAGACCAGGTGGTGGCAGTGGTGTTTACAGACGTGGATGGTTGAGGTGTGTGCCACCCTACAGAGGTTGATTTCAGGAAGACAGTTCCAAATTCAAAATTCAGCCCAAAAATTCATTTTCTGAGTAGGGGTACAGGCACACAGTAAGTTACACGAGTCTGGAGCTCAGGTTTGGGTTGGAGATATACATGTGGGCCTGTTTAACATAAAAAGAGCATACAAAGCCATGGGAATGAATGATCTCATCTCCAGGAAGGTGTCGGAGTGAGAGGAGAGGAAGAGCCAGGAATCACCTGGAAGAAATTCTGCACAGAGACTGGAAGGAAAGGGAGGCCCAGCAAGGTACCTGGCGTGGGAGCCGCTGGGCAGGGGAGGGAAGACCAGGAAATTGGGGGCCTGGAGACTGAAGCAGACGAGAGCTTCAAGGAGTAGGAGGCGAGACGGTCGCCTGCAATGTCACTGAGCTTTGATGACCCACAAGCGACTGAAACATGCAGTTAGAAGGAAGAAGTTCTCGCGTTTGAGGGCAGAGGAAGGCAACTAGAGTTAACAACAATGCGTGGCATATTTCTTTTTTTTTTTTTTTTGTACTTTAAGTTCTAGGGTACATGTGCACAACGTGCAGGTTTGTTACATTTGTATACATGTGCCATGTTGGTGTGCTGCACCCATTAACTGGTCATTTGCATTAGGTATATCTCCTAATGCTATCCCTCCCCCCTCCCCCCGCCCCACGACAGTCCCTGGTGTGTGACGTTCCACACCCTGTGTCCAAGTGTTCTCATTGTTCAATTCCCACCTATGAGTGAGAACGTTTGGTTTTTTGTCCCTGTGATAGTTTGCTGAGAATGATGGTTTCCAGCTTCATCCATGTCCCTACAAAGGACATGAACTCGTCCTTTTTTATGGCTGCATAGTATTCCATGGTGTATATGTGCCACATTTTCTTAATCCAGTCTATCATTGATGGGCATTTGGGTTGGCTCCAAGTCTTTGCTATTGTGAATAGTGCCACAATAAACATACGTGTGCATGTGCCTTTATAGTAGCATGATTTATAATCCTTTGGGTGTATACCCAGTAATGGGATGGCTGGGTCAAATGGTATTTCTGGTTCTAGATCCTTGAGGAATAGCCAGTGTGTGGGATATTTCAAAATAACTACAAGAAAGGGCTTCAGATGTTCCCAACACATAGGAATGGTAAACACTGGGCCGATGGACGCCCCAAGTACCCTGGCTTGATTATTACACCTTCTATGTATGTAACCGAGTATCACATGGTCAGATAAATATGTATGAATATTAGGTATCAATTTTAAAAACTAACGAAAAGCAGAAGAAAAAAGTGATCATTGGATTGGAAGTAACCAGCGTCCTACAGAGAGCTGGACGTGATGGGTGGCGGCGGAGCCAGACGAAGAGGCTGGAGGAGCGGACGGAGGGTGTGGGTGTGAGGAGGTGAGGCTGAGCTTGCACGGGCTGTGCTGTGGAGAAAAGCCTGGCACAGGCAGGGGTGACAGGTGGTGTGCAAGACAGAAGAAGGTCTATGACTCAGTAGAGTAGATGAGGCAAGTCAGCGTGTTGAAGAAATGACCCACTGGAGGAGAGATTGATTTTTCCGGAAAATGAAGGGTCAACAGAAGCACAGCCGTTGAGTGGTGGAGGGCAGAGGTTTCCAGAAAATAGGAGGAGGACCTGGCTGTCGACTGCAGGAAGGAGCATTCTCTCCATCAATGCAGGAAGAAGTGAGATGGGTGCAGATACCAGAAAGACCATAGATTTGGTGGTGGCGGATTGAGGTGTTTACTTTTGCAAGGAGCCGTGAGGGCCAGTGCTCCAAGCACCATTCTTAGAAAGGCACTGGAGGCAGCCTCTTATCTCCATAACCACTCGTGGAAGCTTTCAGTCAACTCAGGGACCGCCTGGCATTTTCCAAAGGCCACCAGGATGCGTGGCTCAGGCAAGAACCACAGAGTCTGTCTCCTGGACGTGATCAGCACTGGGTGGGCCAGGAGAGCTGAGGCTTTCACTGGAATTCAGAGAGAAGGGAGAACACCATCAGGAATTGAGGACTGGAGTGGAGATGCAGGCAGGGGCTGGCCCACGGCAGGGACACAGGAGGGGGATTCTATGGGTAGAGTGTGCATGGGTTTCATGCTACATCTAGCTCGGAGCATCAGGCCGCCCTGGGAATGATGCTGCCTGTAGCCAGAATCTACAACACGGATCACAGCTCATGCATGTGCCCCATGGTTCCCTGGTTAATGTCAAACACAGCCCCCCTTACCGGAGCCCAGGCTCCTGTAGGATCTGATCTTTGTGGGTGGTAGAGGTGACCAGCCATCGCATTGGCTCAAGACAGGGGTTTCCTGAACTCAGGACAGGAGCCGACAGAAGCTGGAGCACCACCCCCCACCCCACCCCCGACCACCCCAAGACCTTCATGCTCTCTACGCTGAGGCTCGGATGCTGGGCTTCCGGTGTGTTTCTAGAACGTTCCAGCCTCGGGGCTTTCACTCTTGTCCCCACCTTTGTCTAGAATACTCTGCCCAGCTCTCCACGTGGTTTCCAACTCTTGCCATCCAGGCCTCAGTTCCAACGTGGCCTCCTCTAGGAAGCCTGCCAGGAATACCCCCTCTGAACAACCCACATCCCGCCCTCTCGCCCTGGTGTACTACTGGGAACAACTTTATCTGGGAGTTTGTTTACTTATTCAATGTCTTTGTTTAGGAGGCAAGCTCTTTGAATATTCATTCCATAAATGAATGAATGAGTCAGAAGTAAGTTTATGGCTGGTGTTGAGGCCAGGAGAAGGGAATTGGGGAAGAAAGATCTAAACAAACCCCAAGCACACAAACACAAGTTGCATTTGTCCCCTGTGGCACCCCACACCTAGAGGCGCACGCCTACAGGTGTGACTACATAAACTCATGCCGGGTGGCTGGGCTGGAGAGGAGGGAAGGCCTTTAAGCGTGTGCATGTCCTATTTGTTCCTGGAAACCTGTCTCTAACTGCAGGCTGCCTGTTTCCCCGTTTAAGCTTCTTCCTGGCTTTTAATGCTATTACATCTTCGTTTCAGAAACTGGCTTTTTTGTGATTCTGTCCCTGGACTGCATTTTCCATCCCTCCCTCCGTCCCTTTCTTATTCTGCTACCTCCTGCTGGCAAACCCATCTCTCTGCCCAGCTAATCCCTCCATGCTCTGTGGATTCTTGGGGTCAACTCCGTGTCATATTTGCTTTTGATTTCCTCCTCTGCTCCCCGAACGACTTGGGTTCTATGTAGCCATGATGCGGGTCCCAGACCAAAAAGTAACTTTGCTTAGGTTTTAAAAATTCTATCAATTTTTTCCCCTCTTTTAAATAGACTTTTAAAGAGCAGTTCACAGCGAAATTGAGCAGAACAGAGTTTTCTTATCCTCCCCCCTGCCCCACACAGGCACAGCCTCCCCCGCCATCAGCATCGCCCACCAGAGGGTCCATTAGTTACACTTGATGAACCTGCAGTGACACGTCATTATCGCCCAAAGTCCATAGTTCACGTGAGGGTTTACTCTCGGTGCTGTACATTCTATGAGTTTTGACAAATTTATAATGACACGTACCCACCATTAGAGCATCATACAGAAGAGTTCCACTGCCCTAAAAATCCTCCGTGCTCTGACCATCCCTCCCTCCCTCCCCCTCACCCCTGGCACCCTCTGATCTTTTTATTGTCTCCAAAGTTTTGCCTTTTCCAGAATGTCATCTAGCTGGAGTCATTCCGCATGTATTCTTTCAGACTCACTTTTTTCCTTTAGTCATATGCATGTAAGCCATATCCATGGCTTTTCCTGAATCAGTTCTTCCCATTTTTTTTTTTACCCCTTATTGACTGTCCTCTCGTGTAACCAAGACAGCCACCACAGCAGGAGAAAGAGAGGTGAAGGCACAACCTCGCAGCTTCAGACTCTGAGCCTCCAAAGAGTGCTTTGGGAACCCTGGGAAACTCGCCCAACCCCCCCCCCCACCCAACACACACACACCCACAAACCGTCTCTGCATGAGGCCAGCTTCCCTAGATTCTTGTCTCCCCCCACCGCCCACCCCCCACCATTCCCATCAAGTCCCATAAAAATATCAAACAAGAAAGTAAAATCTCTCCCTGTTTTTCAAAAGCAAAACTTTAACGAATGGTCTTTGATCCACAAATGTAATTAGCATTAGAATTGGAGATGGAACGGATATTTGTCTAAAAGCATTAATTTAAATCCTGGCCCAGTTTTTTTCCTTATCAGTGCTCTAATTCTAACAGTGCCTGTGGCAGAATCAGAAATCAGAGGGAAAGAACAAGTGGGTCTTCATGCAGCTAGAATGCAGGGGAAAATTACGTGGAAAACATTTTCAGCATCCACACGCAAGAGTTGGAGTGACCCAAGGAAGGGAGTTAGGTTTGCATATTATAAACCCAAATTTGCCACCAAGACATAAATGATGGACCATTTTCACTGACCATGGTTTATCTTCATGTTTTCTTTCTCATAATCAACAAGGAAAACGGTAAAGTGCTAAGAACAGAAGCTTCCAGCCATTGTCCTCTGGCCACCAATTGATTTGCCTGTAAGTTTCCTTCCCTGGAATTTTAGGCGTTGTCATATGGTGCTTATAGGCAATTATTTTACAGCCAACGTTGAAGAGTTCAAAGGAGGGTTTTGGAGATGAAAGACCTTTATATTATTTAAAGTGGAAGGGACATTTAAATCTAAATTATTCTCGTCATCTGCTGTATTAGGGAACTTGGGTGGCCATCCCAAAGTACCATAGACCATGTGGCTTAAACAGAAATGTACTCTCCCTCAGTTCTGGAGGCTGGAAGTCCAAGCTCAAAGTGTCAGCAGGGCTGGTTCCTGCAGAGACCTCTCTACTTGGCTTGCAGATGCTGCCTCCTCCCTGTATCCTCACGTGGTTGTTCCCCTGCACATGTCTGTCCTAATCTCCTCTTGTAAAGACATCACTCAAATCCGATTAGGGCTCACCCTAAAGGCCTCATTTTAAGTTAATCACCTGTTTTAAAGCCCTATATTCAAGTACAGTCACACTCTGAATTACTGAGTATTGAGACTAAGGTATTAATCTCGGGAGAGACAAATTCAGCCCATAGCACCTGCTCTGCAAACCACCCTGCAAGATCCAACCTCTTGCCCCACCAGCAGGAGAACCAGGTCCTTCCCTGATCTAGAAGCCCCCTTGGTACGCCCAACCCCAGGCCTTCCAGTGGGGAAATGCAGTCTCCGCAGCCACAGAGAAGCCAGAAGCCCCCGAAAATCAGCCACCGAGTGGCGCCACTGCTCTCTACCACCTCGGTAACCGAGCTCCCTGCAAGTTGAGTTATGCAAATAACTTCCGCGTGTTTGACACTTTGTTCTCCCTTGCTCCTGAAAACCCGCCGCAAAGCTTGCCATGCGCCCCGCGTCATCCTGGCGTCTGCCTCCTTTGGCAGGGGAATTAATGGTTTTTTAGAGGTTAATAACTTGTTGGTGTTTCCCCATTCCCTTGATGGCGTTGTCATCTTCCATCTTTTTTCATTTCCTAAGGAGGAAAATAACTTCTGCGGAACAAAGGCTGGGCAACTGCGCCAAAGGCAGCCCTCAGAACCTTATCAAAGCCACAGCGGAGTGGGAATAATTACTCATTCTCAGCTGGGGGTGTCAGTAACGCCATCTGAGCACAAGGATCACTCATTCCTTTCAACAAGGAAAATTAAAAAGAACACGCAGAAGAAATTCTGGGGAGAGGCCAGGGACACAAAGGCAGCCAAGACGGTGGCGGCCACCCTCCACTCAAGGGCTGCTCCTCAGAGGCAGTGGCCGTCCTAGCTCTAAATGGTGTTTAAAAAAAACCCTAGCATGAGGAAGAAGAGAAACAAAACCTTAATCTTCTTTTTTGAAATTTGAAAAAACAAAAAAACATCTGATGATAAGGAAATGGGGGTGGTGAGTTGAAGGACTCTCTTTTATTTAATAATTTATTAGGCTGCTCTTCAGAAAAGTCGGCTCTGCTTCCATTTTTCTATTTAAAAATCAGTGTAAACTCATAGGAGAGGACAGCTAGGAGCTCCCTCCCGACGTCGGGTGGTCCAGCCTCCAGGCAGAAGCAACCCAACTGGAGGGTCAGTGATGGAGACCTCAAATCAAGTCATGGCCAAAGCAAATAACGTGCCTGTCAAATGCCACTGTGACTGTAACCTTCTCCCTGAGTAGTTTCCCTCTCCAGAAGAGCATGTGATGGGGACAAGACCCCTAAAATTAGAGACGTGAAACGTATTCGGCAGGGAAGGTGGTTAACAGGAGAGCATCTGTGCGCACGTTTGTATGGGAGAGTGGCATGTACATGTTTGTGTAGGTGGGTCAGTATGTATACACATGTGTGCATCTGTTTGCATATGTATGAGTTTGTGGGTGTGTGCATGAGTTTTGTGTGTGCGTGTGTGTATGAGTTTGTGAGTGTGTGCATGTGTGTGCATGAGTTTGAGTGCATGCATGTGTGCATGGGTTTGTGTGTACATGTGTGTGCATGAGTTTGTGTGCGTGTGTGTGCATGAGTTTGTGAGTGTGCGTGTGTGCATGAGTTTGTGAGTGTGTGCATGTGTGTGCATGAGTTTGTGAGTGTGTGCATGAGTTTGTGAGTGTGTATGAGTTTGTGAGTGTGCGTGTGTGCATGAGTTTGAGTGTGTGCGTGTGTATGAGTTTGTGTGTGCAGGAGTTTGTGTGTGCACATGTGTGCATGAGTTTGTGAGTGTGTGTATGAGTTTGTGAGTGTGTGCACGAGTTTGTGAGTGTGCATGTGTGTGCATGAGTTTGTGTATGCATGAGTTGTGTGTGTACATGAGTTTGTGAGTGTGTGCATGTGCGTGTATACGAGTGAGTGTATGCGTGTGTGTGCAGGAGTTTGTGAGAATGTGTGTGTGCATGTTTGTGAGTCTACATGTGAGTGTGTATGTGAATACATCTGTGTACATGTGTATGAGAGAGGTGTGTGTGTATGAGCGAGTGTGTGTATGAGATTGCACGTGTGTGCCTATGTGTGCATGTGTGCATGTTGAGGAGGAAGGACAGGAGGCTCTCCCCACCTCCACTGTCACGCTGATCCATTCAACAGATTCCTCTGTGAGCTGACTGTGCCAGAGCCTGGCTGAACTGAAGGCCTTGGCAGCTGTGAAACATCCTCTGGTCTTCCTCGAGGCTGGGATAGTCTTTCTTCCTTTCACTTGGTAAACTTGGATCATGACTACATGTTGTTCATGGAAGTGTGTCCCATCTGCCCACGGGATTCCCACTCTTTGGGGGATCAAATATATATGATTAGTGGGTGGACCAGATGGCAGGAGCGCTGAGATAAGAGCCAGGGAAAGAGCGGGGAAATGGCTGGGCAAGCGCCCAAGTCAGTTCCTACGAATGTCCGGAGGCAGCGTGAGCTGGCGTCATACATGCCTTGGGAAGATACCTGTAATCTCACATGTACAAGTGTAAGTGTGTATCTAGTCTCTGCCCTTGAGAGAAAGCCAAACAGCTCACCACCAGGATAACGCGCGAGGGCCAGCTGGGTTGCGGGTGGTCTAAGCTCCACGCAGAAAGGGAGAAGGGGGTGCCCCTTTCAGAAGGGACCATGTCCTCAATGAGAATCTTTTGTCTGGATGGCACCCCTGCATCTGTGAGTGCCCACCTTACACAATGGCCACGACTCTCAGCTTCTTCCTTCAAAGCTCAACACGCCCTCCATCACACAGTGATCTGATTTGCCATAATAAAAAATATAAATACGTATTCAATAATACATAAAGAATAACAAAAATGCATTCTTTGTATAGAGACACACAGGTAGAGGGTAGTTGATCAGGAGTAGACAGAAGGACCTCTTTTTCTTTAAACAGTCACCCTTTGTACATGATTGAGACAAGACCTGAGTGGTGGCTACAGTAATGGACCAGACAGGCAGGAGAAAAGGAATGGGTGCTCCGACAACAGCAGGTTTTGGCCTTTGTCTGCTTAGTGGGAGGAGCTGGGTGAGGCTTCGTGGTCCTTCCTGGGATTTGCTTTTTGCCTGTGGGAGGGACTTAAACAGTAAGGGCCACCCTGCATAGGCAGTCTTGGGTGCTGTTTCAGACAGGGGCTCCCACTGAGGTCGTGAGGACGACAAAGCTCGTGGGATTGCAGGCTCAGGGCCTCCAAGGGAGGACGCCTTCCTTCCTGGAATAAACAAGTGTATGGCCTTCTTCCCCCACCCCTCCCCCAGCACACACACACCCACTCTCCCTGGTGGGAGTCTGCTTAGCTTTTCCATAATAAAAATAGTCCATACATGGTGTGTATTCTACAAGACTGGTAGAACTGTATTCAAAATGAGTTGAGTACCAGGGGAAAACGCGCTCTCCATTGTCAAAAAGAAATGGTTGGTAGAGCTTTGATTTTTTTTTTTCCTTTAAAAAAAGCAGTAGCTACTTTCAAAGTCAGGAGAGGCAATTTTTTTTTTAACACAAAGAAAGAGCAACAGCAGGGTGTTCCCTTCCTCTGTCTGTGCCCTTTAAAATTCCAGCTTCAGGATATGCTATTAATTTTCTCCTTTCTTTTCTGGATGAGATTTCGAAAAATACCCATCCTGCTGTAAATCTCTGGGCGAATTATTTTAGGATGGTTTGCTCTTTGGGATGTGGAATGGGCAGGAATTCCTTCACCCAGAGCTCCCTGAACCATCGGCCTCGCACCCTGTTCCCACCCCAAGAGTAACTGGTGACCACATGGCCCACGTCCTGCTGGTCCCCCAGCAAAGCAAATGAAAACCCATCAGGTCTGCCTGCCTCCATTGCCACATAATGCAGGGATGTGTCTCTGCGGTGACCCCAGGGCCAACAGTTATTGTGAGCGGGTCAAAGCGCTGAATATCAATAGACTCTTTCCTGAGCCCTGCAACCCACCCTCTGCCTGGAATGTAAGCTTCTGTCACACACGCTCACCTTTGCCCCAGCCATCTTCACGGCTTCTCACTTCAAAGGATGTTCTTCACGTGGAAAATGCTTTATGGGAAAAAAATGGTCATAGCTACACAATTATTTTAGAAACTCCGCATTGTATTTTAACGGAGGGCAGATGCCCTGGCTAAAGTCTGCAGGGCTTTCAAGATTAAGATCTAAATCCTGAGGTTTAGAAACAGGAACGTCAGAAGTACAATCATCCCAACTACGAGCCTATTCTTTGCTCCTTGAAATGGATTAAATTAAAGGACGAGTCTCATTTTGACAACTCACCTCACCATTGTCAAACAAAGGTAACACAGTCCCAGTGCTAATGAAGCAGTTTTTTTTTTGAAAGTGGAATTACACTGATGATTATTTCATAACTCTTGGAGCCTTCAAACAACAGCTACTTTGAAACGTCGGCTGTGCCAGGCAAGAAGTCTGCTGACCTCGCAGTACCCGAATTTTGTTTCTGAATTCCACATCACAGCGCTGTCCTTGGCCAAGTACAACATGAAGATGCTACATGTTGGCCCAGCAGGAAGGGGCACAGAAGACAGGAGCTCTGAGAGCCGGCCAAGGTCCAGACGCAGAGAAAGCAGATGGTGTGGAATGAGCGGGCAGATTAGCCAGCCTGTGGGCTCGACCCCACTGCCAGCATTGCTTGAAGCTCAAGCACATCATCAAAGCATTTGGGAAAATGTCAGTACAATAGGAGAGTGACCTGAGAGCACACCTTGCAACACAGGACCCCACGACACGAAGGACTTACTCGCGGTGACATGGGTACCCCCACTACTTGAAGGACCCACTTGCCACCTAAAAGGAAAAACCAGAGGGCGGCCTCCGAAGAGAATATTTGGTCTTGTTCTCTCGGCACAATGTGCATTTCTACAAAAATAGCATTGAAACGACTCTCCGATTGAGAGAAGTGGCTCGTTGTGAAACGTTCCCCGTTTGCACTCACCGTTTCATGTGAAAGTGATCAGTCATTCTCCGTTAATCAGACAGCATATGGGAAGTGCTTAATTTCCATTTTCAAATGTCCATATATGTAGTGGAGGGCTTTAAAAGTTGAACCTTGTCACCTGAATAAAATTGTTCTATCTTTTGGAGAAGGGTCCTTATAAATACATCCCAGGAGTAAAACTGCACAAAACATGACTTTGGCAATTACATCCATCTTCTTTCCTGACTATTGTTATAATGCTTACTTTGGTTTGCTTGGAACAGAAAGAAATGGAACTGATTTTGAGGACAGTCTGAGCAAAGAATACCACAACTGCCAGGCTGGTGTCTCAACTGGTCATCCCTGTGCCTTCCATCAGCTTGCTTTTCCTGGCCTGCAAACCTGTGGAGACTGGCTCTGTGCATTTCACACTCTAACTCCCAAAAAGAGAGAAGCAGGTTGGCTCCCTGCATTCTCCCAGCGTAGCAAAACCCGACTGGGCAACGTCAATCCCACTGCTGGCTGCTGGCCAGTCTCAGTCTTGGTGCTGATCCCGGATCCAAACAAGCCTGGGCAGGACATTGAAGGACAGAATTGATCTCTGTTCCTTTACAAGGCTTCTCTTAACTCCTAATCTCCCTCTGGGTTTGCCTCAGTCCTTCTGGTATGGAAGGTACCTTGCATGGAAGGCCCCAGGCAACTGGACGACAGTGTGGAACATGCCTGGGAGAAAAGGACCACAGGGACGAGGGCACTCGCCTCCCTTCCATGCCAGCTCCTTGAAAGCCAGTGTTACCAAAACACGAGGGGCTGCGTCCAGGTCCTGCTGCTCACCACACAGAAAGCCAATCACTGAGATGATGAGTATTGCCAGGGAAGAAGGCTTTAATTGGGTGCTGCAGCCAAGGAGATGGGAGATCAGTCTCAAGTCCATCTTCCTGACCAACTAATATTAGGGGTTTATGTAGCAGGGAAGAAATGAATCAGTGTGTAAGAAAACAGGAACCCAGGAGGGGCAAGGAAGCAATCATGATGAATGAGGGGTCCCGCATCTCATTTTCTGGATACAATGATCTGGGGAGTTTCAGTTCTTTGATATGTTTTTTGAGGGCCTGAAGGTCTTTCCTGAGGAAGAAGCTCAGATACAGTGAATGTAAGGTTCAAGCTTGAAGACCAGAAGGGTCACTTTCTATGTTTAACCGTGGGACTACTGGGTCGCCCATGTGTCCTGTATTCCCTTCTTCACCATTTCTTCCTCTCTGCTTTCTGTTCTACCTGGCTTCAGTCCCCAATAAAATTGCTTAAGATAATCAAGGACCTCCTATTTCCAAATCCAAGGGACATCTCAGTCTCCTACATTCACGGAGCATTTCCCACAATCCCCACACCCTCTGGCAAACCCTCCTGGCACCTGCAATGCTGCTGTTCTCACACTGCAACATCTCCTCTCAACTCTAAACCTTAGAGCTCCCAGGTCTTTTCCTGTCTCCTCTCTCTTCCCAGTCTATACCATCCCCAAATGGCAATGGCATGGTTATTCACTCTCATAATTGTCCCATAAAAATAGAGACAAAAATAAAACTGAAAGCTCATGACAAAAACCTACAACAAAACTGATGACAAGGCATCCCCCAGGAACCTCAAAACACAAATGGGAAATACACATGGGAGGAGGGAGCAAACTACCCGAAGTCAGCATACCTGTGTGGAAACATCTCCTGTCAGGAGCAAGCAGAGAGCAGTGGCACCTGCCAGGCCTCAGTGTCTCAGCAGAACCAGCAGGTGTTTACTGGTAAGGCTGGAGCACTGGCCAAGTGAGAACAGAAGCTGAAGCTGGGAGAGACTTTGCTCCAAGAGCTGGGGAGTCAAGGGGCCCAAGCAAGTTCAGAAGGGAAAAGGATACTGGGCCCTACAGACTCCCAAACTCACCAGACAGAACTTCCCACCAGGACAAACCTTTGCACTGGGAATCTAAACTGGGGAGAGGACACAAAGACAGGTAAAAGCATATTGTAAAACAAGAGATAAGAAATCTCAGAAATAGGCCACCATGTCTTTAAGCATAACATGAAAAAATAGAAGAGGGAGGTTGTATTAGTCTGTTTTCACACTGCCATAAAGAACTGCCCTAGACTGGGTAATTTATGAAGGAAAGAGGTTTAATTGGCTCACAGTTCCGCATGGCTGGGGAGGCCCCAGGAAACTTAGAATCATGGTGTAAGGTGAAGGCGAAGCAAGGTACTTTCTTCACAAGGTGACAAGAAGGATAAATGTTGAGCAAAGGGGAAAGAGCCCCTAATGAAACCATTAGCTCTCGTGAGAACCCACTCACTACCACAGGAACAGCATGAAGGAATCTGCCCCCATGATTCAATCACCTTCACCTGGTCTCTACCTTGACATAAGAATGATGGGGACTATGGGGATTATAATTCAAGATGAGATTTTGGTGGGGACACAAAGCCTAACTATATGAGAGGTCTGTAATGTGGACCTCAGAAGATGAGCTTGGAAACATGCCTCCTTATCCAATTCTAGAAAAACCAACTCCATGTGAGATAAACGACAGAAGCAACTGAGATATAAACCCATACACATAATCACATAAAATAAGCTAGAAGCAGAAAAACATACCTACAGAGAGGGAGAGCACACCAGAAAAACATATGCATCGATCAGAAGAAAATGTTGCTCTTTTTTTTTTTTTAAAAAGTGCAAGATGAAAAAGAAAAATATAACTCAGAATTAGAAAAAGTCAGAAATGAGATGATATAATTCAGGAAAGAATTATAAATAAAAGACTTTTCTTTCAGTAATGAAAAGTAAACTAAAAGAAAAACAAGAGTGAATAAACACAACAGAATCTTTTAATAGTTACAGAAGTTGAAAAGGAGGACATTTTGAAAACTAAAAAGAAATGAATAAGTGTGAAAAAGATTTTAGAGAAGTGACAAATTTAGAAGATAAGGCAATGCAGATCCCGTAAACCTAAAATCTAAGTATCTAAAGAAGAAAATCCAAGCAAGGGAAAAGCATAAACACTAACATTCAATAAAAACTTTCCTGAGATAAAAAAAAACTGATCTCTGTATTAATAGGGTATATCACATACCTAAGTAATTTGCCCCCAAACAACTAACAATGAGAAATGGTCAATAAAAGTACTTATTTTCAAAAGAAGGATAAAATATTTTAAGAATAAAATCAAAATTATGATGTCACTTAAAAAAGAAAATTAAATTGTCATAAAATTTTCAATGCCAGCATTTCTAATTCAAAAAAAAAGAAAATGTTGCCAGGGATTTTATACCCAGCGCAACTGACTTTTGAGAATCAAGGTTGCCGTCACCTGTGAGAACTCAGGCAGTATTGCTTTCAAGAGTCCTTCTTGAGAATCTATCATAGAATGAGCTTAGACAACAAAAATGACCAGAGAGCTGTGGACATAAGAACTAATAGTGTGCTCTAAACATGAAGTTATTTGTAGATAAGTCTAATTCAGTGCCATAGTAAGGAAAGTTTGGTGTGGAATCACTGTGTGCCCTGACAAGGGAAATAGAGGAAGACTACCTGCAAAAGGAAAGCTGGTGGGGAAACATCTGCACACGTTTTGTTTTGTTTTGATTTCTTACTATTTTCAGTGGAAGTAGTATTGGTATTGTTATTCTGAGACAGCTATGTGTGTGGTGGTGGAATGCAGCAAATGAATAATTATATGAAGCTGCTTTATCTAGGATTCTATCAAGCTCTGTGGTCTTGAGAACCAGGATTGCTAGCATGGAAAACCACCCAAACTAGTATAAAACAGGAAATATCAAGTTGAAAAACTTGTAGGGCCCAAGTGAAACTGGAAGGAACAGTATGAACCTGGGAGATTTTTTTTTGTTACAGCTTTAGATATGGAAACATATATTGTTTAGCTCTGTCCCCTGAAAAGGCCTAGAATTCACAAGAGACAAACAGATATGGGCAATGCCAGCCTCCATACTGTGATCTTGAAATCTGTTCCCCAACTAAAATGAACAAACAAAGACAAATAAACAAAATGGGACTTTACTGAGAAATGGCTGATCCTAGATCTGAGTGGAAAGATACAGGAGATCTATCTATCTATCTATCTATCTATGATATATAATAGATATAGGATGAGCCTGGAGCCTCCTGTCATGCCATATAACTATGTTATCAAAGATTTACAGAGTGAAGAAGAGACTCTCTAGAGCCAACGGAAAGAGGATCCCATTGTGCAAAGTTGAGAAAATCAGATCAAGAATAATGCTACAGTTTGGATATTTGTCCCCTCCAAATCTCCTGTTGAAAGGTAATTCCCAATGTTGGAGGTCAGGCCTGGAAGGAGGTGTTTGGTTCATGGGGAAAGATAGCTCATGAATGTCTTGGTGCCATCCCCTTGGTGATGATGAGCAAGTTCTCACTCCATTAGTTCACAAAAGATCCGTTTGTTTAAAAGAACCTGGTGGCTGGGCACAGTGGCTCATGCCTGTAATCCTAGCCCTGTGAGATGCCAAGGCAGAAGGATCACTGGAGCTCAGGAGTTCATGTCCAGCCTGGGCAATATAGTGAGACCGCCATCTCTACAAAAAATATAATTAGCTGGGAATGGTGGCACATGCCTGTAGTCCCAGTTATTTGGGTGGCCAAGGTGGAAGAATCATCTGAGCCCAGGAGTTGAAGGCTGCACTGAGCCGTGATCATGCCACTGTACTCCAGCCTGGGCAACAGAGGCTCTGTCTCAAACAAAAATATAAAAGATCCTGGCACCTCCCCTCCCCTTGCTCTTTCTGTCTCACCCTGTGACACACCTGCTGTCCTTTCACCTTCCACCATGATTGAATCTCCCTGCGGCCCTCACTAGAAGCAGATGCCAGCACCATGCTTCCTGTATAGCCTGCAGAACCATGAGCCAAATAAACTTCTCTCTCTCTTTTTTTTTTTTAATAAATTACAGTCTCAGGCATTCCTTTATATCAATGCAAGAACAGACTGCCACAAACAGCAACAGCAATGAGTGAAAACACATGGAACATGTTAAACCCACAAGCTCATGATGTTGCTGCAAAAATGGAATTGATGGCCTTTGAATGTTAAACTCACTCATTATTTCAAAAATTGGTAGCAAAAGAGAAATAACTGTACTATATGAACTGTCCGATATGAACTGTATCACTACAAAATCAAATAAAACATTAAAGAAATGGCCTTTTTATGAAATTATTCCAGCTAGTAAGGAACATATGGTAGAATTACAGTGTCATCATTTCACTACTTCTAGGAAGATCTTGGTTCTAAGCACTGAGGACCCATGACTGCTAACATCATAAAAAGGGAGACAATGGATCACCATGTGCTTCCTGGTGGGTAAACACCACACCACCTAAGAAACTGCCCCCCTAAATCTGATTGAATATATCAGTCCAACTCCCAGTTTACAGGAAAGATGAGGAACAGAGGAACAGGTTAAACTACACCATGGGGATGCTTTCAGTAGAATCCTAACCACGGGACCTCAGCATGTCAAACAGCCTGGTATCTTCAACAAATAAATTATGCATAAAAGAAAAAAGAGACAAAAGCAATGTCAATTAAAAGAGACTTACGAGACATGCTAAAGTGGACGGAACCAAACTACAGTGCTTAGAATGCACACTTGAGTGATGAAACTCTAAAGGAAAACCAGGGATTGATTATGAAGAAATAAGAGTGGCGGCGACTTCCAAAGTGGAGTGCAGGGTGGTGCCTGGAACAGCATCTGGGAGTGGGGAGCGGCGAGGGGCTGACAATGTCCTAATTCTTGACTTGGATGGCAGCTATGAAAGTTTTGGTTATATTATTTCACTAGGCAGTACACTTTCTTAATGCAATTTTCTGTATCTGTACTATACTATATACTGTCCTATATATAATAAAGAGTATCAAAATATATATTACTATGAAAAAAATTCCATACAAGTGAACACATTTACATTTATTCCACAAACTTTAGAGCTGTGCTTTTTAAAAAAGCCCGTGACTCCCTACTGCGTATCATTAGATGATGCCCTTGGAATGAATGTAAAAATAGACAGCTTTGCAAGTGAGGATGATAAAAAGGAAATCTAAGTAATGTAGAATGAATAGAGCTCTAAATTTTGAAGCGAGGAAAGGTAAGGGGTGTGTATGTGTGTGTGTGCGTGCGTATGCATGCATGCATATGTGTGTGGGATGTGTGTGCATGTAAGCATGTGCATATATGTGCACGTGTGGGGTGTGTGTTCATATGTGAATTCATATGTGAACATGTGTGAATGCATATGTGAACATGCATGTCTGCCAGTAAGAGTGCACATGTGTGTGTATGCATGTGTATAATAATTCCAGCTAAAGCCCACACAGCAGGAGGGGACAATTAACCACTGTGCTACATATATTTCCACAGTCTCAAGACTATTTATTTATTTAAGGTGCTTTGTCTTGATCACATGAGCATATGTGATGAGCCCGGTTTCCTGGTGCACAGGGAAAGAACTGTTAATATGAAACACAAGTGTAAAATTTACACAGCTTCATGTACCAAAAGAAGAACCCTTTATTTAAATCAATATATAAACAGCTTTGGGAATAGTAGTATAACTGGAAACACAATCTGTAGATGTAAATAAATGAGGCTGAATAAATGCTGTGAATGTTAACTGGGGCATTTCCAGTAATATCTATGGGACCTTAGGCAAGTTGTTCCCTCATCTTGGCTGTAAAATGGGAAGATATGAGTACCAACCTTAAAAGGTTTTTTGTTTGTTTGTTTTTTTGGGGATAGCATCTTTTTCTGTTGCCCAGGCTGGAGTGCAGTGGTGTGATCTCAGCTCACTGCAACCTCCACCTCCCAGGCTCAAGCAATCCTCCCACCTCAGCCTCCCAAGTAGCTGGGACTACAGGTGTGCCCCACCATGCCTGGCTAATTTTTAAATTTTTATTTTTGTAGAGACAGGGTCTCATTATGTTGCCCAAGCTTATCTCAAACTCCTGGGCTCAAGTCGTCCTCTTGCCTTGAAAGGTTATTTTGAGGATTAAATAAGATGATGCCTTTGGAAATCACTGGAGAGTCTGATGCATGTTTCCAAAACAAAAGAAAAGCTGGAGGGTGAAGAAATTGCCACTGGGAGTAGTGTAGGGGTTGCTGCCATAGTTCAGGCAGAGGAAGACCCAGCTCTGAGAGCTCAAAGAGATGGGACAGGACAACCGGTTATGGAAGGGTAGGAAGGGCAGGTGGAAGGAAGTCATTGACATGGAGAATGACATCCGGACCAGAGCCAGGTGTGTGTGAGGGCGCCACAGTGAGTTTAATTTTAGATATGTTTCATCGCAGCTGCTTGAAGGTGAGTAGGCAGTGTGTCAGGGAGCCCTTGGGAAATGAGGCACCAGCTCAGGGGACAGGTCTGGGGGAGCACCAGAGTTAGAGCTCAGAGTGTGGTAGGAGCCATGGGAGAGGAGGTCTGTCAGGGAAGGAGGGGCTGACCCAGAAGGGGACTCAGGGCAACAACATCTGGGTCAGGAGAAAGCAGAGAAGGGAGGAGTCCTCCATGCACAGAAATCCAGGAAGGAGGAATTTCTGGAGGAGAGTGGGCAACAGTGTGACACGCTCCTAGGACATCAAACAGGATAGGAGGGGCAGTTAGCCCAGCCATTTGACCATGGACGGTCCAAGGTGACTTTTTAGACATAAGTTCCATTAGAGAACGTTGGGGATTTGAGACACAGACTGGTTGCAGGTTTGGGGGGCGGGGTGGGGGAAAGGGCGCTTGGGCCACCTGGTAGGAGGGTAGTCATAGCTTGAGAAACCTTGGAGGGAAGGGCAGTGAAGGGGGTGGGGGGCATTCGGCTCCTACAGAGAAGTCCTGGCTGCAAGAATTAAGAGGAAGGAATGAATACCAAGCGTCCAGTAGAGGTGACTCTTTGGGAAGGAAGAAGGATTTTGTTCCAAAGAAGAGATGGGGATCACTGTGGATTTTGTTTATAATCAGAGAGTGTGGATGTTGGGGGCATTTTGGCTTATGTTCTTTATTTTTTCTTGTGGAGGAGAGAGCAGAAATCTTGGATTTAATGGGTGGGAAATTTGTACAAATCCGGAGCAGCCACCCAGAAACATATAGAGAAGTTTTGCCGTGTGAATTCATCTTCAGGATAAGCCATGTGTGTTCTTGCTTAGAAGATGACGATGGATATTATGGCCCTGGGGGCCTTTCACCTCCAGATTTGGGAAAATGCCTTTTAAGAACTCTTTGGAGAAAACAGGCTTAAAGAAGATGGGCTGGCACCATGAGGGCTTCTCACCCTAGGGGCAGTCGGTGCTTTATAGACATAACTACAAATTCCACCTCTGAAAATATGCCAGCACTGAACTCAGGGAGAGGAAAAGGCATTTGTTGACAGAGCTGATTGTTAGACACTTTAATTTGGAAAATATTTTGGAGTAGGGATTTCCTTTCAGGTCCCCTAAGAGGTAACAGAAACAGATCTGAAACATCTCCCCTATGTTCTGGAACAAGGCTAAAATGCTTTCATCATTAATTGGATTGTGGTTGGGTTAACAAAGAATGCGTTGCAGCTTCTCTCTCTCTCTCTCTCTCTCTGTGTGTGTGTGTGTGTGTGTGTGTGTGTGCATGTGTGTGTGGTGTGTGTGTGCATGCACACATGTACTTCTTTCTCTCTTTTCTCTGGATAAAGCATATGGCCCGACTTTATTATTCATTAAACATCTTGCCTTCTCCATTAACTTTGCTCATAAAACGTTTTTAAGATTCTGACATGAGAAGGACACACACATTTCTGCACGGCCTCCCCACCTGCACTGGTTTTGTGGTCTGGGGATCCCGGCTTCCTTTCTGTTAAGCCTATTTGGGATGCTCTTCCTTCTTTTAACCCTGTGCGTCTTTGCAACTAGAAAAGGGTGCAGCATTCCAACCTGAATTCAGCTCAGCTGCAGATTTCAGTGTCTAACAGCTCCTGGGAGGACACGAAACAGACTCAGTATTTCTACAAAAAGGAGAGAGGGTGAGAAATTGGACCAACGAGAAAGAGAAAGGGCCACCGAGCTGCATGGAGGAGGAAAGTGAGAGAAGCAACCGGCAATTTCGCAGTCAGAAAGCTCCCTGGCCTTGACCCTTCACCACTGAAAGGCGAGCGGGTTTTATGCCGGAGACACTCACTGCCTTCCTGGAAAATCTAAATAGGGCAGGTGATGGAGGTGGTGGAAACACAGTCCAGATGGAGATGGGCCCTTTCAGTTCTGAGCATCAAGCAGAAATGCCCATGCAGACGGGTGACAGCCACCTGTGAAAATGCCTCGCTGATTAAAATCAGTCTCTGGAGGAACCCCAAAGGACAAGGATCCATTTTGCAGGTCTCATTCGTAGCAAAACGGAACTGTTAGGAACTCAGGATTCTCCTCTTCTGTGCCTCTGGTCTGGCCTGATTTCATGTTTCCTCTGCACTAAACCTTTCTCTCCATACAGATCATGTTCTGTAGCGGACACAGGGAGTGGCTAGAAAGGAGAAGTGAAAAATCCAGGAGCTCTTGTATAAAAACATGGGATCACACGAGGGAATTTAGATGGTTTGGCTTCTTTTTCTCAAAGAGGAGAGAAAGCAGCTTGTCACCATTCAAATTCAGTCTGTTTGGAGGAGTTGTTAAGACTTCCGGAGATTACCTGGCCTCATCGCACCTGCGTCATTGGGACGCTCTCAGATCCATATTTCCAAAGGAGTCCCCACCAGTAGAATCAGTGGATTCTGACTTCTCTCCTAGATTCCAGAAGGAGCCTGATTTCCTAGTGAAGGGGGTTTGTGGTTTCAGCCGGGCCTTCCAGTGAACCTGGGCATTAACCCACTGCAGACATGGTGGGCACCGTGGTGTGGGAGAAAGACCACCTCACAATCCTTGACGCCCTCCCCTCCTCCTGGATGAGGAGACAGAAGGTCAGCATCAGATGATACACAGGGGCCTTGGGATGGATCTCCTGGGAGAGGAGAATGCCCAGCACTTATTCCCAGAAGACACACCATGCCTGATGTCTACTTTCACCAACTCCTGGTAACCATGGATGATAGGACAGCATTTATTTTATTAATTAAACCATAAACAAACTCCACCCTTCCCATGAGCCGCAGATGGATGGCGCTGCCTCTGGAGCAGTCTCCCAGGGTATCTGGAGAACCGAGTCATTTCTCCCATTTCTTTCTTGACACTCCAAGAATCCTCCAACACTTCCATTAGTGCCTGGATGCTAATCTCTCTGGCCTACTCAAGGACTCCCTCCCACCATTCTCCTCTCTCTCTCACCCATCTTTCCCTTTTTTCTCCATCTTTCCCATCAGCCTTCAGATGTGTTCTTAGGCAATCTTAAAAAAATAAAAATAATGGGACCTAATTAAAGAGCTTCTGCACAGCAAAAGAAACTACCAACAGAGTAAACAGGCAACTTACAGAATGGGAGAGAATATTTGCAAACTATGCGTCCGATTAAGGTCTAATATCCAGAACCCATAGGAACAAACAACAAGCAAAAACAACCCCATTAAAAGGTGGGTAAAGGACATGAACAGACACTTTTTTCCATTACAATTAAAATATGTTATTCTTTGATATACTGTTAAGAGGATGAAAAGACAAGAAACAGACTGAGATAAAATATTTGCAAAATACATATCTGATCAAGGACTTGTATCCAAAAATAGACAAAGAACTTTTAAAACTCAACAATAGAAAAGTAAACCACCCTATTAAAAAATGGGCAAAAGATGTGGACAGATACCTCACCAAAGAGAATATACAAATGGGGAATAAACATTTTAAAAAGTCTTATCATCAGACATCATTAGGGAATTGCAAAATAAAACAACGAGATACCACTGTCCGTCTATTAGAATGCTTAAAAGTCCCCAAACCTGGCAATATTAAATACTGGGGAGGATTCAGAGGAACGCGAACCCTCATTCATTACTGGTAAGAATGCAACATAAGTCAGCAACTTAGAAGACACTTTGGCAGGTTTTTTTTTTGTTGTTGTCTTTTGCTTTTTTTAAGCATAGTCTTATCATACAATCAAGTGATTGTGCTCCTAAATATTGACCCATTGAGTTTAAAACTTAAGTCCATACAAATTCCTGGACATAAATGTTTATAGAAGCTTTATAATCACCCAAAACTGGAAGTAATTCATACACCTTTTAATATGTGAATGGGAAATGAACTATGACAAATTCACACAATGGAATATTGTTCAGCAATCAAAAGAAGTGAGTTATCAAGACATGAAAAGATATGAAAGAAACTTAAAGGTACATAGCTAAGTAAAAAATCCCAGTCTCAAAAGGCCATATACTTATATGCTGTATTATTCCCATTACATTACATTGCTGGGAAATGGTGAATTTATAGAGATAGAAAAAAGATCAGTGGTTGCCAGGGGTTTGGGGGTTGGATGGCAGGTGGTGGCGAGGAATAGATGAAGCACAGGGATTTTTATGGCAATGAAACTGCTCTCTGTATGATATTGTAATATGGGATGCATGACATCATGCATTTGCCAAAACACAAATGCTATGCAACACAGAGAGTGAACCTTAAAGTAAGAAAAATTTTAAAAAGTTATTGAAGAGGTCAGGTGATCCTAGTAAAGACTAGTAGACCATGACCAGAAAATCTAACTGTATTATAAATATATGAAACAACCTCACTGAAAAGGGTGTAGAAAAGGTGCTAACCTGTGTAACTTTAGAAATAAATGGAATTTGTAAGACTAAAGGCAAAACTAACTACAGATAAGCACTTTATTCTTGTTGACAGAATTGTTTCCTATTGAAGGTACAGGCTAACAATTCTGATACCACTATACACATATACTTTGAATTGAACAATGAAGTAAATGGCCTATGGTGGGAGCCAGGCTTCTTATTGTTGGAATTGGAGGTTACAGACAAGCAAAGGGGAAAGGCTAGAGTGATCTATGTGGTAAAAGAGCTTCCAATGTCCAAATATGGAACAATCTGAGCAAGAAAATAGTGTTGGATTAAAACCCAAAGTATAAAACAAATATCCATATTTGTTTATAAATATAAAATAAATATTTGAGAAAAACTAGTAAATAGAGGAGAAGAGACAAATGTGTGCAGAATTGCACATCAATTATGTAGACACTCCACCAGTGAGGAGAGGAAGCATAACTCCCTATTCCCTAAGTGTGGGATGATCATATTAACATCCGTCCAAAGACAGTAGGGACAGAAGGAACACATTTGACAATGGAGAAACCTGACAAACGCTACTTTAGACAGATGATGAATGTCAACATCAGCAGGCATTTATCATGTTGATATTATACACCCTTGATATAATGTAATGGAAATGGCACTCTACCTCTGTGATCTTCCTCCTCACAACCCATAACTCTAGTCTCAGCATGAGGAAAACTTCAGACAAATTCCAGTAGAGGGACATTCTGCAATATACCAGACCAATACTTCTCAAAACTGTCAATGTCATCAAACGTAAGGAAAGTCTGAGAAACTGTTGAACAGACACTTTTCAAAAGAAACATACTTGTGGCCAATAAGCATACGAAAAAAATGCTCCACATCATTAATCATTAGAGAAATGCAAATGAAAACCACAATGAGATACCATCTAACTCCAGTCAGAATGGCTATTACTAAGAAGTCAAAAAATAACAGATGCTCATGAGGTTACAGAGAAAAGGGAACACTTAGCCACTGCTGGTGGGAATGCAAGTTAGTTTAGCCACTGTGGAAAGCAGTGTGGCGATTTCTTAAAGAACTTAATACCGAATTACCATTTGACCCAGTAATCCCCTTAGTGGGTATATCCCCAAGTAGTATAAATTGTTCTACCATAAAGACACATACACACATATGTTCATCACAGCACTATTCACAATAGCAAAGACATGGAATCAACCTACATGCCACCAATGATAGACTGGATAAAGAAAATGCAGTACAACTGCTCAGATGATGAGTGCCCTAAAATCTGAGAAATCACCACTAAAGAATCTATTCTTGTAACTGAAAACCACCTATACCCCCAAACAATTGAAATAATAAAAAAGAAACAGCCTAAAAAATAAGAAAAAGTGGAAAGAAAAGAAAACGTGGTACATATACACCATGGAATACTATGCAGCCATAAAAATAACAAGATCATGTCCTTTGCAGCAACGTGGATGGAGCTGGAGGCTGTTATCCTAAGCAAACTAACACAGGAACAGAAAACCAAATACTGCATGTTCTCACTCGTAAGTGGGAGCTAAACATTGAATACCTACGGACGTAAAGAAGAAACCAGCAGACACCGGGTGAAGGGAGGGAAGAGGGTGAGGATGGAAAAACGACCTATCAGGTACTATGCTTATAACTTGGGTGATGAAATAATCTGTACACCAAATCCCCGTGACACACAATTTACCTATATAACAAACCTGCACATGTACCCCTGAACCTAAAACAAAAGTAATAAAAATAAAAATAAATCTCACACCTTCTTGGACCTTGCTCTCCCGTCCAGCTGCTGCACCACTTCCACTTCCCTGCTCAGGAAAGCTCCTGGGAAGCACTGCCCACGCCGGCTGCCTCCTACTTCCTGTCCTTATTCCTCCAGTCAAAGCCCTCCCTCTGCATGCCCATTGGACCTCCGCCAGGAGCTGTCAGGGAGCCATGGGGACTGGCAAGTCTGGGGTTTAGGCTGAGGTTCAGGCTGATGATATCCACTTGGGAGTCGTTGCCAGAGAGGTGGTCATTAAAGCCGTGAGAAGAGATGGACCCCCCGATTGGGGGTGGAGGTGGACATGAGAGGGCTGGCCTGGGCTCTGGGTGCTCCAGGGTCCTCTGGTCCAGGGGAAGAGGAGGGCCCAGTAGGCCCTGGGAGAGAGCAGCTTATAGGGCAGAAGGAAAAGCAAAGGGTGGCTTCCTGAAGCCAAGGGGAAATCACGTCTAAGGACAAGGAAATTCTTCCCAGGGCCACAGAGGGCTGAACGCTCCAGCAGGGAGAAGACTGAGGACCAGCATTGGGTTCTGCAGGCAGAGGCCCATGGGGACCTTGATGGCAGCAAAGCCGGTGGGCATGGGGTCGGGGCAGGAGCTGCAGACAGCCCAGGGAGACCCATTTCAGACTTTGTGAGAGCGTGAGCTGGTGGCGTTTTAATCACCATGACATTTGCAGTCATTTATTACAACAGCAGCAGGAAACAAACAGTGCTCATGATGTCCACATGTCATGAGTGGAGGGTACAACTCACCGACTCCTCTGCAGCTGGTTAAAAATTATAGATAAGGAGATTATAAAGGGAGATAGATAGATAGATGAATGATAGGTAGAGAGATGAATAGATAGATAGACAATAGGTAGATGATAGATGAATAGATAGATGATAGGAAGATAGATGATAGACAGGTAGATAGATAACAGGTTGACAGACGATCGATGAGGAGATAGATAGATAGATACAGATAGATTATAGATAGGTAGATATATGGATAGATAGGTAGATGATAGGTAGATGAATAGATAGATGATAGATACATACATAGATACATGGATGGATAGATAGAGCTGGATAGATAGGTAGAAGATAGATGAAGGTAGGTAGATAGATGATAGATGAATAAATAGACATAGATAACTTATAGACAGATAGGTGATACATGATAGATGGACAGATAGATGATAGATGACAGGTAGGTAGGTAGAGCTGGATAGATGATAGGTGATAGATAGATAGACAGATATTAATATAGATAGAGATGATGATAGAGGGGATAGTGATGGAGATGCAGGTGTGGTGTAGACCAAGTTGTAGATATGAACACACATGCAGCCTCCAGGCTGGATGGAGATGATGGTAGAGGTGACAACGATGGAGACATAGGTGTGGGTGTGTAGACTGGGTTGTAGATATGAACACACGTGCAGCCTCCGGGCTGGATGGAGATGATGATAGAGGTAATAGTGATGGAGATGTAGGTGTGGGTGTGGTGTAGACCAGGTTGTGGATATGGACATACAGCCTCCTACCTGGATATAGATGACGATAGAAGTGACAGCGATGGAAATGCAGGTGTGGTGTAGACCGAGTTGTAGATATGGACACACATGCAGCCTCCAGGCCGGCATCATTGCTTCTGCTCTTGGTAGCTGCCGCAGCTGCCTGTCCACACAGCAGCCCTGGTGGTCCTGTAACAGCCCCATCATTTCCTGTCACTCCTCTGCTCCTCACTTCCAGTAACTCCCCACCTGACTTAGAGCAGAGGCCGTGGCACCGGCAGGGTCCACACAGCCTCCTGTGATCCGGGCCTCAGCCCCTCCTGCTTTCCTCTTGGCTAATTCTGCTCTAGTTTCCACAGATCCTTCCAGGGCCAGGTTGGCCTACCTCGGGGCCTCAGCAGGTGCTGTCTCCTCAGCTGGGATGCTCCTCCCTCCAACCTTTGCCCAGCTGGTCCCCTTTCCTCCTTAAACCCTGCTCTCATGTCACCTTCCCCAGGAGGCCTCTTCTGCAATCGCTGTCCAGAATTTCAGCCTGTGACCCCAGCTCCCTGTCTTCATTGCTTTTATGTCTCCAGAACCCTGTCCTCATCTAGCACATGAGAGACGCTAACTGGGATCACACTGAACACCTGTGTCCATGCCTGCAAGGGTGGGTCAGGGAGGCAGGGGTCTGTGTGTCTCATTCTGCGTTGGCATCTCAGTGCCTTGAGCAGCACCTGGCACACAGTAGGGGCACAGGAGTCACTTGTTGAATGAATGAATAACATTATAATTTATCAGCTGGGTTTATTATAAACACAGTATGGTCATGACAATAGATTAGAAGGTTCTTTTTAGGATAAAAGAAGAAAGAGATGATATACTCAATGGACTTTGGCGAGCTTAGCACTACAGCGTGCTGAAAACCCAAATAAAGAAGCGTCCTTATTCCTTTACATACAGTCCTCTTTTAATGTATCATCAAGAATTGTGTTATTTGGGGACACAGAAAAATTCAAACACTTTGATCATGATCCATTCATTGACTTTTCAAGAAGAACCTTAGAAGGGATTTTGACTGTGTTTGATGTACCTGATTAGAAAGCAAAGCCTCCCCTACCTAAACTTCCATTGTAAAAGCCCAAATCTCACAGAAGTGCATCCTGCAGACTTCAATGGGTTCGTCCAAGGAGCAGGTTTTGTTCATTTGGAAGAAAATAGTATTTGCAGGATTTTGAGAGCACATAAGTTCAGCACTACTGGGTTCAAATATGCGCAACAGACCCACCCACTCCGATGTGTGCTCCCTTCCATCTCAGAAAGGGACAGGAGTCCTGCCACTTCCAGCTCCCACTCCACTTGACAGTCACCCGTTTCCAATCTCAGGAGTCTAGGATGGTCTCACTTCGATCTTTCATAAGAAGGGAGAGTATTGCCCACTCATAAGAAGGGAGACTGTTGCCCATTTGGATGGGAGCATGCATTTTCCATGGTGCAGTGCAGATGGGCATGGCCGCAGAGCACCAGCTCCCATCCTCTCTCCCCTCTCTATGCTGTTTACCGTTCCAGGGCTGAGGGCCCTGGTTACAATTCCTTGACACCCACTGGCAGAGTGAGGTGCTTCATAAGTACACACTAAGTATTGCTCAGTGATCCCAATAACTGCCCCAAACAGCAAATGCAGGGTGAAAGCGAGCACAAGGGATTCTCCATAAATAATAATAATAACAGCCTTTATTATCTCCCAGGTGCCTCCTTGGTGACAGGCCCTCTACATGCTGTCCCCATTACATCTTCCCGACAACACGAGGTAGAGGTGGCTCCTGATTATAGACCAGGAATCTCAGGCTCGGAAGAACCCGGGAGCTACCCAAAGCCCTCAGCAGTTGAGTGCAAGAGCTGCAAGTGTGAACCTGGACTCTGTCTCCCAGGGTCACGGTCACAACCCATATATGAACATACCACTAACCTTTGAAGGTCTTCTGTGTATGATTCAAACTGAGCCTCAGAAAGACACCATGCGGTGGCTGTTTAATGTCTCGTGTTTCCTCATGCTTCTGTAACAAGGTAGCACAAATGCAGTGACTTAAAACAACAGAAATTTGTTTCTCATATTTATGGAGACCAGAAGTCCAAGATTGAGGTGCCACTGGAGTTGGTTTCTCTGGAGACTCTGAGAGACAGTCTGTCCCACACCTCTCTCTAGTGCCTGGAATTTCCAGCAATCCTCACTGCTCCTTGGCCGGTAGACACCTCACTTCCATCTGTCTCCCTCTTCACATGATGCTGGCCTCTGTGTCTCTTTGTGTCCAAATTCTTTTCTTCTTCTAAGGACCCCGATCACTGGATTAGGGCCCACCGCTCATCTTTACGAATCACATCTGGAAAGACCCTCTTTCCAAACAAGGTCCATTCTGTGTTTCCTGGTGAGCATGAATTTTCAACCCAGCACAATTATTATACCTCCAATTATCCCCATTTCATAGATCAGGAGAATTAGAGGAGCTGGACTTTTACAAAGTTGCTTTGCCCAACTGACATATGGACTGAAGCCAAGGCTTTCTAACCCATGGTCTGGTCTTCTGCTGCTTGTCTTAAAAACAGCGACAGTCCAAGGGGTTCGCATTCTGCAAGAGCATGCTGGGCAGAGATGGATTTTACTCACCAGAAACTGAAGTGACTTACTTGCAGCCATGATCCGGAAGAGAAGCTTCATGATGTGGTTTTATGAGGATCTTGTATCTCCCTCTTACCCAGAAGTAAACACCTTCACTTGACCTTCTGCGGCTCCATCCACTGTCACACACGTAAACACCCCGTCCAGTAATACACTCCAACCCAAATGCAGACAGGAAGATGTTCCTAAATAATGGTATTCCTCGGGATGCTCTCATTTCACAAGAAAGTCGTCAGATGGCCTAATTCCCAATTTCACATAATAATTCCACAGGGGTGATTTCTGGCATATCTCTTATCTCTACAGAAGAAAGCAAGCAGGGTCCCTCTATCAGGGCCCACAGATGTGTGCTTTGAGGAGCTGGAAAAAATGTAAGCTGGAGTCCCTCGGCTTTCCCAGCGGCCTTTAAGTCCTTTCAGGAGGAGCCTGCCGCTCCCTGGCAGGGATTTGCGGTCTTTGCCTTTGTGAACAACTTTACTGCTCACTTCAGGATGGCATTGCAACATCTTCTTTCTTCGTGCTCAGAATCCCTCAAGATTGAATTTTGTTTTAAGATCCCATCAGTGTTGAGAAATGTTGGTAAATACAACAACATTCATAGCAAACTTTGATGGAATATCTGCTGTTTATCACAAACTCATCTGGGAACTTTACACATATTGTTTAAGTTAATTTTCAGGCAGCCCCTATGAGTCAATTACTATTATTATTCCCAATCTACAAATAAGTAAAATAAAGTTCAGAGAATATAAGGAACATGAAAAGGTCATACAGCTAAAAGGTACAAGAGTCATGAAGGTAAGGTTTTTTGCAATGCATGGTCACATGTAAAAGAAACTGTCATATGAAGTTAAAGTATAAAAATTTAATTCCACTAGTAAAATACCATGACAGGATGACTTAGTGATCTCCAAAATCATCACAGTTGAAAAACGTCTTGCTCTGTATTCACTACCTGGATAACTGTGAAGACTTTTTCTGTGCATTTTTTAAAAATAAAAACCTATTGCCTGGATTTAACTTTTCTGCATCATTCTTTTGTCCTAAATGTCTGCCAACTGCATTGCTACCACAATGTTATTAAGATGCTTAGATTCAAATTGAGATAGTTCCAAGGACTTTATTAATTAGCCCATCTAGGAATTTGGATGAATGTTCTATGCAGGTTCTTCCTGCACAGAATCCCTCTAGATTTAATTTTGTTTTAAGATTACCCTACATGTACATGTAAAGGTGATTTGCCAAATCACCATTCAACAATATTACCGTCATAATTGTTTCCGACAATAATCATCAAGGGATGCTGAAACTAGTGGGTGAAAGTTCGATGAGAAACAGGATACTTGCAGAGTCTCAAAGTGTTTCCCTGCAAGATACTCATAACTCACAAAGGGAAAAATAGTCACTTTGCATTAGAGAAATCTCATGGTCCCCACCTGGGGACAAGGGCGATATTTTTCATGTAACCAACATTTACCACCCGCCAAAGAGGACACAAAGCAGAATTAAATATTATCCTCGACCCCAGATCATTTAGAATAACCATCAATCATCGTTACATTTCTCCTGGTGTAAAGGATGTTTGAGGTTAAGCCAACTTTTTTCACTTCTTGAAAGATTAAAAGGGTAGGTATGAAGGGTGGGGGCTGATGGGTGCAGGACGAGGTTGCATAATGAAGGTGTACAGCTTTACTCCCAGGAGGCACAAGTTGAAACCTGGAGAGAAACCCAGTGAGGTCATGTTAATGCCAAGCCCTTTTCCTGTGAAGAGCTGGGCAAACAAGACTCCCCCATCAAGCCGAGAACTTCCCCAATAAGAGGACTTACACAGTCATGAAGGGTGCCACATTTTCCTCACCGATGACATGTAAAGATGTTAATAACAGGAACTATATCTTATTTATTTATCGGTCTTGCACTGCCCATAATATTTGGTATCCTGGAGAAACTCAACGGATGCTTTTTGAACGTGCTAATTAATAAAGTCCTTGGAACTACCTTAATTTGAATCTAAGCTTCCTAGTAACAATTCCCATTGTGGTAGTAATGCAGTGGCCAGACATTTAACATGATGAAATGCAGTGGAAAAATTAAGTCCAAGTGATAGGTCTTTATTTTTTTTAAATGCACAGAAGGAGGCTTCATAGTATACCACGTAGTGAATATAGAGCAAGATGTTTTTCAGCTGTGATGATTTTAGAGATCACTAACTAAATCATCCTGTCATGGTGTTATACTAGTGAAACTAAATTTTTATATTTTAGGTTTACATAACAACCCAATTTCTAATTGAGCTTTTTTTCTTACCTTCTGTCTTCAAATTACATTCTCATTTTTATATCGTAGTAGGTTGTAGCATCTATGAAACACTGATTCGTTTATTGAATAAATATTTACTGAATACTCACTCTGTCCCTGGCATCTATTGGACACTATGGGAAATGTTAGTAAACAAGACAAATCTGCTCACAGAAAGCTAAAATTCAAAAGGCAGAAACAAACATTGAAGAAAGATTTACAAATGTGGGCATTAGGCCAGGCAGTAGGTACAGGAAATGCCAAGGTGGTAAAAAGTGGTCCCTGCCCTCCAAGAGACTCACGGGTTCCTTAGGGGTAAAGAAACTAGTAGTGATGATGGTAGTGATGATGGTGATGATGATGGTGATGATGGTGAGCATGATGGTGATGATGGTGAAGATGGTGATGATGATGGTGATGGTGATGTGATGATGGTGGTGATGATGGTGATGGTGGTGATGGTGACGGTGGTGATGATGATGGTGATGGTGATGTGATGATGATGGTGATGATGGTGATGGTGGTGATGGTGGTGATGGTGACGGTGGTGATGATAGTGATGTGATGATGATGGTGATGGTGGTGATGATGTGATGATGGTGATGGTGATGATGATAGTGATGATGGTGATGGTGGTGATGATGGTGATGATGGTGATGGTGGTGATGATGATGGTGATGGTGATGATGGTAATAATGATGGTGGTAGTGATGGTGATGATGGTAATGATAATGGCAGAAGGAAGTGGAGGGGGAGGAACAAGAGAAAAAGAAGGAGGAGGAGGAGGGGGAAAGAAAACTGCCACACCTTTCAGAGCAGAATTAACATGAGCTTAAATATCAGAAAAATCTGTTTTCCAGCCCTCGTTTTTCTCCTTACCAAGAGGGATATCTTTACACAAATTAGTTAATGTCCCTGCTCCTTAATTTTCTTGTCTCTAAAATTGAGATTCTAATACCTATTTTTCAAGGCCATCGATAAGGAAACAGTAGAGAGATTAATTATCTAAATATTTTAAAACCAACAAAGTGCTCTCAAAAAGGATGTTTGATCAAAAAAACATGTTAACACGTGCCTCCCTTTCTTGCTCCAAATCCCCAGAAACTACAGGAAAATATAATATATATTTAAAAATATCTAAATATCTGTAGAAAACAATAACGATGCCATCAGTAGAAGAGAAAACTTCCAGAAACACCTGAAAATGAGCAGTTGGGATTGGGTGAATCAGATCAAAGTCTGGGCTGGTGTCCAGTGCTCCACCAGGAGCTACTGGCTATGAAGATGGTGAAGGAGACCGCACCCCAGAGAGCCCACAGGTGGTAGAGACGGAACTGAATGTGTGCCCAGACTCTTGTTTGGTGGGGTGAAGCTATTGATTAATATTAGACATTAATAAAAATTTAAAATTGAATATGATGGTTAAAAATTTAAATTACCTCTAGAAAAATATAACTAGTATGTATAACTACTAAAGCAGTTGTTTATAAAAAGTTAAATGGAATAAATGAGACTTGCTTAGCTCAACTTTTAAAAAACAAAACGTGGAAAAGAAACAACATAAAATAAACAGAAATACAAGCATGTAAGGACATCATGAGATAATAAACACTATTCACCCAATTCCCCTATAAAAGGAAAGACACCTTCAACTTGGGTACAAATAGAAACTCAGCTACATGCTGTTTACAAAAGGGATATCAAGGATGAAGTAAGTTTAAAAGGGAAGGGATATAAAAATGCAATATTAATTTAGACCAATGAATTCAAAGTAAAAAGCCAAAGAAGAATATTCAGATTACCAGAGGTATAATCATTGAAAAAATATGACAATCGCAAAGTCTTATGCCCAAAAGTTATGGGCTAATCTTATATATAATTATAAATAGACAAAATATTAGCATACTGAGTCTAGTAACACATTAAAAGGATAATATATCATGTCAAGGTTGAACTTATTTATCCCAGAAGTCTTTAGAATGATCATAAAGAAAGGGATGGAAAACTATAAAAGAATAGAACACCTTAAAAATGTGTGGATTTGCAAAAGAAGCATGTAGAAATTCTAAGATTAAAAAAATAGTGTTGGAAATAAAACAGTCAACGGATGTGAAGTAGGAGGCGGGGCATAGCTCTGGAGGCAGGGTCCGCACTCCAGACCAGATCAAAGACTGGCTGAAAAACAGGAAGGAGGTGAAAGCAGCCCTTCATAAGACACGCCCACCAGTGCAATGTCAGTTTACCATTGCCATGGGAACACCCATAAGACACGCCTACCAGTGTTATGTCAGTTTACCATTGCCATGGCAACACCCAGAAGTTACTGCCCCTTTTGCAAGACAACGACCCAGAAGTTCCCACCCTTTTTCTAGAAATTTCTGAATAAGCTCACCCTTGTCTGGGATGGAATTAAAAGTAGATATAAATATGGCTGCAGAACTGCCCTGGGCTGCTGCTCTCAGGCACTGCCTGTGGGCCCTGCTCTGCTGTGGTGTGGTGGTCACGGGGCTGCTACCCTGCACCTCCATAAAGCTGCTTCCTCCTACCACCAGCTCGCTCCTAAGCACAGCCAAAATCCTTCCCGGGCTAAGCCCAGTGTGGGGTTCGCCTGCCCTGCTTCAGACGGATTGAAGATCAGATCAGATACAGCGGAAGAAAGAACTACTGGACTGGAAGGTAAAGCTGATGGCCTTTTCCCCCATGAACCACGTAGAGATGAAGGAATGGGAAAGGAAGAGGAGAACCGTGGGCTCTGCCAACCATTCCCCTGTGGGAGCGTGCTTGGTCTAACCTCACTCTTCCTTTTCCATTTTGCTGTGGCCACCTCTGCCACCTCAGAGGTTCCTAGGTGCCATTCCCACTGCCTGGGCCTCTCATATCCTGCCTCTTCCCAGGAATAATTTTCATTTCATAGGTGTCAGCTCAAGTCCCATTTAATGCATTCAACAAATATCTATCGTGCCTCGTGTTCTCACTTTGACTCAGCAGACCCTGTGGATAGAGAGTGAGACAGACAAGTCCCTGTCCTCATGGGGCACACACTCAAGGCTTGGGGGCATGGGGAGCAGATCATCAATAGGATGACACAGAAAGAAGCATATTTTAATTTTGATAAGCGGTACGAAGGAAATAAAACAAGTTTTCTTCAGGGAGGCCTTCCTTGGCCATCTGGTCTAACCTGGCCCCCTATTCTCTAACACGTTGGTCAATTTGTCAGACCCATTGAGCTTAATCCATGAGAATGTCAGCTCTCTAAGAGCAGAGCCCTCATCTGCCTTGCTTATGGCCATGTCCCCAGTGCTGTGGACACAATAGCTGTTGGACAAATAAAAGAGATTGTAAATAAATAAGTGACTTTTAGTGGCTCTCAGAGGCAGGTGCTAGCCTCCCATGGCTAATTTTAAGCCTAGGAATGTCTTTGCTCTCATCCATCCCCTCCCCCTTTGCCAGCAGTGTGCTAGTAAAGGTTTAACAATTAACTCTTCAGGAAAACAAAATGACCAGAATACAATAAATACAATAAACACACTTGATTTGTCATGTTTGCCAATTTCCATGGTGTAAATACTCCCATCGTGGGCAACTTCAAGTTACCAACATGACTCACCAGACGGAGATGGGAAGAGATGCCTGCAGCCCCCGGCGAGCGTTTCCTCCACGCAGTGAGCCTCAGGAGCACAGGTCATCACGGAGTGCATTGAAGCTGAGTTCTCTTCTACCTTTATTTCCAATACAATTGCTTTAAATGTACATTTATGTAATTTAATTTTTAATAATTCTGTGTTTACAACTGGCTCACAAAATTCCTGGAAAAAAAAAAAAAGCCTGTATGAACAGACTCCAGTGCACAACTCCCTGATGCTGAGAATGACCAGAAATGTAAGTGGATTGAAGGAAAGCCAGGTCGTTAACTCCCAAATGGCTTCCCACAAAGCGAGAAGTTTCTTCCTGCACTGGCACAAGGAGGCCAAAGACCAAAAGACATGTCTGAGGGCAAAGGATGGGGGTCATATGTTATTTGACTGCACTAATGGCACTCAGTTGGCAAAAACCTCCTTTTGTGAGTGAGGCCCACATTCCCACAGCGTCTGAGATAAATGGGCTCCACACTCCAGAATCCCAGCTAATTCAGCTAGTAGGAATGCAAACACTGATCCAAATTGAGGCCCCAGAACAGTCTCTTACATCTTCCTCGCCCCAGGGGGGATGAATGAGGAAGATTACTTGTGGATTATAATTGCTTAAAATAGGTTGTGATGTAAAAATCTAATCCCTTCTACTCTTCAGTAGTAAAGTCCTACAGACAGAGAAATTATGCTTAATGCCAGTGTATTGAAGGTAAAAAGAAAATTCCGTTCTCCCTCTGGGGGAAGAGGAAGGACATCTTTTTAGAGCTGTCAGAATTCACAAGCCATAATAAATTATTCTTTTTCATTACTGATTTATTAAGCAGGCTGCTTGGTGTAATGGCAGAAAATTTCTGTTTAATTTTCATAGTATTAGACGACTGTGATTCCCGATCTGAAATCAACTTGAGTTATTAAAAGAAGGGAATGTATTTAATGTCGTGCATCAGGGTCTGTCTTCATTAAATTCTTCCAACTACAGGGTTTAAGCATTTATGCAACATGGCTGTTGTTTGCTTGGAAACGAGACAACAGCCCTTTCTTGGGACAGTCTGTGTCAGGTGTGCTCAGCCCAATACTCTTCCATTTTAGTGATTGGCAGGAAAGTCAGCCATAAAATGCTAAAAATGGGTCTGAAAATCCCAAGCTAAAGAATCATAGAACCCAAATAATTCTCTACCATACATTTTCACTGGAATTAAGAGTTTTTAAAATACAACTGACCAAAATGTGAGAATCATTGATGTAGCTAGAACTGGGGTAAGCATGGTATGTGTCAGAAACTTTCAATCACATACATGAAATTATAATTACGTGAGCAATATTTGTGCCCACGAAGGAGCAAAACAACGGTGCCTGGCTGCCTTTTGCTTATCCCTCTGCTGCTGGGAGGGTCTTACACTGAGTTACAGGATTTCACAGATCTTAGAATAAACAAGCACTCACCAAGTTCTTACTACGGGATGAGTAAGACTCATTTTCAGCCCTAGAGGAGGTTTTAAAATATTCTGGAAGACAATTATCTATCGAAGATCCACATGAAATACGGGATGTACAAGTCAGGTCTGAGAAGGTGCAGAGAGGCATATACTCCACCCCACCTGGGGGGTCTCATCAGCTCCACCCCACCTGGGGGTTCTCACCAGGAGCTGAGCCTTCCCGGGTTTTATGGAATTCATCTGCAATAGAAATTTTGAATAAATGCAGCCTCTTACTGCCTTGCATAATATCATTAGAATTTTCTTGAATTAGCAGAACCAGTGAGTAACCGGGTACTACCCCATTCTAGGTAACATAATCTCTAGGTTGTTCTGTTGAGTTTCACTTAGTAATCAATCTCTGAGTTTGCAGAAGCTGGCCAGGTACAAACGAAATGTGCAACTCTATCCAACTGAATGAGCTTGGGACTTCTGGCCATGTTCTAAATATCTCCTTGGTGTCTTCATATGGGCATCCACTTTTCTTGGATGTAGCTGGCCAAATAGTTGAGACCATTTCTGGAGTCTTCAATGGGGCTCTGCTACTGAATTGTTCTTTTCACATGGTGCTTTGAATACTAGGGCCACCATGAAGGCAAATGCCATTTGTTCCCCATGAATAGAGGGAGGTGGCCCGGATCACCACCCAGCAACGTGCCCGGCACAAGGAGGGCACTCATCAGTCACCAGGGGGCAGGTAAGTCCAACTTACCATGACTGCTTCCACGGCTCTGGCATTCCCATAGAAGGGGCTGGGCCATCCGTCGCAAATACATTCCGATAAAGATGAATGTTTAGAAGAAAATAAAACAGGGGTAAAGGGATAGAGGTAACATCAGCACAAGGAGGCAGGGTGAGGAGGATGCTGTAGATGGTGTGTGGATGCTGTGGGTCTCAGAGGGTGCACTTTCCTGAGGCTGGGATGACCACAGAAGCCCATCCTGTGAGGAGGTGAGGATGGCATTGATGCTGAAGCCCTCACGGGGCCCAGGGAAGACAGAGGACTGTGTGGAGCCCAGGAGAGCTGGGCAGGAACCAGGTCACACAGGACTTTCCAGCCCCCAGGAGGGAGTTGGCATTTTCCTCTAAGAGAATCCTGGGTCCACAGATGGTTTTAAGCAAGAGAGTAGCACAATGTTTATTTTAGAGGGGTCCCACTGGCTGCAGAGTAAGAAAGAAGATGCTGACTCCAAATGACCTCCAGGCAAGGTGTGAGGTGGTGTGTGCTTGGGTGGAAGAGGGCATGAATAGCAAGGGCTGTCCTTGAAATATGTTTGGAGACTGAACCAACAGGTCTTGCTAATTGACTGAATATGGGTGGGGAGGGTAGTGCGAGTTGGTATCCGGAACGACACCTATGTTTTTTGGCACCTGCGGTTGCTGGATGGAGTTAGCGTTCAGCAGCAAGAGAAAGACGGGGAGGAGAACAAGCCTGGAAAATGGAGTGGCTGAGGTGGGAGAGGAAGGCTCTTGCTGACTGAACAACTTTGTGTTGGTGCTCTCCTGCCTCCCCGCCAGCAGGATTCACTGGGCCTGTGACATGTGACCACCTCCTGATCAGTCCACAGCCCGCCTCCCAAAATGGTGCCAAAAACACCGCACTGCATCTTCAAGGAAAAACATAAATAATTCCCTGCCAAGGCATTCCAGCCTGACTCAAAGGAGGTGGGGTTTGTTTGAAGAAAATCCAGCTCTCCTGGGCTGCCACCCACCTGTTCATCCACCAGGGACCTCCTCCTTGAAGACACCTGGATGTTTTGGACTTGGAGTCATTGACCCAGTTTGCGGATGGTAACGAAGGGGCAGGAGTTGTATTCACAAAACCCACTGATCCAGAAAACCACGATCGGGAAGGATTTTCAATTTCAATGGCAGGGGTGGTGGGGGTGGTGGGGGTGGATATTAAAGGGGAAAAAAAGGAGCAGAAACAAAAATAACAAGGCCATTAATCTTTCATTAAGTTAAAGGGATGAAAAGGAATCGCTTAAAGTATCATTCTCTCCTCGCACCACAAGCATGTTGCCCCCTGCCAACTTCAAAGGCTCCGAAGAGAAGTTGGTTAATATAGTTGGCACAGTATCAGGCTGTGGTTTACTTTTGCTTAAGTAGGATCTTTTTTTTCCTTTTAAACAAAGACAGCATAAGGGTCGGACGCTCATTGATGGGAGGTGCAACCTGTAACAGATGCCTTTGTGTTGGGCGCAGAGGCCTTTCGCGGCGGCTCTGCCAATCCGCGGTGGTTGTGGACTATTTGTCACAGACTCCAACAACCATCACAGGAAAAAAAAATCTGCCAGAAAGAGGGTAGAGAATAGAATCATTGTTCTGTTCATTCTCCGCCTTCCGCCTCTGTAGAGTCAGGCCTGTTCTGTGACTCGGCATCAGGGCTCCTGGTGGCCTTCCTCAAAATGCAGTTTGCAGGAAAGCAAGCCAAGTGTCCCACTTTTCCTGCAGAGTGAGTGAGCGGACAATCCCTCACCTGTTTGCGAATGGGGGGATAAAGAGTTCTGCGCTCTGGGAGGCTGTATTTTTCTTTAAGGCAGTTCTGTTTATACTGAAAACAGAACTAATTGGCAGTGAGTGGCAGGGCTTTGTGGCTAGGCCTTGGCTCTGTGTTGCTGCGGCTGCAGGGGCAGGGCAAGCTGTCCCTCCTGGCAAGTGCCGAGGTCTGTGTTTGTTGGGAGGGTGTGGTGACCTGCGGAGGAGGCCAGAGCTGGAAGCCCAGCAGAGGTTTCTGAAGGCCATTATCAATGTCCTGCCATATTGAAAGGCCGTTTTTCCATGTCCATTCCTTGGTTTGTTTTTTTTTTTTTGTACTTCATTATTTTCATTTTCTTAAGAGACAGGGTCTCACTGTGTAGTCCAGGATGGAATGCAGTGGTTTGACCATAGCTTACTGCAGCCTTCAACTCCTGGGCTCAAGTGGTTCTTCGGTACCACCATACCCAACTACTTTTTTTTTTTTTTGTAGAGATGGGGCCTCACTATGTTACCCAGGTTGGCCTTGAACTCTTGACCTCAAGTGATCCTCTTGCTTCAGCCTCCCAATGTGCTGGAAGGGATTACAGTCATGAGCCACCATGCCCAGCTTTGGTTTACTTTTAATGAGGAAGGCAGAGATTGGGGAAAAAAGACACGTTTGCCTTTTAGGAAACACGCCATAAATGTGATTTCCTAAAGTAAGTGGGTGCTTGGCCTTGCCTATTGGTGCCATAACAAGTCAGGGTTAAGTACTTCAGATCCAGAGATAGGGTGACCAGAGGTCCCAGTGTGTCCGGAATTGGTGGGTTCTTGGTCTCACTGACTTCAAGAATGAAGCCGCGGACCCTCGCGGTGAGTGTTACAGCTCTTAAGGTGGCGCGTCTGGAGTCTGTCCCTTCTGATGTTCAGATGTTTTCGGAGTTTCTTCCTTCTGGTGGGTTCGTGGTCTCGCTGGCTCAGGAGTGAAGCTGCAGACCTTTGCGGTGAGTGTTACAGCTCTTAAGGCAGCGCGTCTGGAGTTGTTCGTTCCTCCCGGTGGGCTCATGGTTTCGCTGGGCTCTGGAGTGAAGCTGCAGATCTTCGCGGTGAGTGTTACACCTCATAAAAGCAGCGTGGACCCAAAGAGTGGGCAGTAGCAAGATTTATTGCAAAGAGCGAAAGAACAAAGCTTCCACACTGTGGAAGGGGACCCAAGCGGGTTGCCACTGCTGGCTCGGGCAGCCTGCTTTTATTCTCCTATCTGGCCCCACCCACATCCTGCTGATTGGTAGAGCCGAGCGGCCTGTTTTAACAGGGCACTGATTGGTTCGTTTACAATCCCTGAGCTAGATACAAAGGTTCTCCACGTCCCCATCAGATTAGTTAGATACAGTTTCCACACACAGGTTCTCCAAGGCCCCACCAGGGCAGCTAGATACAGTGTCGATTGGTGCACTCATAAACTTTGAGCTAAACACAGGGTGCTGATTGGCGTATTTACAATCCCTGAGCTAGACATAAAGGTTCTCCACGTCCTCACCAGAGCAGCTAGATACAGAGTGTCGATTGGTGCACTCACAAACCTTGAGCTAAACACAGGGTGCTGATTGGTGTGTTTACAATCCCTGAGCTAGATATAATGACTCTCCACGTCCCCACCAGACTCAGGAGCCCAGCTGGCTTCACCTAGTGGATCCCGCACTGGGGTTGCAGGTGGAGCTGCCTGCCAGTCCTGCGCCGTGCGCTCTCATTCCTCAGCCCTTGGGTGGTCGGCGGGACTGGGCGCCGTGGAGCAGGGGGTGGCACTCGTCGGGGAGGCTCGGGCTGCACAGGAGCCCATGGAGGGGGTGGGAGGCTCAGGCATGGCGGGCTGCAGGTCCCGAGCCCTGCCGCGTGGGAAGGCAGCTAAGGCCCGGCGAGAAATCGAGCTCAGCGCTGGTGGGATGGCACTGCTGGGGGACCCAGTACACCCTCCACAGCCGCTGGCCCGGGTGCTAAGTCCCTCATTGCCCGGGGCCAGCAGGGCTGGCCGGCTGCTCCGGGTGCGGGGCCCGCCAAGCCCACGCCCACCCGGAACTCCAGCTGGCCCGCAAGCACCGCACGCAGCCCCGGTTCCCGCTCGCGCCTCTCCCTCCACACCTCCCTGCAAGCTGAGGGAGTGGGCTCCGGCCTTGGCCAGCCCAGAAAGGGGCTCCCACAGTGCAGTGGGTGGCTGAAGGGCTCCTCAAATGCCGCCAAAGTGGGAGCCCAGGCAGGGGAGGTGCGGAGAGCAAGCGAGGGCTCTGAGGACTGCCAGCACGCTGTCACCTCTCACCAGCATCCCCAGATGGCTCCAGAATCACTGAGTTAACAGCCTCTGAAACCCTCGACTTTCACTGCTTTGCAAGTATCGTCATTCAACCTACTGAATAAATTAAATCAGGTTGGGTCCTGGCTCCATCGTCATCCCTGGTGAGTTCTGGGCAGGCTGCTCACAGTCTGAGAACCTCTGCTTCCACTTGGCCCATGGTGAGAATAACATTCTTCCTGGGTTATTGTGGGGACTAATTGAGAGAGAGTACAAGACCCCATCTGCATGTCACAAACACCTGCTGCCTCCGTAAAACACAATGGGGAACAGTGGCAGGGAATGTTAGCTTGTCCAAAGCATTGAGTTTAGAAAGAAGAATGTTATGGTTTTTAGAAAACATCATGTATGTAGGCTGAAATAAATGTTTCTAATAGCTTACCTCTGTGGAGAGAACCACAAAACAAAAATAAGTTAGGAGGAGGGAGTGGTGGTGCAAGGCAAACCTCGTCTGCTGAGGGCCTGCCACGGGGTTTGGGGGTGCAGCTCTGGGGTGCCTTCTTCCAGCACCTGGGAACTCTAAAGCATGTGGTAGTTTCTTTGCAGGGCTTCTGTGAATGTGCAAAATAGAGAACAGGGCCAGCACATAGTACACACTCAGTTAAAGTGAACTGTTGACATCATTGCCGCATTTAGTAAGAAAATCTATGAATACAGATATATAGAGATAGATGTAAATATAGATGTAGATATATAGATACAGATATAGATAATAGAATATGTTTCAAAGCAGGCCACTAGAAGAGGGGCCAGTTGCTTTCCAAAGCTGGGGGAGACTGAGGCAGGCACTCAGACAGCACCGAACCTTCAAGGATCTTATGGATAAGCCATTCTGTGCTACTAGTGAAATAGTCATGATATATAACTATTTTTTTGAGACAGGGTCTTGCTCTATTGCCCAGGCTGGAGTGCAGTGGCACAGTGGTAGTTCACTGAGACAGGGTCTTGCTCTGTTGCCCAGGCTGGAGTGCAGTGGCACAGTGGTAGTTCACTGAGACAGGGTCTTGCTCTGTTGCCCAGGCTGGAGTGCAGAGGCGCAGTGGTAGTTCACTGAGACAGGGTCTTGCTCTGTTGCCCAGGCTGGAGTGCAGTGGCGCAATGGTAGTTCACTGGAGCCTCAATCTCCATGCTCAAGCGATCCTCCTCTCTCAGCCTCCTTGAGTAGCTGGGACTACAGGTGTGCACTACCACATCTGGCTAATTTTCTTTTTATTTTTGTGGAGATGGGGTCTCACTACGTTGCCCAGGTTGGTCTCAAACTCCTGAGGTCAAGCAATCCCCCTGTTTCGGCCTCCCAGAATGTTGGGATTATAGGCGTAAGCCACTACACCAGCCATAACCAACTTTCTTAACTTCCAGTTAACTTCTTTCCATCTCAGTTTGGAAAATGAAAATATTTCCTGGCTCAAACTGTATGTCAAAGAAATCACAAAAATAAATCCCTAATTATCCATTTCCCTACATTATAATTTGACTACTATACCTAGCATCTGAACCATACCCATGTCCAGAGCCAGGGCAGACTTGGTGAGTTGAGATCATAAACAACTGAAACCCAACATGACTGAAAAAACAAGATTCCTTTCTTGCTGAGGTTCCAGGCTCCTCATGGATCTCCGGGGGAGTTCTGCCCCGTGTTGCCCTCGGGGAGGGGGGGATGTAGGTTAACAGAACTGCTGACACGTGGCCAGGCTCCATGCCAGAGGGAAAGGAAGTGTGACAGGACCTGACCACGGTGTGAGCCTGGTCAGAACCGGACCCAGGACCCCACCTCGCAGCAAAGGGGAAGCACAGTTGTGCCCCACATCGGGCACTCACTGGACATGTCCAATTGTCAAGACCTGGATTACCACCAATATGCGAGCTACTCCCCAATCCATCCAAATTTCCTTCTCCAGGCTGGACCACTTCCCTGAACTCCAGACCCAAATTTTCTTCTCCAGGCTGGACCACTTCCCTGAACTCCAGACCCACGTATTCAACTATTTCTTTAACACCTGTGTTTGGAAATCTAAGAAAAATCTAACATATTGAAACCCAAACTTTTGGTCTTTCTCCCAAACATGCTTCTCCTACAATGCCCCCAATTCAGTTGGTGGTTAATTCTATCCTCCTAGTTAGTTGCTTGGACTAAAACTCTTAGACTCATCTGTCTTGCTCAAAACCCACATCCAAACAATCAGCAAATCCTATAAGCTCCACCTTCAAAAGACCCAGAATGTGACCTTCCCCTGCTGCTGCTTACTGCCCTGGTGCAAGCCACCGTCTCTCCTCCCAGATGTTCACAATTGCATCCTAACCCGCTTCTCTATTGCCATCTTTGCAACCTTTAGTCCAATTCTCAACATGGCAACATGAGATGTTTTTTTAAAGATAAATCAAGACACACCTCTGCTCAAACCTTCCAAAGGCTTCCCAGGGCCACCAGAGTAGAGGATTTTCAGTTGACAATGGCCTTCAAGGTTCCCAGTGCCCTGATCTCCCACTACCTTCTTGAGGGCGTCTGCTTCCCTTCTCTCCATCACCTGCTCCTCCAGGCCACTCTGTTCCTCCACCCTCCAGGCACCGCCATCCAGAGGCTCTACAAGCAGCTCCCTCTGCCTGGCCCCTGCTCCTCCAGCTACCTGTGTGTTCTGTCCCTCACTGCCTTCCAGTGGTCAGTAAACATTTGATGAATGAATGAATAGCTGTATATTCACTAGTAGTTGACGCCTGGGCCATGTGACCTGTAATTTTATAAGTAAGGATTACAAACACTAAAATCTTTGGAAAAGCAGTAGATATTGGCCAGTAGTGCCCTGGAAGGGGACAAACGATTGTTCCTCCTGAGAGGCACATTTGTCAGAGTGGGGCTGAGTGGGCTTCACCCAAAGCATGGAGTGCAGGGCAGCCAAGGGGATTTATCCTCAGTTATCCCCAGGTTCGACACGTGCACCCAGCTAGAAACTCTATTTCGGAGCTCTCCCTTTAGCCCTGGCCAGGAATGGCAAGAGCTGGTGCAGCTGGTGGCCCAGGGATAGAAGACAAGGACCCACCCCAGATCGCCCCTCTGTCCCGCAGGGAGAGATAGAAATAAGTGTTTTTCTTGTCTCTTGTTTGGGGCAGCCTCTATTTTATGCTCTCTCTTGGAGCAGTTCAGCCTGTATCCTAACTGCATCAATGCTGTGTTCAGGGCGGGGGGAGCGTTCGCCTTTTCATGCTCACGGTTGAGTCAAGAATGGGACTCTACAAGAGGGAGGCAGTTGGATAGGAAAGTGTAAACACTTGCATTGAGAGAGATTGTATTAAGCACACATATTTTTGGAGCAGTAGAGAGATCATTTGTCTTTTTTATATTAGCAGATGAAAAGAGGCAATACGGTAAAGTATTTTTTGTTTTTGTTATTGTTTGTTTTGGTTTTGCTTTTTTTGAGATGGAGTCTCACTCTGTCGTCCAGGCTGGAAGTGCAATGGCATGATCTTGGCTCACTGAAACTTTTGCCACCCGAGTTCTCCTGCCTCAGCCTCCCGAGTAGCTGGGATTACAGGCTTGCACCACCACGCCTGGCTAATTTTTTTTTTTTTTTTTTTTTTTTTAGTAGAGATTGGGTTTCACCATGTTAGGCTGGTCTCGAACTCCTGACCTCAGGTGATCCACCCACCTTGGCCTCTCAAAGTGCTGGGATTACAAGCATGAGCCACCACACCTGGCCAGTAAAGTTTCTTTTAAAAGGCAGCCTTGTAAGAGTTTTAGCACAAGCTTTTCTTGGCCTCCTTTTCTTGACCGGCGTGAAGTTTTGCATCAGAAGCTCCTTTGGAAGGCAGAGCAAAGGAAATGTATGCTCTTATCGGTGGATTTATCTACTTTTAAATTTCTCCCATGGCCCATTTTACTCACTTTCGATGTTTTCTTTTTCTTCTTACAAATGTTTAGGTCTGCAAAGTCATTCAAAATTCAGTGTATCTTTATTTCCTGGTCTGGTCACTGTATTCTTTAATATTATCTTCCCTGGGATCAAGAAAGTCACTTTGCTTTGAAACGGTCTCCTTGGGGAGCTGACTTACGCATGCAGAACTGTTCTCACACCTGCCTGGTTTGGAAAGGCACCAGGATACAGAAGGGAGACTGCATTAAAGTCACACAGGAGGGTGGGGGTAGCTCAGAAATCACAGACTCAAAGGAAAATGATCCAATATTTCAAACAAAATCATGTCTCATGTATTTCTGCTCCATTACAATAGGGTAAGTTAGATCTAGTCTTACAGGGACTGCTATCTTAGATGTGGAACTCTCTAAGTGCTTAAAACGTCTTCTATGTTATTACATATACAAAGGAGCTCTTTAATACAGCAACTGTCTGTGACACGGAAGTCATATCTCGATTTTCTTTGTCGACTAAAACCACTCTAACCTAGAAAGCTACACCACTACTGAAGAATTTAACCAGCATTCCCCACAGGTGAATGGGCACTAGGTATGATTCAATTTTAAAAGGAAACTGTTCATTGACTAAATTACCGAAATAGTCTACCTGTCTTCTGTTAGTACCGTATTTTTATGACTTTTTAATACATGCAAAATGTTTCTTGAGTAAAAGGCTGTGCAGTATTTCCTTTAAAATGGAAAGATCCTTTGTAATTTATAAATAGGTTCATCTCCCCATTGTTAAGCTATGAATAAATTCCATTGATTCATGGCTTTAGAAAATAAACTCTTCGGGATGTAATTACTTTTTCAACAACTTCTCAACAAATTCACTGCCATGAAGTCTTATTATGTGCTCCATAAAAACAAATCTAAAATGCAAAGCTAATGAACCAAAACATCATGCAAATCTGAGATGAAGTTTATGAAACATAGGGAAGATGTATGAAGGACTAGCTTCATGCCTAAACTCTGAATATCGTGACTTCTATATATGTAGCCATGAAGTCATGTACAACAGCTAATGGTAAGCAAAAGTTGATTGGCTGGAAAACACAGCATAGAATCTCAATTTTCATATTTATCCAACAAACACTTACTGAGAACCTACTGCGTGCTAGCCATAAGACTGTCTCTGTTCTCATGAAATTAGCAATTGCAGTGGACATACAAATGAATAAACAGGCATAACAAGAAGGTCCAACATTAAATTCTTTTTATTGGGCGAAAGAATAGGGTATGATGGGAATGTGTAAAAGAGCATGTTATAGGGAAGTTGGAAAGTTTAACATAGAAATGACATTTAAACTGGTACCTGAGGAGTAAACATGACTTAGCCAAGCAAAAAGTAAAAGTCACTTTAACTATTCCGGACAAAGGAAACCATATGTGCAAAAGCTGGTGTGCACGTGAGAAGAACAAATTTCAGGGACCGAAAAAAATGTCAGTATGAAGTGATTGGAGTGAAGAGTCTGTGCATCTGGTAGCAAAGATAACCTTGGAGAGAGAAGCAGAGAACAGGCAATAAAGAAGTGAAGAGATTTGTAGCTGGAGCAATGGCGATAAGGAAGGAAAACGTGCACCAGCTTGAGAGGCCTTTGGGTCTGATAATAGAATAAACAGAACCAGATGCTTGGGTCAGTAGAGGGGCTGGGGGAAGAGTAGAGATGATTCACAGATTTTAGGATGGACCAGGATAAGGAACAAAGAGGAGGGAGGCGGCAGGGAAGGAAAGAGCTCCCTTTTGGACTTGCTGAGTTATCCAGAGATGTCTGAGAGAAGATGTACAGTTCTCAGCTGGATACATGACTTTGGAGCTCAGAGTCGTATGAGTCCATGAGTTGAGAGTCATCCTCAATGACTGGTGTCTGGGGCTGTGGAAGGAGACCACATCGTCCCGTTTGCTATAGTAAGAACCAAAGAGGACCCTTTGGCACCTGTTGTTTAAAGGTTAACAGAAGAACACTCAAAGAACACTGAGATGGGGAGAGTGTCAAATAAGTCAACAAGATAAAAATGGTGGAACTGTGAAGATAGACAATGTTAGCAGATAGGTGAAAGAAATGAGTCAGCAAAATAAACTAGGAATGAGTAGCCAGAGAGGTGAGAAGAAAACCAAGAGTGTGTGATGCCAAACAAAAACTCAAAAACAGAGCACCTTAAAAAGAAGAATGGTTCCGATACGACAGCGTGACCAGGAAGAACAGGGACTAAAGATTGTCCATTGGGTTCAGTGATGGGAGAGGATGGTTGGGGAGGAAGCCAGAGGTTCACTAACAGAGGCGGGTTGAGTGAAGACTGGTAAGAGAGGGAGCCGAGGCGGGAATCTACACAGCGTCTTCAAGGAGTGAACTGCGAAGGCAGAAAAGCGATTATGCGATGGCTGAAGGGAAATCACTTGGCGGGAGTGCTTTGTTTTAAGATGGGAGGGACTATTTTAAAGGTCCTTCAACTGATACCTGCAAGATTCCACAGGGCAAAGATATTGTAAACATACATTTAACACTCACTGCACTTTAGATTATATATTTACAGAGCCACACAATGAATTTACATCTCTCAAAATGGAAATTGATCTTTTTTTTAAATTCAGATTCAGTGACTGCAAAACCCTATGCAGAAATATCTGAGTAATGAAGATGTTAGCAAACCCAGCATGGTCCCTGGGCGTGGCTGCTGTGGGTTTGTTTGTTTTTACATTTACACTGTTAGACCATGCATTGAACACTCCCTATTAGAACCACAGAAACCCACTGGAAAGAGCCTTTAAAGCTAATCTTATCTGATTTGTTCTTACATCTCCTTTATGTATCCCCATCAAGAGGTCATTCAACCTGTGCTTGAAAAGCTCTGCGGACCAGGTATTGACACATTTCAGAAGTGGCTTGCTCTGTCCTAAAGCACTTCTGATTTCTAGAAAGCTCTCCCTTATGTGGAATTGAAATTGGCTTCCCTATACCTTCTTCTGCTTAGGGGTGATGAATGTAACTTTTCAGGTCAAACTTCCTGGGTTCAAACCCCTGCTCTGCCACTAACACATCACGTGACATGGGCGAGTCTCCTATCTCTGTTGTCTCCATGTATCCATCTGTACAGTGGGGATGACGATCAGAGGCGACGTCACAAGGCCCCTGCCAGGAGTAACCTGGGTGCTACATGCAAAGCACCTGGGACTCAGCACTCGGTGAGCATTAGCCATTATCACACCCATCCTGTTCAACTCCATGGGTCCATGAAGGGAAAACAAACACACCAGGGACATCTAATAGTCTCGACATGTTCTAACCCTTCAAACATTTCAAGAAAATTCTCATGTGGCTGCATTTTTCTCTTCTAAATATCCTAAGTTCCTTCACAGCGTCTCATCTGACATGAATTTAAATTCCTTCGCCATCTTGTTTACACTCCTTTGAACATGGTTTTATTTATATCCCCTTAAATCCCATTTATTTATACCCCTCTCCTTAGCAGTGTGGTGCCCGGAACAGGACTGAATACTCCAGGATGGTATGTCCTGAGAGACAGAGAGAGGGCTTATTGCTTCCTGTTTTCCTTATGTTGAAGTTTCGCTAGAGCTGCCTAAGACACCGTTGCTTTTTCGTTGTTACAGTCCCAGCCCACGGCTGAAGCATGTGGAATACACGACAGTCCCTGAAACAACACTGCCTATTCGCAGTAGAGTGACGATTCTGTGGAAAAACTCCCTGTATCACCTCCCAGCTCATCCCACCAACCTCTGTGTGCCTTATTTTCCCCGTGATGAAATGATATCATGATAACCACGCCTGTCTCACAGAGGGAGTGAGGATGAAGAAGGTTTAATGTATGTCAGTGCTGGGCAGTGTGCCCAGCAGAGAGTAGGCCTGATGCCTGATACTAATGTTACCTAGCAGTATTATTATTATTATTATTATTATTATTATTATTATTATTATTGAGATGGAGTCTTGCTGTGCCCCTCAGGCTGGAGTACAATGGTGAGAACGCGGCTCGCTGCAACCTCCGCCTCCTGGGTTCAAGCTATTCTCCCACCTCAGCCTTCTGAGTAGCTGGGATTACAGGTGCCCACCACCACACCCGGCTAATTTTTGTATTTTTAGTAGAGATGGGGTTTTGCCATGTCGGCAGGCTGGCCTCAAACTCCTGACCTCAGGTGATCCACCCGCCTCCGCCTCCCAAAGTGCTGGAATTACAGGAATAAGCCACTGCGCCCAGCCTATTATTCTAACAATATTATTTTATCCTAAGTGCAGAATATTACGCAGTTCTGCTGCAACTCTTGTTTTGAAGATACACGTTTGTTCCAATGCAGTTGAGATAGTAGGGAACGATTTGAGCTCAGCCCCAAAGTCGTATTTGCTCATGGGCAATTTCATCTGTGATAAACACTAGCCGAATACAGAAAATTGCATGGGCTGAACAGAGCAGCAAAGAAATGTACAAAACCCACACATGTCCACGCCTCAAACATCTACCAACGATTTCAGTTCACTGAGATTTTAGGAACTACTCCATCCACGCCTGCCGACACTCCGTTCTTCCAATTGCAGATAATGCCATTTCCACCGCTTCACAATAACCCGCGGACTATAGTCCTTCCAGTACCCACTCCCGTGAGCAATCTTCGGGGTTCCCTCTGGGTGAAGAGCCATATTCATGGTGGTATTTATGTTATTTCTTAACCACTGAACACGTGTAAAACCACGCTGGAATTTGTATTAGCTTTCCGTCTTTTTCTCAAATGTGTCACTGACGTGCTTTTGAGCGCTGTGCCCCAATCCCGCTTTTCTTACCAGCCCTGTGATTTGCGTTGCATGATTTTGCATAGCACCGACATTCTCAGGTGCGCACATGTCGTGTTAAAGCAGAACTGACTGCAATTCTCTGTTAAGTTTTATGGACTCTCAGAATATTTTGATTCTGATTCTGTTATTCCTAACATCTGACATTTCTAATCCTCATGTTACCCGTGATTTTGATGAGACTCTAATACTGCATATCCGTAAATCATTGAGGTGAAAGGCTATATTCTGAAAGATGGCCTTACAAAAATGAAAAAGGCACTTCCTGTGTGATAAAGTGTTTTCAGTATGATAATGAATTTTAAGTCATGTTATTGACTTAATTAGGTATTTTTCAATTTAGCTTTAGGAAGAAGACACTTTTTTTTCTGGTTATTGAAATCTTCTTTTAAGAAGACACCTTAAGGAATACTACACTGTCCTATAAAAGAGCAAGATCATGTCTTTTGCGGCAACATGGATGCAGCTGGCGGCCATTATCCTAAGATAATTAATGCAGGAGCAGAAAACTAAATGCCATATGTTCTCACCTATCAGTGGGAGCTAAACATTGGGCACTCGGGGACATAAAGATGGAATCAGTAGGTGCTGGAGACTACCGGGGAGGGGAGGGGGCGAGGGTTGAAAAAACTACCTGTTGGGAGCTGTGCTCACTGCCTCGGTGAAGGGATCAACTGTACCCCAAACCTCAGGATCACGCAATAGACCCATGTAACAAACATGCACATGGACCCCTGAATTTTAAGTAAAAGTTGCAATTATTTTTAAAAAGTTGATGACAATGGACTCATTCATTCATTCATTCATTCATTCATTTTTCTGTTCATTTAAATGAAGATTTATTGAGCACCTATTAAAAGGAAAGAGGAAGGGATGTAGCACTTTGGACCTTGGATGGCGCGTGTAGAATTTCCTACTTGTCTCTGCTTCAGAGATGAATCCACGTGGCCCTGGGAAATGAACCTTCTTACCAAGATCGCCCTCCGCTGGTGACAGAGCCAAGTCTCCGGGCTCCTAGTTCACAGCTCTTCCTACAACACCAGGCTGGCTCTCCGCGTCTGATCCAGAGCCAGGCCCGCCCATGACCGCAGGCTGGTGTTCACTCTAGGCAGCTTTTAAGACGGGGAGGGATAGCAGGAACAGTTATGACTTTTTTTTGGATACATAATATGTGCACATACTGATGGGGTACCTGTGGTAGTTTGCGACATGCACGGAATGTGTAATGATCACGTCAGGGTTTTAGGCTGCACATCCCCTTGAGCACTTATCATTTCTAGTGCTGTGAGTGTTAAAAGTCCTCTCTTCTAGGTATCCTGAAATATACAATACATTGCTGCCAACTATGGTTACCCTATTGTACTATCAAACATGAGAACTTATTCCTTCTAACTGTTGGGTAATTGTACCCATACCAATTCCTAATGAGTACTGTACCCATTAGTAATGGATACTATAACTAATCTCATATGCATCCAATACCCATCCAATATCGAATGGGTGTTATACCCATTACCCAACCTCTCTTCATCTCCCCACCGCCCCCGAACACACACACACTCCCCACTCTGGTATCTATCATTCTATTCTCTACCTCCATGGATCCATTTCTTTTAGCTCCCACACATGAGAGAGAATAAGTGATATTTGTCTTTCTGTGCCTGGCTTATTTCACTTACATCGTGACCTCCAGTTTGGTGGCAGCTTTTTGAAAGCTTCCAGGCACTCTGTGATGCCCCTGATGGGGCGGCCAGGACCTGCTTTCTACCTGGGACAGGACACTGGCCTCACCCTCACTGGGGCATGGGGGCAGCTGCCCCATGAGAAGGGTTCTTTTTGCTCATTAGAGCAAATGTTGGCATTATAAACACAAACCCGTGCCATGAGGCAAACCCTGCTCCTTCAAGGAAGTCTTGAGGCTTAAAAGTCTTAAGTGACTTTGCAGGGCTTTTGAAGGCTGAGAAAGCTTTCATTTTCTGGAAGGAATGGGAGAATAGTTCTTTATTGGTGTTGCTGATGATAATAAAATCGGAAACACCTAAGTCACTGTATATAAGCATACTCTTTCATTTCACTATTACAGAATAATTCTGATGAGTTCTGTACTGGGCCATCAGGTTCAATTAGTTCATTCATCTGTAGGATGCCTCGGCATAGTATCTTGACTTACCCATTCATGCACTTGGTTGACTTATTAATTTAGCTCTCTACTTATTGACCTCAGTGGGAACTCCTGGCTTGAATTATGTGTTCATTTGTTTGGGTGTTTGCTTGGGATGGGTAATATCCACACAGGCCACAGGATTTAGAAGGTACAAAAGAGTATAACGAGAAAATAAGTTGCCTTTTCTCCCCTGTTCTTCTCCTTTACCTAGGAGAGGCAATGACTTTTGATGCTATCAGAAAGCACGTTGGTTTTCAGGATGGCTTCCGTGTTCACAATCACGTGTGTGTCACACACATGGTAATATGCTATATACACATTGTTCTAGTCATTCTCAGCTGGGGACAGTTTTGACTCCCGGTGCCATTTCGCCATGTCTGGAGACATTTTTGGTTGTTACACTGGAGGTGGGGGGCCACAGGTAGCTGGTAGGTGGAGGCCAGGGAGGCTGCTCACCGTCCCGCAGTGCACAGGACGGCCCCCACCACACAGAACCGTCTGACCCAAAATGACATTAGTCCTGAGGTTAAGAATATCTCGCTTTTATTTATTTATCTTTAACTCCTTAAGTTGTTTGGACTATGATTCCTCAAGCAACTTGGCAGGATGAGAAGAAAGTTTTAAAGTTGCAGGCGAACCGGAGCTCTATTTTATTTCTCGATATCCTAGCACCTGCCAGAGAACACGGTTCTTAGAAGTCTCTCCGGCAGTATGCTTTAAATGCATAGGCAATTTGTTAATTATGGGTGAAGGGCATTTAACATAAGACGAAAGGTACAGTAAGCTGTTCTGTCTTCAAATCTGAACCTCCCAATTGTTCTATAGTGTAGATTAGAATTCGAGTACCGTAGAGAAATACAGCTCTACCTGTTTGGATTTTTTTTTTTTTTTTTTTTTTTTTTTGGACCCAAAGGAAACAATGTAGGTTAGGATGAAAAACTTCCATTTTGGAGGCAAATGTTGGAGAAATTAGCTGCATAAAAGGGTCCCCAGGTCCTTCACCTGTCCTCTGTGAAAAACAAGTTATTAAAACAAGCAGAAAGCTTGCCTGGGCTTTTAAACGGTGAGGCCAGTCAGTTACCCTGAATAAAAGGCGTTATAATACACATAACTGAGAGGGATAGAAGGTGTTTCAACTTCATCAAAAGGCTTGAAAAGGATGACACTCTTTGCATCTGTGCTTTCAGGAAGTTTTTCAGGGCTGATATTTATTTTAAATCAGAATGGCTTACAAAGCAAACCCCCTTTATAAAACGTGTCACATGTAGCAATCCTGGAGATGACCTCTACAATTCTAGGCTGGACAGAGAGATTACTCTTAAGAGAAAAAACTAGATCCCTTTAATCAGCTTTAAAAAAAACATTGTGAACAGTCACTTCTCTTATTTAAAAGTTTAACTTTACTTTCATCAATTTATAATCAGAGTTCCTCTGGTATGTTTGATTCCTGACAAACAAGGATAAAAGTTGTGTGCCCCCATTGCTAATGAGATGATAAAACAGCAGGGATCAAGTTTTTAATTACTACAGGCGATGCACTGGAGAGGTACCGATGATATTTTCTATTGCATGTCTAAGTTGTAACTTCAGGCTTATGACAGTCCTGCTGAGTTCGACTGCCTTTGATGATCACTCATTTTTGTCTCCTGAGAACATACAAAAATTTCTGAGCTAGAATCCTGGGGGGCTGGCAATTATTGGCATAACCTGGCACAGGTTCCCCTCTTCAACCATCATTGCTCAGTGAGGATCCAGTTTCTTAATGCCTGCCCTTACACCGAAAGGGAAATTGGACATCCAAAATGTCTATGAACTTTCATACTCAAATAATACCCATTCTCACACTCCCAGCATGGGCTTTCCGTTAATAATAAAATATTTAATTGAATTGGGAGATTTCTAGTACAGGCTGTTTCATTTCTTTTCAAAGTCATGATAGAAATTTTTTAGTTAAAACCTTATTTATCTGCACATTTGTAGGTGCATATTATATTTATCGCTCTAAACTATTTAAACATTTCTAATAGTATTCCCTTTGTTACTGCAGACAGTTGATAATAGAAATGTTTAAAGGTGCCATTATTTATCAAATAAGGTCAGATGTTCTCACCCTGTTTGAAATGGAAACTAGGAGTGGATTCCATTAACTCTCTTGTTCACACAACACACACACATGCACACACGCACACACACACACACATCTCAGTGGTTGGCCAGAGCATTCAACAAATAAGATTTGCTCCAATCCCTGTTTTTAGCTATGAAAATATGAGCAGAGAGTTCATGTGATATGTAGACAATTACCGGGCCAATCTGAATACAACCACCCAACTCATCAACCAACTAACTAACTAGCCACAATCTTTGAGCACTCAAGTAATTTCAAAATTATGAAGTAAGAATTGAGTGTCAGAATTACAAGCATTGGCTGAGTTTACTAAGTAGTTTACATTTCTAAGATTTTAGATCATAAGCAAAAAAAAAAAAAAAAAAAATGCATTCTCAGCTACTCCATTGGGAAAAACCCATAAATGAAAAGAGATTTACAAATAGCAAAGGTAAATGAACTCTTTTTTTGTCTGTCTCCTTCTCAGAATCTAAATTACAATGCCCTTGGGGAATTTCTTCTTTCTTTCTTTCTTTTTTTTTTAGACAGAGTCTCACTCTGTCATCCACGCAGTGGCACAGTCTCGGCCCACTGCAACCTCCGCCTCCCAGGTTCAAGAGATTCTCCTGCCTCAGCCTCCCGAGTAGCTGGGACTACAGGCGCCTGCCACCACGCCCAACTAATTTTTGTATTTTTAGTAGAGACGGGGTTTCACCATGTTGGCCAGGCTGGTCTCGAACTCCTGACCTCAGGTGATCCACCCTCGGCCTCCAAAAGTGCTGGGATTACAGGCATAAGCCACTACGTCTGGCCAGGAATTTCTATTTTTATGGTCTTTTAAAAAAATCACATATGTAAAATATAAAGACCAGATACTTGCAGCTTATTTTCTTCTTGACAAAGGAAAGTTAAAAATGTTTTAATTATGCAATTTGTGTATAATATAGAATTCACATTGCTTGTGTTAGGATAGAACAGCCCAGAACCTTGGTGGCTGGACACAGTCGATGTGTACTTTTTGTTCATGGAAGTGCTGCGAAGGTGGCTGGTTGGGCAGCCCTCCTGGACAGCTGTCCTCAAGGACTGGCTCCCAGAGTCCAGTGGCTCCTTATCTTCTTGAATGGCAGTGCTCCCTTGACTCTCCACATCTTGGTGGTGGCAGGGCACAGCCAATTTGGAAGATCTCCTGGAAGCTTTGTCAGCCTCACCTGGAAGTGTCTGTGTCTGTTTGCTCACATTCCATTGGCTAGAAGGGCAACAAGGCACCACTAAGATGCAGTAAAGCCCAGAAAGAAAATGAATTGGTTTGCTAAACAAGTGTGAACAAAAGTTCTCTGAAAAGGAATTTGGAGGAAAGAGACTTTATTCCAGTGAACAGTTTGCAAACTGGGGAAATGGAGTCTTTCCTATAAAATGAAGGTGTGTTGCAAAGAAAAAAAGGAAGGCTCAGGTTTTAAAGCGAAATGTCCTGCCCAGGTTCCCAATCAGATCTGTTTATGCAAATGAAGAATTGAAACTTGCTTAGTTCTGATTGGTTGATGCATTTGAGCCCTGATTGGTTGATACAGTTGAGCCCTGATCGGCCAAGGCAGGTGAACTCTGGTTGGTTGGTTCATCTGAGCTCTGAAAGTCCCAAAGATAAAAAAAAAATGTAGGGTAACTCAGAAGATAAAAATGAGTGATCATGAAAGGCCATGAAACTCAGCAGGACTGTCATCAGCCCTGTCACACTAGAACACGTGTGTGGCCTCTAGCCAGCAAATGGACGCTGGGCTTAGTCTTAAAGTTGGGCTCCGTCAGCCACTCAGGATTCATCCAAAGGCTAAGTTCATATTTGTTCACACAGCTTAGGTATTTTCCTGCATTAATTATAATAATACTCTACCCATATAAAATGCTTTATACTTGTTGAGGGTTTTATTAATATTGTCTCATTTCATCCTCAGAGTTTGGAAACTAGACAGACACTATTATTTACAGATAAGAAAACTGAGGTTCAAAAATATTAATTGCCTTGCCAGAGGTCAAAGAGTCGTTAAGAGCTAGAACGAAATGCTAGTATTCTTATTTCTGTTTTCCTTTGATTTGTGTTATATCACATGCTTGCCGTGATTTATGAAGCATACTCTCCTTTAGAAACAGTTATTATAAAGCAATCTGTTACAGATAAACAGTCTCAAAACATTTTCATCTTCTGCATAATGTAACTTCATATAAATTGACCATAAAATCCTAGTAATCTAAGCTACAGAAAGCTTTCTTGTTTTTAATGATCACTCGTTGACATAATTTGAAGTCTTTTCAAAATTTCATAAAGTATGAACACAGAATAAATAAGTAACCACGGTTATCAAAGTGATAGATCTTGAAATTTGTTTACAGATCTTATACTATTGAAGATTATATCCATCTTAATTAGAGCATGACTAACATTTTCATAATTCTAGTGATTGCCATATAGTTAAACCCTTATATTCCTTCCATGATGCTGGTCAGACCAGAAAAAAGGCATACATGTTAAAAATAATGGCCTAACATTATTGTGAAAATATATTCATACAGTTGAATAATATAGTAGATACATGAAAAAGCTCTTTTAAAAAAATTCTTTCAAGAACACGTAGATCAGAGACCTTTAATGGTCAAATTGCTCAACTATGAGAATTTTTTAGCAAAGCGATTTATCCAACAGTTTAGATTTGGGCAGGTAGGCAGGTTAGAGCAGGTCGTTGCTGAGTGAGTTCAAAACTAGGGCTGACCATGAATGGGCCAGGGTGTGAGTGCTTTCACCTGGTGACTCCAATATTGTAGATATTGACTGATGCCTGCAGAATCCAGCCACCGTACCCAGAATCCCATCTACATTATGGTGAATCCATGCAACAGAAATGCAAAGTGTTAGTGTAGGCCCGCTTCCCTTTCTTCTAATAAAGATTCATGGAGACAAAGTGTCGGGGAGAGCCTCATTTAAATTCAGACGTGGCTGATTCTGAAGGCTGTGTTGAGATTTTTGAAATCTGCAATAAATTGTGATTTTTGTTCTTCTTCCTGCTCCACTCCCTTTTCCCCTCCTTCCCCTCCTCCTTCCTCTCCTCCTCCCCCTCTTCCTCCTCCTCCCCTTACCCCTCCTCCTCTTTTCTCCTCCTCCTTCTTCTTGTTCTTCGTCTTCCTCTCCTTCTCCTCCTCCTTCTTCTTCGTCTTCCTCTCCTTCTCCTTCTTCTTCTTCCTTCTCCTCCTCCTCCCCTTCTCTTTCTCCTCCCCCTTCCCCTTCCCATTCCCCTTCCTCCTCCTCCTCCTCCTCTCCTCTTTCTTCTTTCTTTTCTTCTTCCTTTCTTCTTTCTTCCTTCTTTCCTCCTTCTTTCCTCCTCCTCCTCCTCCTCCTTCTTCTTCTAAATTAATAGGCTTTATTTTTTAGGGCAGTTTTGGGTTCCCAGCAAAATTGAGCAGAAAGTACAGATGGGTCCCATGTACCCTCTGTATCCACAGAGGCACCATCAACATTCTACACCAGAGCGGTCCATTTGTTACAATCATTTCCCCTACACTGACACATCAGTATCACCCACAGTCCATAGTTCACATTAGGGTTCACTCTTGGTGTTGCACATCCTATGGGTTTTCACAAGTGTATAATGATGTGTATCTGCCATTCTATTATCATACAGAGTACTTTCACTGCCCTAAAAGCTTTCTGTGTTCCGCCCATCCATCTTTCCCTCCCCTGCAACCTCTGGCAGCCACTGAATGTTTTACTATCTCCATAATTTTACCTTCTCCAGAGTGTCACATAGTCGGAATCATACAGCACGTAGCCTTTTCAGATTGACTTCTTTTACTTAGTAATATGAATGTAAGTTTCTTCCACATATTTTCATAACATGATAGCTCATTTCTTCTTAGCACAAAATCATGTTCCATCTTTTCAATGTAGCACAGTTTATCCATTCACCTACTGAAGGATGTCTTGGTGGCTTTGGCTTTCGAGTTTTGGCAGTTATGAATAAAGCTGCTATAAACATCTGTGTGCACCTAAGTCTTTAGTTTATTTGGGTAAATACCAAGGAGCATGACGGTCTTCCCAGGTGAAAATACATGCAATGAATGAGAGCTCCATATCCTTGCAAGCACGTTGCGTTGTGAATGTTTTGGATTTGCACCATTTTATAATAATACATGTGTACTATCTCGTTGTTGTAGTTTGCAGTTCCCTAATGACATATGATGTGGAGCATCTTTTCAGGTGCTTATTTACCATCTGCCTATCTTCTTTGGTGAGATATCTATTCATGACTTTTTTTTCCATTTTAAAATTGGGTTATTCATTTTTTATTGTTGAATTTTAAGAGTTATTTGTATATTTTAGATAACATTCTTTATCAAATGTTTCTTCTGCAAATGTTTTCTCCTAGTCTGTGGCATATCTTCTCATTCTCTTGACACTGTTTTTGCAAGGCAGAAATTTAATTTAATTTATTATGTTTTTTGAGATGGGGTCTTACTCTGTCGCCCAGGCTGGAGGGCAGGAGTGGGATCCCAGCTCACTGCAACCTCCGCTTCCTGGGTTCAAGTGATCTCCTGCCTCAGCCTCTCAAGTAGCTAGGATTACAGGTGCCTGCCACCACACCCAGCTAATTTTTGTATTTTTAGTAGAGATGGGTTTTCACCATGTTGGACAGGCTGGTCTCAAACTCCTGACCTCAAATGATCCGCCCTCCTCAGCCTCCCAACATACTGAGATTACAGGCATGAGCCACTGCAGCTGGCCTAGAAATTTAATTTTAGTAAATTCAGCTTATCAATTATCTCTTTCATGGATTGCACCTTTGGCGTTATATATGAAAGTCATCAGCAAACCCATGGCCATCTAGGTTTCCTCTTCCTTTTTCTTCCGGGTGTTTTACAGTTTTGCATTTTATGTTTATAAATGTCTGTGATCTGTGTTGAATTAAGGGTGTAAGGTTTGTGGCTGGCTTCATTTTTTACAGTGGATGACCCATTGTTTCAGCACCATCTGTTGAAAAGATGATCTTGTTCCATTGCACTGCTTTTGCTCCATTGTCAAAGATCAGTCAACTATAATTACGTGGGCTGATTTCTGCACTCTCTATTCTATTCCATTGATCTGTTTGTCTGTTCTTTCACCAATGCTGCACAGCTTTGATTACTGTAGCTTTGTAGTAAGTCTTCAGGTTGGGTAGCGTCAGTCCTCTCACTTTGTTTTTCTCCTTCAGTATTGATTGGGTTGATCGTTCTGGGTCTTTGGCAACTCCATATAAAATTTAGAATCAGTCTGTTGATAGCCACAAGATAACTTGCTGGGATTTTGACTGGTATTGCATTAAATATATAGATCAAGTCTAGAATAACTGACATCTTTACAACATTGAGCCCTCCTGTCCATGAACATCCATTTATTTATTTCTTATTTGATATTTTATGATACAATTTCCAACAGTGGAGACAAATCGTTCTGTATCTCTGCTACAGAATGGCTGTAGGGTTCTGTGGTTAGATGTGTACAGTGGTGCCAGACCGCTGGGGTCAAGTTCTCCCCATCCTTCTTGGGCAGGTTATGCCTTTCTATAAAATGGGGTGATAATGGTACCTTGCTCATGGTGTGGATTAAATAGGGGATATGCACACAGCAGGTGCATAGCAACTGTGCTTTATCATTATTCAACTTGCTGAACTTCATGAATAGATCATGAGTCACTTTGGTGACATAGTCAAAGCACCAAAGCCAACTAGCCATTGGTCCTTGGAAATCTGAGAGAAGACACATCCTTTATAGCGTTTACTTTATGGCCATTTCAACAGAAAGGAGCATCCTCACCCCCTCTAGATAAAAACCATCATTTCTAAGCATCCCATTTCTTCTAAGAAGTTGGCAATTACCAAAGTCAACCCACAACATCAGAAAGCAAGAAAGAGATGAAACCCTTCCCATGGAGGAAGCTGACCTGCACGTGTCTTACCAAGTTCTCCTGAGCCCCCACTGTGGGTCCAGCTCAGCCCTAGCCACTGGGTTCCAGAGGTCAAAAACACATGTTTTTTGAGCTTGCATTCAGGTAAGGAATTGCAAATACACCTGCTTTTTCTCTGAGAATTGGAGATCTTGAGCACACACACTGCCTAAAACACAATCAAAGTGTGCCTCACATACATAGATTTGGATGAAGGATGACATCATACACAGTTCATGCTGAGTCCGATGACCGGTCCCTTCTGCCCTTTCGTGCATTTTACCCACACAGGGCTTGCTTTGGACAGGAGTAAATGTAGGTCCATGTTTCTGAACTTGCTGAATTTGAAGCATAGGATAGAATCCAGTCCTTGATTGATGTTTTTATTTCTTCGACCGTCTGTTTCCACCCTGACTGGCCCTGAGGACACTGAATCACCCTCTCCATGACACTTTTCACACCTCCCCAGAGGGGAGGAGGCTGTAACGTGGGGCTCGTGCATGAAACCATCTCTAAACCATGACCCCATCAGTTTAAAACTATTAAAATTTATCAATTTTCATGAAATGTAAGCTACAAAATTGAATATATTGATGAACTTCTTAATATGTAAAAGCTCACTATACCTGGCTGCTTCATAAATTCCTTCTACTACCTCCAAGGCAGTAAGAGAAACAGCTTAGAGACTGGAAGTCCTTTGCCCAAATACAGCCCAGGAATCCAGCCCCCAAATCCAGCCTCTTGGTCATCCACTCTCTGGTGCTGCCTTGCACGTGGTTTGCCACTTTAACTTCCTCCTAGCCGCTCGCCAGGCATCCCAGGATAACGCTGTGGCCTGGGTTCCGTGAGCACCTCTCCCACCCAAAACACTGGAGGGGCCTCTTCTCATTTTCGGTAGACTGCAAGTGTTAGCCGTCGGGACCAGCTTCTGTCTGGAAGTTCGTCAAATTGCAGTTAAGTCCAAGTATGCCACATAGCAGATAAGGGAATGTACAAGACACTCGGTGTCGTGATGGACAGTGATGGCTGTGATGATGTCGTACGCTCAGCTGATCCTTCTCCCTGCTGAGAAGAGTTCAGCTGGATGCAGGGAGCCTTACGTTACATATCAGGAAAAACTTTCAAAAAAAGAGATGTGTTTCAACTGTGAGAGTTAAAATACTAAAGACTCGACCCAAGGACATTGAGTAACATTCTTTCCTGAAAATTTTAAGAGTCACTGGATAATGGTGAAGAAAGCCTGGACTGGAATGTCAGAGGTGCCTGAACTCAAGTCCGGTCACCAGCTGGGTCAACACAGGATAGCTACTTAATCACTCCTCATATCAGCCCCCACCTCTATAAAATGTGGACATTAATATTATCATGAAGGTTTATGGTGAGGAACCAAGAGAATGTAGCTAAAAATCCCAGAACATCATAATTGCTTAATAAATGGCAACTATAATGATTCACTCTTAATACCAAGAGAAATGCCTAGCTCTCTTTTGCTACTTCATTGTAGATGAACTGAATAACCATTTTGGTTAACTATGAATTAAACAGGAATGATCAAACATATACACATACAAACCATGATTAGGAAGGAGCTGGACTCAGGTGACTCTTGGTAATTGCCTTGGGAATGTTAGATGCTGGTTTGCAAGTCCCCAAACAGAACAATCTCCCATAGCTAAATACACTGGGGCATTAGGAAGATGGAGTGAGATTCACAATGGCAAAGACATGGAATCAACCTAAATGCCCATCAACAGTAGACTGGATAGAGAAAACGCAGTGCATATACACCATGGAATACTATGCTGCCATAAAAAAGAATGAGGTCATGTCCTTTGCAGGAACATTAATGGAGCTGGAGGCCATTAACCTAAGCAAACTCATGCAGGAACAGAAAACCAAATACCACATGTTCTCATTTATAAGTGGGAGCTAAATGATGAAAACTCATGGACACAAAGAGGGGAACAATAGACACCAGGGCCTACCTGAGGGTGAAGGGTAGGAGTAGGGAGAGGAACAGAAAAAATAACTACTGGGTAGGGTACTATGCTTAGTCTCTGGGTGATGAAATAATCCGTACAATACCCTGTGACATCAGTTTACCTCTATAACAAACCCGTACACTAATCTCCAGAAAGAGGCCTAGCAACCTGAACCTAAAATAAAAGTTAAGCAAAAAGATGGAGTGAGATCCACCTGCGCCACCAAGAAATGATCCATAGAACAAATCATTACATAAGAAAATAAAAATCACAGACGATTGCTCTCTATGGACACATTTACACAAATCCAAGTAAATGGAGAGGAAAAGGCGCAGGGGGGGATATGGATAAACAGCAGGGTGTTGACCACCAGCCGCTTGGGAAGAAGACCTGCTGTGGGGATGGAAGGGAGAGAGCAGGGAGGCCTCCAGGGTTTATACCCTGTATATTGTTCACGTTTTTTACAATGAGCATTAATTCCTCTGTCACCTATGCAATATTTTTTACATGTTCAAAACAATTCCTAAAAATTATAATTTCAGAGTGTGGCATGATAAAAAATGTAGTGAGGGATAAAACACTACAAATCAGATTCAGTGTATATTGCTTGGGTGATGGGTACACCAAGATCTCACAAATCACTAAAGAACTTACTTGTATAACCAAATACCACCTGTTCCCCAATAACCTATAGAAATAAAAGTTTTTTAATGCAGAGCAAAATTAGGGTGAAGGTTTATGTGGTAGAGTGTGCCACTATTGGAGGAATTTTTTAAATGGTATATACAGACAGACAGACATATCTTCTTCTTCTTTTTTATTTTTTTTAAGACAGAGTCTTACTCTGTCACCCAGGCTGGAGTGCAGTGGTATGATCTCGGCTCGCTGCAACCTCCACCTCCCGGGTTCAAGCGATTCTCCTGCCTCAGCCTCTCAGGTAGCTGGGATTACAGGCATGTGCCACCATACCTGGCTAATTTTTGTATTTTTAGGAGAGACACGGTTTCACCATGTTGGCCAGGCTGGTCTCAAACTCCTGACCTCAAATGATCCGCCTGCCTCAGCCTCCCAAAGTGGTGGGATTACAGGCGTGAGCCACCATGCCCAGCCCAGACATATCTTCTTATATGGACGAAAATAATCTCCAGAAGTAGGCCTAGCCACTGATGAGAATGGCAGTCCATAAGCTGTTACTGTTCTGGGGTGAAATTGTTACGTTTTAAATTTGCTATCTTGTCAATGTAGTATCTATTTAAGGATAATTACTTACATGTTAAAATAAAAAATAGAAAAATTTAGATGCCCAGAGAATAAATTAATGCTTGTAAAACCAAAATAAACACAGACCTGAAGCATCCCAGGTAAGGTTATGTTCCCTTTGACCATTGCTGTTTCTTTAGCTCAGTTTTAGGTGAAGTGTGGATGAAGAGGTGAAGAAAGGAGGTGATTCAAAGAAAGTCTCCACAAACCCGAGATTGTAAAATGTCTCATTATGAGGTCTGGTGGAAATGGATTTGAAAAGCCTAATTTCCAAGTTAAAAGAGGAAAAGAGGCTGGGCGGGGTGGCTCATGCCTGTAATCCCAGCACTTTGGGAGGCTGAGGCAGGTGGATCACCTGAGGTCAGGAGTTCCAGGCCAGCCTGGCCAACATGGTGAAACCCGGTCTCTACTAAAAACACAGAAATTAGGTGGGCATGGTGGCACGCACCTGTCGTCCTAGCCTCCTGGGAGTCTGAGACAGAATTGCTTGAACCTGGAAGGTGGAGGTTGCAGTGAGCAGAGATTGTGCCACTGCACTCCAGCTCCAGCCTGGGCGACAGAGCAACACTCCATCTCAAAAAAAAAAAAAAAAAAAAAGAAAAGAAATAATTCTAAAAGTATTCAAGCAATAAAAGTCAGCTGATATTTATTATCTACTATAGCCAAGGCATGGAGTTGGGGTTTTATTTGCCTACTTTCAGTGAGAAAGATGAGCTAAATCGTTTTTATGGAAAATAAAAAGGAAACATTTAAAGTAACAACAACCAAAAGTATCCACCAATAGTCTCTGCATCACTTGGGAAGCCGCTAGGGAGTGTGGGACACACGCTCAGCTAAACGGCAACAGAGAATCAAGCAACTGCTGGCTTTAGTGCCCTGCTACTCCTAAATATGCTTCAATGTTTGCCTCTTTCACTGGTTAAAAGCACTGTTGTTGGTCTGACGGTCTTTGGTTTCTCTTCTCAGGGAATCTCAGACCGAGCACTTTCATTTCCTTCTCACCATGCAGGAAATGAGTAGACGTGACACTCCTGTTTTGGTAAGAATTGACACACAGCTACCCTCATCTGGTGAACGGACGAATTGGGGCTAAAGCTGAATGGCTGACATGTCAACAACCTGAAATAAAAACAAACCAGCCTTGTTTAAGAGTGAATTTGCTTTGTGCAAATTGTCAAAAAGAAAACACGGAAAAACCGTCTCCTGCAAAGAGGAAGAAAAGGGTTACGTTGTTGACAAAATCTGGGTTTCCTTGCAAATAATGGTCTGTTGCTTGTATGCCATCGTCACATTTTGGATGGCAGATTGTTTAAGAAATTAAAAAAATAAATAAATAAATTATCTAGTTAGCAAAAGGTCTGGAGCACAGAGGCTGGTCATTTACCCCAGGGCCAGGAAGATGAAAGCACGTTCACCCGCCATTTGCGGCTGCCCTAGCGCGTTAGTACCATCTCCCCGTGCCCACAGATATCCACACACAGCAACTCTCAGGGGACAAATGCGAAGCCATGTGATTTTCCCCCTGCTATGTTAAAAATGCATTCCTATTTTTTCAAGCATGCTTCGATTAAAGAGGGCACATCTGTTTTAAGTCCCCTTTTATGAAAATTACTGAGCTTCCTCGGCGTGCTTATCTTTTAATTTCGAAATTCTTTGTAGCAATCACTTGGGATAATAACCAGCCATATTTCTGGCCCCTTTAAAAAATAAAGGGGAGGGTGGGGAGGAAAAAAGAAAGAACGAACAAGCCATTTTAGAGCTTTGAACTCCCTGTTCTAATCCTCCCGCTTTGGGCCTGGGTGGAAAGGGTCCCCCTTCGTTTGCGTTTAGAATGGCTGAGCCCCGCGCGCACTGCCTCAGCCTGGCCTGCCAGCCCCCGAGCCTGGGCCCAGCTTGACGCTGCAGCGCTATTCATCGACTCCCCGGCAGGGGGAGCCGCTGCGCACCGCCACCGCCAGGCAGCAAAGCGCTCAGCTTCCTTTTAAGGCCTCTTCATCCCCCCACCCCCAAACACTTTTCACAGAGTTTCTCACCCCTTTCTTCCCTCTGGAGGGGCTCCTTGAACGGACACCACCCTGGATGGCTTTTTCCTAGGCAGACCTCCCACCCCCGGCGTTTTTGTTTCGAATAGCACCTAACGGGCGGGGTTGCATTTACCATCTGTGTTTCGAATAGCACCTAACGGGCGGGGTTGCATTTACCATCTGTCTTTCTGCTGTTTTAAACCCTTGTTTAAGGCTCAGGCTGTTCAGAGACGTAATCCGGGGCTTGAGCAAAGAGTGAAAAGTTGAGATTCCTTCTCTGGACTTCCTGCACCGATTTTTTCCTTGTTTCCTCCAAGCGTTGATGAGATGAGAGATGGGCTGTAAGGTGGGGAATGGAACACACGCTTAAGTGTCTGGAAACCGTGTGATTCTTGGGGATGGCCACATAGCTGGAGAACCGTGGAGTCGTCGTGCCTCCTGGGCCACACCCGCCACCTGGCTTCAGTTGGCTGATCAGCAGCAAGAGGCAGAGCTTAACAGTTCTGTTTTCCTCCCCGTGAAATAAGGATAACGACAATTTCAGCTGAGTCTTTATAATCATCTGAAGAAAGGGATCCCTAGATGTCCAAGACGATTTACTGTGTGCTATGTTTAGAGGCTAAAGATAAAATAAGAAGAAACGTGAGGTAACTGGTCTCTTCTCGTCGACGCACTTAGGAAGCCCAAATACTTTCATCCTGAAAGCGTGCAATCCCCTGCCACATTCATGTCTGCAACACTGACTTGGAAATTCCCTGAATAAATAAGCGCATACGGCAGGAGATGCTAATCCAATTTAGAAAAGTTCTGCGGAGCTTGATTTTTCCCTCCCACTGGACAATGCCGGGGTCTTTCCATCTTTATCTTGGCAAATGGGGTCAGGAGAAGAGTGAAAGGTAAAAGTATTAGTTCTGCTTTAGTTCACAGCGCTGACGATCAGTATTCAAATGGGACTGGTGGTGACATGTGGCTTTCAGTCACAGCACACGCTCTCCCTCACCGTGGAAGATTGGTCGTTGAATGTATTTACTATTTAAAAAATGACCTGAATCAACAAAATCTTGCTCACCATCCATACGTACTTATTGTGTATCTACTGCCTACAGGAAGCCTCCAGGCCAGGCACTCAAGAGCAACGCCCATCAATAGAAAGATGTTTCCTGGAGTTAAGATCCTAATCAAGTTGGGGAGACGAGGTCTATAAGAAGAAAAGAATATTAATCGTTAAATGTCAAAGAGTTGCAGCAGCATTTATTCAGAAATTAAACAGCAAAATTATTCTTCATGCTAGGAATATAATTCCTAAGACAAGCAAAGTCTCTGCCATAGTGAAGGCTACCTGGGAGGAGATGGAGGACAGAAAGCAAACACGCAAACAAATAAAAATGTAATTTCAGGCCGGGCGCGGGGGCTCTCATCTGTAATCGCAGCACTCTGGGAGGCCGAGGCGGGCAGATCACTTGAGGTCAGGAGTTTGAGACCAGCCTGGCCAACATGGTGAAACCCTGTCTCTACTTAAAGATACAAAAATTAGCTGAGTGCGGTGGCAGGTGCCTGTGGTCCCAGCTACTCAGGAGGCTGAGGCAGAAGAATGACTTGAACCTGGGAGGCGGAGGTTGCAGTGAGCCGAGATCACACCACTGCACTTCAGCCTGGGTGACAGAGGGAGACACCATCTCAAAAAAAAAAAAAAAACCCAGAAAAAAAGTGTAATTTCAGACAGTGACATGAGCTATGGAGCAAACAGAGCAATGAGGTGGGAGGGGCGGGTGGGGGTGATATGGCAGCACCTCTGGGAAGATGGCACTGAAGCCCCAGGGAGGATGGCTGAGGCTGGGAATAGGCTGGAAGAGGGCTGAGGGTGAGGCTGGAGAGAGGCAGGGCTACATCATCCAGCGTGGAGTTTCCCATGTCTGACGGGCATGGGAGTCAAAATGCAGATTCTGGTTCCAAAAGTGCGTGCACGGGTTGGGGGATGAGATTCTGCATTTGGAACAAGGTGACGGGGCTGCCACACTTTCAACCATGCCTAGAGTAGCAAGGGCCAGAGATTTGGTTTTTGACCTCAGCCTCGCTAGAGTCACCTAGAGAACTTTTACCAATCTCAGATGCTGGGGCCCCTTCCTGGTGGTTCTAATGAACATCAAAGGTTGAGAACTACTGATTTAGCATCTTGGCCATGGTAAATGATAAGGGTCTTATTGTCTCACCCATTGGGAGGGGCTAAGAGCCACCAATCGGCCTTCAGAGGAGGCTTTCCAGGGTAGACCAGGGCTTGAGCCAGACTTCGGTGCACATCAAGCTCAAAGAGATAGAGGTTCAAAGAGATCCATTAGAGATGGATAAAAGGCATAAGCCAGGTTTCTCAACATTTTGCACCATTCTAACATTTTGCATCATAATTCTTTGCTGTGGGGGGGCTCCTGTGTGCTGTGGGGGCACTCCTGTATTCTGTGGCATGCTATGAGCAAACCTGGTCTCTACCCATGAGATGCCCGTGGAACCCTCCCAAGATGTAACAGCCAGTAATATCTCCGGATATTGCCAGTTGTCCCTGGGAAAAGAAATGGACCCCAGTGGAGAACCACTGACATAAACAAAGATGAAAAACCAGAAAAGTCAAAGATCCATGCATTATCTGAATGACATTCACTCCACATCTGTGGTTTACCATCCTGGACTCCGGCGGGCTTTGGAGACAGGTCTCCCTCTCTGAAGGCAGAGAAAACACAGGCTTGGGGTGCCAACAAATGCATACATTTATTTGAAAAGAAAAAATTTGACATTGAAAAAAGGCACCTGATATAGTTTGGCTGTGTCCCCACCCAAATCTCATTCTGAATTGTAGCTCCCACAATTCCCACATATCATGGGAGGAACCCAGCAGGAGGTAATTGAGTCATGGGGGCGGGTCTTTCCCATGCTGTTCTTGTGACAGTGAACAAGTCTCACGAGATCTGATGGTTTTGAAAACTGGAGTTTCCCCGCACAAGCTCTCTCTTTTGGTTTTGAACACTGGAGTTTCCCCGCACAAGCTCTCTCTTTGCCTGCCACCGTCCACGTAAGACATGACTTGCCCCTCCTTGCCTTCCGCCATGATTGTGAGGCCTCCCCAGCCACGTGGAACTATAAGTCCATTAAATATTTTTCTTTGGTAAATTGCCCAGTCTCAAGTATGTCCTTATCAGCAGCATGAAAACAGATGAGTACAGCACCCAAGTAGACACCACTGGGAGAATCAGAATTCTGTTAGTCTTCCTCATTTTAAGTTTTAATATTTCCTTTATTTAAAAGACTGGGCTGCTAATACAAGCAACAATGTGTATGAACCTAGCAGGCAGTCCTGGAGAAGACTCAAAGGAGCACAGAGTATTCGATTCCACCTATGTGACATTGGAGAACAGGCAAAACGAACTCAGGGTCTCGGGGTCGGATTTGTGATTCCCCTGCGGGGTGGGCTCAGGGGAGACTTCTGGATGCTGGAAATGTCCTATATCTCAGTGTTCCTTTCTGGTACCAGGGACTGGTTTTGTGGAAGAAACTTTTTTTACAGGCTGAGGTGGAGGTGGGGGGATGGCTTTGGGATGAAAATTGCACCTCAGATCATCAGGCATTAGATTCTCACAAGGACCCACTGGAGTCCAGGATGGTAAACCATAAACATGGAGTGAATGTCAGGCAGATAATGCATGGATCTTTGACTTTTCTGGTTTTTCATATTGCTGATGTCAGTGGTTCTCAACTGGGGTCCATTTATCTTGGGGACAATTTCTCTTGGGGACAATTGGCAATGCCTGGAGATATTACTGGTTGTTACAACTTGGGAGGGTTCCACTGGCATCTAGTAGGTAGAGACCAGGGTTGCTGATAGCATGCCACAGTACACAGGACTGCCCCACAGCAAAGAATTATGGAGCGTGCAGTTCACAATAGGGTTCGCACTCCTGTGAGAATCTAGTGCCACTGCCGATCTGACAGCAGGTGGAGCTCAGGCAGTAATGCTTGTTTGCCCACCACTCACCTCCTGCTGTGCAGCCTGGTTCCTAACAGGCCACGGACCAGTACCAGTCCATGCCCAGGGGTTGGAAACCCCTGCTCTCTCTGGAACTGGGTGGTACTTCTGTGAATGCATACAGACGCAGGGATTCGTTCAGCTGAACGCTTACGATTTGTACAGTTGGCCAGGTGCAGTGGCTCATGCCTGTAATCCCGGCACTTTGGGAGGCCAAGGCAGGTGGATCACTTGAGGTCAGGAGTTCGAGACCAGCCTGGCCAGCATGGTGAAACCCCGTCTCTACTAAAAATACCAAAAAAAATTAGCCAGGTGTGGTGGTGGGCACCTGTAATCCCAGCTACTCAGGAGGCTGAGGCAGGAGAATTGCTTGAACCCGGGAGGAGGAGGTTGCAGTGAGCCAAGATCGCACCACTGCACTCCAGCCTCTTTATTTTTTTACATCTAAAAAAAAAAAAAGATTTGTACACTTGATGTATGTTCCATGTATATAAAAGAGGCCCCTTTTTACAGAGCATAGAGGTTCTAAAGCGATGTCTGCCTAGGACCCAGGGCATACCTGGTTTCTTTCTGGCTGGATGATAAGATCTATATTGCAGTATTGTAAGCTGGGTACGAATCTTGGTGGAGGAGCCTAATGAGGAAAAGGCCACTGTCAAGACAGGGAGGAGCATCCAATCCTTGAAGGGTCTGCTCTTCTGCTGCTGGGAGAGTACAGTGCCCTCTTCCGGCAGCCAGGGTGTGTGTCCTCCATATGCTCTTCAGACAGGCCCAATGGAGATGTATCATCGTGTCCCCTCCCAGAGACAGAGCCGCCGACAGCTCCAATTAGGCTCCTGGCAGCAAAAGACCAAGAAGGATTGATGGATGACTGGACGGATGGGGAGATGAGAGGCTGGGAGGAAGCAGGCCAAGCGGAATGCCAGGTGCACAGTCTCAGTGTGGGCATTACGAGTTCTCTCTACAGTTCTTTCCATTTTTCTGTATGGTTGAAAGTTTTTATAATATAATGTAGGGAGGGAAATCAGCCTTCTTTTCTGTTTCTGCTGAGCTAAAACACCATGAGGGCTTACTAATAGAGCACATTTTACTGGAAGCTCTGTTACCATTTGTAACCATCACCACGCGTTACATCCTTGTTCACAATGAGGTTATCGTTGAGGAATGTCGTCTAAGAGAAAATACTCAGATGCTTTTCTGGAGGTAAATGTTTTTAAATGTTGGGATGATTTGTCAAGAAAAGACTTTTCGTATCTACCCTCGGATAATATGTAGAATTCCTTATAAGCGTCAGATGTCTAGAAACATTCCCCAGCATCTCCTTTCTAAAGAGTGCCCAATTAAGGATGGGACGAAGGACTTTTTTCTTTTCTTGTACAACTTTGTTATAATAGCTGAGTGAGAACGAGAGCTCTGTGCTGGAGCTGCTGGGAGCATGTGAGGTCACCGGGGAGAGCAGAGCCAGTCATCGGCTGCCCTCAGGTGTTGGGAGCCTGGTCCTCCTGGGAGAGGGATTTAACAAAGGAACGCATTTCAAAGTAGACACTGTGTTTTCCATCCTTTTTCTGAAGTGTTTTCAAACACACTCCCAGCTAAAAAGTCTTAGAAGTGAGAAAAGGAGGCATATATCAGACAACCCCCAAAGCAGCTGACAATCCGGAGAGCAAAAGATAGGGTCAGATTGGAGATGCTGGAGTCCGTGTACATTCTCGCCATAGGAGGGCTTGATTTATTTTTGCCCCACCCACTGGGTCTCAACTTTGAAATGCTCAGTACAAAAGAATTGGACTAATGCCCTACTTGCATGCATTCTCTCCTAAAATGTGACATGTCTGATTTCAATCCACTTTAACCCAGTGTGCTGCGTCTTTGTTGTCAAAGGGTGTTGCATCTGCTTAAACTCACACATCTCGAAGGTTGCTGTGAAGGTAAACAGAAAGCAACGTAAGGCACGGATGTTGATTCGTGTGTCGTGTGTGTGTGTGTGTGTGTGTGTGTGTGTGTGTGTGTGCGAAATTTGTACAGCAGTACCTGCATCTCTATCCAAAGAAATCAAATCAAACATTAAGTGCAATTTCCCCCGACCTTTTCTCGCCTTTGTCTCTCTCCCTGGAAATAACAGTTGGGTATGAATCCTCTAGGGTGGATATTAAGAGAAATTAGTGAAATTGGATTTTGTGCCCATAAATACGACCATTCTTTTAAACGTTCGCGAGGCTAGTGTATTGAATAGCATTCAAATTAAGTTTTTGTATGAAAATACCTCTTGTTTATGATCGGTCACAGGAGTCTTGAGCCCTCAAGGAAGGCACAGAGGAGAGCTAGCGTATTTCAGTCTGCGTGGCCTTTGCTTGCTTGTACTTTTGTGGATCAGTTAATTTTTTATACAAGTGAAATATAGTTAACATTTCGTTTTCATTTTAAACATTTGTTAATTATAGACACAATTTACATGGTCTATATAATATAGATTACCTATAGTATATGTTTATATATGCACACACATATATGAATATATATAATGTTCTGGCTAAAATCTGACTATGTGCTTTAAGAATTTCATGGTAACATTAAAGATTATTTGTGATTACTAGTATTATCAAGTATTACAATATTCTCTATTAATTACTGGTATTATCGAGAAAACTATAACCTAAAATATTCAGATTTAAGAATTTCTGATTATCAGTGCTGCTAAGGTGTGGCAATTTTTTGCAACAAGACAGTCTAAAATTCGTATTTTGAAAAAGCTGAAAGAATATTCCCCCAGTGATAAACTTTTTGCATAAGCAAGATATAAATTTGTAGGACTGGTATAACTGGTTGGTGATTAGAATTTGCCAGAGCACTCTGGCCCCACACGCCTGCCTGTCTCCCCAGAATAATTAGAGTAGAGACTGGGGCCAGACTGACTCATCACCTGAACTTTCCACCAAGTACCGGAGGTATCCACCCCAGAATGTTACTCATATGTGCTGAGATGTTATTTCTGGAAGATCCCTATTAGAGAACACAGATGTTCACGTAAGCCACAGTAACATATAAAGCCATTATCACCCATTCTCCCTCCTGCTGTCCAGAACAAAATAAAAATTATAGTTTTGACTCTTAGAGAGTGTTTGGATTAGATTGTAGGCAAGGCTACGGAGGACAAACTGGAATGGGCTGCCATGGATCTGTGTTTATGTGTGTGTGTGTGTGTGTGTGTACTTTTTAAAAATCTATTTCTATATGTATCTTCACATAGATAGTTCCTCAACCTCTTATCCAAACTCCCTAGGTCCAGATGTGTTTTGAAATTTGGGCAGTGTCTTATAATAACAGTCAGATTTCTGTAGTGAAATTATGTATGTTCACACTGTGTCATCGTAATAAGGCTATAAATAGCCTCATTTCTTATTGCAAAGTGTAAGGTTTCCAGAGCTGTTGGATGTAGGCCAAGAAAGAACCATAGACTTGGATTAACTCATTTAACTCTTGGAACAACCTGAAGAGATTGATAATATTATTTCTATTTTATGGATGAGGAAGCTGAAGCACTGAGAGAGCTGAGGACCGTGTGGCAGAGCCGGGATTCGAACCAGGGCACGTGACTTCACCCCACACTGCGCTGCCTCTGTAGATGATGGTTTATAGAAACAACATGTGACACTGTCCTGTGTTGGTTTTGTCAACCCATTACATTCACTCAGGCACAGAAAAACAGAAAGACAAACTTAGTGTGAAAATAGTGTAAAGAAAAATTTGATGATGATATGACATATTAGAGATTCGGGATCTCTCACTCAAACTTATACAGACATCATTCAGTTTGTCCTTTGAATTCAAAATTACCCCCATGACAGCGGTGCTGTGTGTGAATACAGGTACACCTGGAGAGACCACCGTATCTGTGTAACCAAAAGTATTTTTGCAATACACACATGCACTGTATTTTGCAGATTCCTGAAAGAGACTGCCTGGGTCAAAAATTCTGCTCTAATATGAGGCCAAAGGTTCCTGACCTATCTTTGTCTCAGTCTTCTCATCTGTAGGATGGGAGACGGACATAAAACCCAGGGAGTTATTAAAAAATTTACCCGCTGTCTCTCCACGGCCTTTAGGTCTGCACGCCAGCCACTTTGAGAGGATCAATTGCAGAGATGTGCCGGGCTTTGCTTAAATTGGCCTTCATCCAGTTTCAGCGTTCAAAGCAGGAACGGTGGGAAATGAGAGGGAGATGGCCTGTGCCCATGTGGGCTGCCCCTCACTACACCCACAGCCAGCCAGGCATTCAGATGCCCCCTCTGCGGGCGTGTCTGTGTTTCTTTCTGCAACTCTGTCTTAAGGGAAGGACTTCAGGGGCACAGGAAATTCCCACATCAAAGGGTAAATGAGGAAATGCTGCTGACGTTCCCAGGACCCTCCCGATGAATCCTAAACCACTAATTTAATTTGAAGGATGCTCACCTAAAAGCAAGTAAGGCCTGACCTGTAAAAGTGAGGTCATTCCCACCAGGTGGCTGAAAACACTATGTCCCAAGTAAAATGGATTGTATCATAGGAACCGTGAGCATGTCCTCACTGAACACAATTTGACAGTTTCAAAGTCCTCTGCATTCTAAATTGAGAAAGAAGAGTCATTGACAGGCTACTAATATTACTGTTACAACTAACACTCACACTGATCACCAAATTAATCATGTGGAATAACTAAAAATGACACATTGCTCAGCTAACATTTCTTTGCCAGGAAAAGCTTGTTTCTAACAGTCTTTCAGCCAGCTTGAAGCTTTTACTCTTTGTTCAGCAAACACTGTGATTCCTTTGAGCTCTTGTATCAGTCAGGATGGTCTAGGTTATGCTGCAGTAACAAATAAGCCCCAAGTATCAGTGCCTTAAAAGAACAAATGCTTATACTTTGTGTTACGAATTCACTGAGAGTTGTCTGCAGCCATTCTAGGACCTGGCAGAGAAGACTCATCTGGATTGTGGAGGGGTTTCTAAGGCAGAGGGGAAGAGAGAAAACATGGGAAAACCAAGCACTGGTTTTGAAGCTTTCTGCCAGATGTTTTGCAAGCCACTTGCACTTATACTTCATTGACCAAAGCAGGTCATGTGGCTGCTATGGCTCTCAAGGAAGTGGAAAGTACACCCTACCAGGGGCAAGAAGAGGGGAGGTGAAAGTATTTGGTGAAGAGTGCTGATAATTGCTACATCCACCTGCTCTGACCCCTGTCTTAGTCCCAGGGAGTCTCCCACTTGATCTAGCAAAGCCTACCTCCCACTGGAGATATGGAGATGCCACACTCTCCTGAAGCTGCTGGCAGGCAGGTGACCCAGGCTCTGACCATCAGAGATATGCACTGGAGATTTTAAACCTGTCACTAGTGGAGGAAAGGAGAGATTGCATGGGATCCACCCTGAGAGATCAAGCAATGGATCGGCCTCCAGAGGTCGTCCTGGTGGGGAAGCCCTCAGGACAGATGGCAGTGTCTGTTTCTACTGTGGGAGCCCACATCATGCTCCTGCATGTGAACCCACAAAGCCTTGTTCTCTGGCTAACCTAGAAATTATATTTGCTGTTTAATATCTTTTAATTTTAAATTGTGGTAAAATACACATAGCACAAAATCTGCCATCTTAGCCACTCAGTGGCATGAAATACATTCACAGTGTGCAACCATCACCACCATCCATCTCCAGGACCCTTTCCATCTGGCAAAACTGAAACTCTTTTCCCATTAAACAATCACCCCATTCTCCCTTCCTTTAGCCCTTGGCAAAACACCATTCTACTTTCTAACTTTATTAATTTACCAATAACTATTTTCTGCTTAAATTAGTAAATCCTTTTTCTGCTTAAATTAGCCAGAGTGGCTTTCTGTGGCTTGACATTAAGAACCTTGACTGATATTGACTGTAAGTGTTTTGAGGGCAGGGTTGGATCTCTGCCCTATTTTGTATCCTCACTGCTAATAGACAACTGTTTATCTGAAGCACTGAAATGATGAAAAGCCTATCATTTCAAATGTGGTTGCTCAAATAGGACACTGAATAACCCACTTCAATACTGAACACATATCTTACGTTCCGCCTATAGGATTAAAAAGAAGCATCCTTTTTTTTTAATCAAGAAAGACAAAGTAAAAAATTAATAAGAATTCAGTTTTTTGAGGTTATGATACATGAGAAATAGAGAATTTATGCCCTTGTGATGTATTAATGCTTTTAAGGGACTTCAAAATGAATCTATTCTGCAGAATAATCAAGAATGTGGGTATGAACAGCTGGCATATTGCCTTATCCCAACTCTTGCTGTCAGATCCCACTTTCCTTCATAACTAATTGAATCTGCAGGGAAATGTCATTTGCCCTGAGATGCATTCATTTGTAGAGAGGTTAGAGCATCTGCAAGAATCAATCCAACAGTGAAAAAATAATAATAATAAAAAGCTGGGAAAGAAAACAGAATGTGTCATTCAACAGAAATCACTAAAGGGAAAGAGAATCTACTGTGGACTGAGTCGGATCCCTGCCCCCCAATGTGGTGGTGTCAGGAAATGAGGTTTTGGGGAAGTAATTAGGTTTAGATGAGGTCATGAGAGTGGGGCCTCCAGAATAGAATTGGTGCGCCTAATCATAAGAGATAACAAAGAACCAGCTCTTCTGCTGTCAACCAAGTGAGGACACAGTGAGAAGGCAGCCATCTGCAAGCCAGGAAGAGAGCCGTCACCAGGAAATGTATAGGCTAACGCCTTGATCTTGGACTTCCCAGCCTCCAGAACTGTAAGAAATAAATTGCTATTCTTTAAGCCACCCAGTCTATGGTACACAGGAGCTTATATGTATGTGTATGTGAGGTGGAGATACATTTTATGAAAAAAAAGTCAGGGGGACAAAGTGACAAATTGGGTATTACTTAAGACTGGGTAATGAGGGAAGGCCTCTTTGCAGAGGTGTCACTTGAGCAGTGTATCAGTCTAGGTTCAGGCCCTATGACAGAGGTCACAGCAGGTATTTCAGCAGAGAGAATCTAATACAGGAAATGGGTAACATGGGTGCTGGAGGACTGACACAGCCAAAAGGAAACAGAAAGAAACCCAGCAATGGTAACTGCAGATACTACTGTCACCCTAGGCTGGGGAGCAGGGGAAGAGATGGGTGATCAGCACTTAGAAGCTCAGAGGAGGAGCCCTTGGAGCCATGGCTCAGGTCCCTGAAGAGGGGGTGCTATCCAGTGAATGCAGGAACCTAACGAGCTTGAGGAGGAGCCCCACTTCTGTTCTATCAGAAGCTGCTTCTGGGAGTGCTAAAGAAGCTGGAAGCTGGATTCACTGCTGATGTTGGGGTGAAGTGTCCCTGGCTGGACAGTGCTATTGCTGGGGTGGCTGCAACAGGGACAGCAAGCAAAGAGGTAGAAGGAGGCCCTTCTTGAACCTCGTGTTTTCTCTCTAGCACCGAGCCCCTGCCCAACATAACTGGTTGGCAGAGGAGAAGCATTCTCTGCAGAGGCCAGCCCAGGAATGCTGAGCAGAGCATTGGAGGGTAGGTTTGGAGCTGAGAGGTGACAGGTCAGTAACCAGCATGCACTGAGATCCAGAGGTAGTGAGAGAATGAGCCACACTAACACCCAGGGAGAAACAGTTCAGACAAAAGGGAAAGCACTGGCAGAACCTGAGGTGAGAGTCTGCTTGTACATTTATGGGACATGGCCCATGTGCCATGAACAAGGGGAAGTAATAATGATTTCTCTACCTTCCTGATGGCTCATGTTTGCCTGACATAAATATTGACATTTCCTTCTATATTCCCCAAGTAAATAAATAGAGCTGCGTTCTGCCATTGTCTGTACTCTAAAGAGTTTCTCACAATCTGGCATTAAGCCTCTATGAATTGCCTACCTTCTACACTCCTTCTGAAGCTAATCAACGTTGCCTTAAAAGCTCAACATTGCCTTAAAATTTTTCAAAAGGTCATAGAGACTGATAATGCCATAAAGGTTTGGTTTATTTCTTTAGCCTCCATCTGGGATTTTCCTTCTTTTTCCCGCCTGGAATAGATGCAGGTCTGGAGGTGTGGCAGCCTCCTTGCAGCCACGAGGTCACCACATATATGAAAGCCATGCACTAAGGAGGGTGGAGCGGGAAGATAGTGGAGTTGCTGCATCAGCCAGGCTTTTCCATCTCATGACTTCTTGTTATGTGAGCAAAACAAACCCCTATTTGCTAAAGCCACTAGAGTCAGGTTTTTGTTTTGTGGAGACAAGTGTAATTCCTAACAGATACTTGCAATATCTGTTGGTAGGGCTCAGTTTTGGACATTCGTTTGTTTCCCCAGTACCATAGAAAAATCATTTTTTTAGAAAAACATTAAAATTTTAGACATTGTCAACATAAACCTGGAATTATAGAATTGAGTTGTGCTCTTTCTAAAGAGAATCCACAGTTCTTTTATTTAGTAATTTAAATATCTGCAGTCTCTTAGACTTGATACCAAGATGGTGCTGATTAAAACAAACACTCCATGCTCAGGAGTCTAATTGCAAATGATTTTTTTTCTTTTATGAGACAAAGTCTCATTCTGCTGCCCAGGCTATAGTTCAGGGATACAAACATGGCTCACTGCAGCCTCTGACTTCTGGGCTCAAGTGATCCTCCTGCCTCAGCCTCCTGAGTAGCTGGGACCACAGATGTGCACCACTACACCCAGCTTTTTAAATTTTTTTGTAGGGATGGGGTCTCACTATGTTGCCCAGCTGGTCTCGAGGGGTCTCACTATGTTGCCCAGCTGGTCTCGAACTCCTGAGCTCAAGCCATCCTCCTGCCTTAGCTCCCAGAGTGGTGGGATTGCAGGTGTGAGTCACCACACCTGGCCGCAAAAGTTTTTTATGCAGGAGATATACTGTAAAAAGTTACAAGCCTCGGCTGGGCATGGTAGCTCACTCCTGTAATCCCACCATTTTGGGAGGCCAAGGCAGGTGCATCATAAGGTCAGGAGATCGAGACCATCCTGGCTAACACGGTGAAACCCCATCTCTACTGAAAATACAAAAAAATTAGCTGGGCATGGTGCCAGGCGCCTGTAGTCCCAGCTACTCGGGAGGCTGAGGCAGGAGAATGGCGTGAACCTGGGAGGCAGAGCTGGCAGTGAGCCGAGATTGTGCCACTGCACTCCAGCCTGGCCGACAGAGAGAGACTCCATCTCAAAACAAAACAAAACAAAACAAAACAAAAAAAAGGTTACAAGCCTCAACAACTTGCACGGGATATTTTTCTTCTCCCAGCACAGAGAGCTCCACCCAAGCCAGAGGATCATCTGAAAATGGCCTAAAGTCAAGTGCATCTTAAAGGCAACAACTTAAATAGTCCAAAGATGGCAAAAGCATGACTTGGCAAACACTACGAGTTCACAAGGAAATTTGAGAATGAGATGGCCTCAATAAAGGCAAAGTCAAATTTCATAGTGACCAGGCAGGATATCCATTATTCATCAAAACGTAAATGTATGTTACAAGAGTGGAGCGCAAGCTGTTTGAGAAGTGTTATTATTCTCCTGAGGAGGAAGACACAGTTGCTGGGGAAATGATGGTTGCTTTCACAGGCAGCGTACCTTATCTAATACAGTGGATTGGGTGTGATGACTTAGAGATCAATAGAGGACAAGAGCTAGAGCCAGATGATCTGGTTTAAATCCCAGCCCCAGCATCTCACAACAGGATCACCTCCAGTATGCGGTGTAGCCTTTCTGTGCCTCAGGATCCTCATTTGTGAAATGGAAACTATAATAGCATCTATCTCTTGGAAACATGAAAAGTAAAATGAGCTATATTTAAAATAACCAGTTGTATCAACTATACGTCTTCAAATCTTAGATGCCGTCCATTTTAAGGCCCACCATTAATTATATACCACTACTAATTAGGTTGACAGTTTTCAAACAGAACCCCAAGTATTTTGACATTCTTCTGTATAAGAAGTGGGGTTGGGAGGGGAAAGGCTTCCAGATAGAAAGGAAGAAGTAAAACTATCTCTACTTACAGATAACATGATCTTGCAAACAAAAAAGAAATCCTAAGGTATCCACAAAAAAACCAATAGAGTCCACAAATCAGCTCAGCAAGTTTGCAGGACAAAAATATCAACATGTAAAACTCAAAAAAATCTCTACACACTAGCAATGAACAATCCAAAAATGGAATTAAGAAAACAAGTACATTGACAATAGCATCAAAAGGCATTAAATACCTAGCAATAAATGTAAGAGAAGTACAAGGTATGTACACTGTCTAGAATATCATTTAAAGACCTAGATAAATGGAAAGAATATCTCATGTTCATGGTTGGGAAGGCTTAATATTGTTGAGATGGCAATACTCCCCAAATTGATCTACAGCTTCAAGGTAATCTCTATCAATGTTACAGTTGGCTTCTTTGCAGAAATTAATAAGATGATCCTAAAATTCACATTGAAATGCAAGAGACCAAGAATAGTCTAAACAAATTTTAAAAAAAAACTTTCTGAATTGAAAACTTGGTACACTGTTACAGTAATCAACACAGCATTGTAATAGCACAAGGATACACATGGAGATCAATGGGATGGAATTGAGAGTCCAGAAATAAACCCTCATATTTATGGCCTATTGATTTTTAAGAAAGGTGCCAAGAAAACTCACTGGGGAAAATAATAGTCTTTTCAGTGAATGTTTCTAGGACAACTGGATATCCACAGAAATAAGTGAGATTCCTACCTCAAACCAGACACAAAAATCAACTCAGGATGGATCAAAGACCTAAATGTAAGAACTAAAGCAATACAACTCTTAGTAGAAAACAGAAGGGTAAATCTTCATGACTTTGAGTCGGCAATGCCTTCTTAGATATGCAACAAAAAGCGTATGAAACAAAAGAAAAAGATAAGTTGGACAACGTCAAAGTTAAAAACTTATGCACTTCAAAGGACACCATCAAGAAAAGACAACTCATGTAATGGGAAAAAGTTTTCGTAAATTGCATTTCTGATAAGAGACTCATATCTCAAACATATAGAGAACTCTTGCAAGTCATTAACAAAGTGACAAATAAGCCAGTTAAGAAGCAGCCATAAGATCTGAATAGACATTTTTCTATTCTTTCCAAAGAAGGTAGAAAGATGGCCAATAAGCACCTGAAAAGATGCTCCACATCATTAATCACTATTTGAATGCAAATCAATAACACAATGAGATACAACTTTATACCCCGTAGAATGCCAACAATCAAAAAGAGTGATAATAAGTGATGGCAGGCAGGTAGGGAAATGGGAATCCTCATACATTACTGGTAGGATTATAAAATGGTACATGTCCTTTGGAAAATAGTTTGTCAGTTCTTCAAAAATTTAAACATAGAGTTACTACCATCCCACCCAGCAATCCCATTACTAGGTATACACCCAAAGGAATATAAATCATTCTACCATAAAGACAGATGCACGTGAATGCTCATTGCAGCACTACTCACAATAGCAAAGACATGATATCAACCTAGATGTCCACCAATGGCAAACTGAATAAAGAAAATATGGTACATATACACCATGAAATACTATGCATCCGAAAAAAGAATAAGATCATTTCCTTTGCAGGGACATGGATGGGGCTGGAGGTCATTATCCTTAGCAAATGCCATATGTTCTCACTTATAAGTGAGAACTAAATGGTGAGAACACGTGGACACAAAGAGGGGCACAACAGGTGCTGGGGCCTACTTGAGGGTGGGGGTTTGGAGGAGGGAGAGGAGCAGTAAAAAGAACCGTTGGGTACTAGGCTTAGTACCTGGGTGATGAAATAATCTGTAAAACAAACCCCATGACGTGAGTTTACCTATATAACAAACATGTACATGCACATGTACTCCTGAACCTAAATTAAAAGTTAAAACAAATTAAAATAAACATAGAGTTATCATATGACTCCACAATTTCACTTCCAGGTACATACCCCAAAAAATTGGAGGCCTGTGGCCACACAAAAACTGGTACATAAATGTTCACAGCGTCTCTGTAATAGCCAAAATGTCGAAACTATCTAAGTGTCTATCTTGATAAACTGATAATCAATATGTGATATCCCCTACAATAGAATGTTATTCAGCCATAAAAAAGAGGAGAGTGCTGACACAGGCTGCAACACAGATGAGCCTTGGAAACATCACGGCAAGTGAAAGAAGCCACACCAAAAGAAACGTCACCGATCATATGATTTCATGTATACAAGATGTTGAGAATATGCAGATCCACAGACCCAGAAAGCTGATCAGTCATTTCTAGGGGCTAAAAGGAAGAGGTGAGGAATGACTCCTAATGGGTATGGGGTTTCTTTGAGGGGGGGTGATAGAAACATATTAGAATTAGATAGCAGTGATGGTTGCACAATCTTGTACATATAATAAAAGCCACTGAATTTTACACCTTAAAGGGTGAATTTTATGGCATGTGAATCATAGATCAGTATGTTTTAAAAACAGACAGGAAACCATGTCTTTTTTTAACTTTTATTTTAGGTTTGGGGGTGCATGTGCAGGTTTGTTACATAGGTAAATTGAGAGTTGCAAGGACTTGGTGTACAGATTATTTTGTCGCCAGGTAATAAGCATAGTACCCAATAGGTACCTTTTCAATCCTCTCCCTCTTCCTACCCTCTACCCTCAAGTAAGCCCCAGTGTCTGTTTCCTTCTTCGTGTCCATGTGCACTCAGTGTTTAGCTCCTGCTTATAAGTGAGAACATGTGGTATTTGGTTTTCTGTTCCTGCGTTAGTTCACTTAAGATAATGGTTTCCAGTCCCATCCATGTTGCTGCAAAGGACATGACCTTGGGGAACCATGTCTTGATACTGGGTTCTATAATGGCTTGACCAGTAGACTATGGTGGGAGTGACCCCCTGTCACTTTCTACTCCCTCTCTCAGGATGCCTGCTCTTTTCATGCCCTGGCCGCCATGTTGTAAGGAAGCTAAAGCAGCCTTTGGAGAAACCCATGTGGAAAGCAACCAAGGCCACCAGCCCTCAGCACCGGCCACACTCCCACCAAGTTAGAAGTAAATCCTTCACGCCCAGGCAAGCAGCCCTGGGTGACACCTCACAGAACAGAGACAAGCTGTCCCCCTGAGCCCTGCGCAAATTGAAGATTTGTGAGCAAGATAAATGATTGTTATTTTAACACTGCAAAATAACACTAAGGAAGAAAAGTCCCTGCCAAATACAGTCTGACACAATGTCTTAATTATAATCTCCTGTGGCACATGAACCAGCTACCCCACCACTCTTGGCTGTGAAGTTTCTCTCATCTCTTCTGAGTGCCAGGGCAGTGCCTTTGGCCAAGCCTGGCACTGCTTGGCACGTGAGGGCTCATCCTTGTGCTCAAATCTCAGCTTCATCTATTTGTGGATGTCTTCCTGGATTCCCTAAAGCCTTTGGATGTTGCTTTGGAAGAAAAAAATGTGGAATTGGAGTCATTCCTCTTAAGACAACTATTTGCCTTTTTGATAGCCTACTGAGGCCTGCTTTTCAAAACCAAACCAAAGTGTTATTTTTTTTTTATAACACTTCAACAGTGACTAAACTCAACACATGTAGTGCTGACAGCATACATAAGTCACTGATGAACAGCTACGACCACGCGTGAGCCTGGGCAGGCTGTGATGACCACCATGTCACCACAGTGACCTGCCCAACAGCAATTCTAAGACGCCATTGGGGGCAAAGCCCATGTAGACGTCAGAGATGAAAGATGCTAGTCTTTGAATCAGTGAAATACAGCCTAAATGCTTAAGAAACGAGGCGGTGGCTGTTATTTGACCTCCACCAAGGGCAGCTGTGTGGCAATGTCATGGCTGAATTTGAGATGTAGTTGAAAAGGTAAAACCAGAACCGAGTTTTAAAAATCGACCCATTGACCTGTTTGTTTTTAATTAGGAAGTATACCCCCCAAATTGGCTACAGGGTGGGGGTTACTTACTTAGGTAAAATAATGCCATCGTGGCAAAAAGCGTTCACTGAAATTACCAAGTAAGTAAAGCCAACATTTCAGCTAGTTCCATGGAGATGGGGGAGGTGGAGATTTAGGTTTCAGGACCTGTTTCTCTGTTCAAAGAGAAAGGGGCCTCGGCATCTCAAGCCCCCGAGCTCCATGACCATCTCTCACACACTGTCTTCACCTCCTGTGTTCTCAGGCAGCTCCATCGACTCAGTGACCAGCTCCTCCGCTGCCAGGGCTCTGAGGTCTTGGCTGCTCACCCCCTGGGTTTGCCCCACTGTTTCTGATCGGCCTCCTTTGCATGTCTGCACAGCCCTGCCCTTCCTCCTTCCTGGATGGCCCCTCCTTGTGGCTCTTCCTGCTGTTTCCCATCACCCGGCCCTGCTGCTGTGAGGAGTTCAGGCCACCTGGGATTGCAGTGCTGGCCTGGCAGAGGCTTCCCTTCCTCTGTGGCCCTGGCTGTGCCAGCCTCCTGTCTGCTGCCCCACAGCCTGTGGCCTGTCCACTCTACACACGGTGCCTTTTGTCCCTGCGCCCATCCCAATTCCTGTCCTTCTCACTCTTCCTTCAAAACAGCATTTTCCAAACATTTTGGAGTGCAGCTTATGGTCAGAAAAGCATTTTTATCACAACTGTGCGTGTGTGTGTGTGTATGTGTATGTGTATATGTGCATGTGTGTATGTGTGTGTTTGTGTATATGTACATGTATGTGCGTATGTGTTTTGTGTTTGTGCATGTGTGTTTGCATGTCTGTGTCTGTGTGTATGCATGTGTGTATGTGTGTGCGCATTATGTGTGTATATGTGGGTATGTGTATGTGTGTGCATGTATGCATGTATATATGTGTATGTGTGTATTTGTACGTGTGTATGTGTGTCTCTGTGTGTGTGTATGTACCTGTGTGTGAGTTTATGTGGGTATGTGTGTACATATGTGTGTATATGTGTATATGTGTATGTGTTTATGAGCATGTATGGGTGTGTATGTATGTGTGTGTGCATGTGCATGTATGTATGTGTTAATGTGTTTATGTGTATGTGTGTGTGCATGTGTATATGTGCGTATGTGCGTGTGTATATATGTGCATGTGTGCGTGCATGTATTGTGTGTATATGTGTATGTGTGTGTATGTGTGTGCATTTGTATATATGTGTATGTGTGTGTCTGTGTGTGTTTATGTGTGTGTGCGTGTGTGTGTGTGTGTATGTGTGTGTATGTATAACTGAAACAAAAGTTTCACAAAATAGCATGTAGTCTGCGCCATGCAATCTGTTTATTTTCCATTCTGTTCTATTAATACTTCATTTTTATAAAACGTGTTGGTTGCAACCCACGAAATTCATGCCCTGACCCCTGTGTGTCACTAGCGGCAGCCCAGAGCCACTGCAGCCCACAGCCCAGTCAGCGCCTCCCCCGAAGCCTGCCCACATCCACAGACGTGGTTTGGCTTCTGCCGTGTGACATTCTCGCTCTCCCTGGAGGTTCCCTTTGTGTCCCTCGTCACAGGCTCTGCTTACATGCGTGTGGTTGCTTCCCGGATGTCTGTGCTGCACTCTAGACGGTAGGCTCTGTCAAGACAGGAGCAGTGTCTGCTGTTTGTCCATGATTCCTCAGGAGAGACTCCCAGGAGACTTTCTCCTGTGCCCCCTTCTTGTGCTGACTTTCCTATCATAGGAGGTGGGGCATCAACAGACGGAGCCTTTGCTCTCTTTTTCAGAAGGACCCTGGACCCTTTCTGCATCTCCCTTTGCAGATGTCAGCTGCCATTCTAGATGGGGGGGGGGCGGTGCAGCTGTGACATCCCCACAGCACATACAGCTGTGAACTCCCAGCTCCTCACTGAGCACACACCCGCCTCCACCGTCCTCCGGCACCGCCCACGAGTCCTGCCTCCCTGGGGTCCAGGATGTCGGGCTGTGGGAGAGCCTCCTTGGCAGCTCATGAGGAAGAACTGGAGACCTTGGTGCCCTGCAATTCCCAGGTCATGACTACCCAAAGAGTCCACAGTTGAGCCTGAGCTCCCTGCCCAACACAGGCCAACCCTGACCTGTCATTCAGCCCCAGCGTCTACCAGCATGCCAGCATCCAAGAGTCGCATAACCGCTGTGTGCTAAACACATGCCAGGAGCAACAAACAAGTGGCGAGCAGTGAGACCAGACTTCAGGGCTGGGAAGACAGCTGTGGAGGGAGTCAGGCAAGAGAGGGCTCATGAAGGCAATGGACACGGGTCCAAGCCACCTGGATTCCCGCCTGGATGAGGCAGCCGCCTCCCCACGGGCCTCCCCACTACGGTTCTTGTCCCCACCCCTGCTCTCCCCAACACTGCAGCCTTCCAAATTCTCTCTTCCAGAGTCAGAGCCACGATCGCCTCCAAGGCCACAAAGCCTGCCAGGTTTCCGTTCCCCTTCTGATGGCTGCACCCTCTGCCCTGGCTCCCTCCGCCCCAGACTGAACGCTTCCTCGCAGTTTCTGAACAGGCCAGATGCTCCAGCCTGGACATCTCTACCGCTGCTGTTTCCCCTGCCTGGACCTCACCCTCTTCCCTCTGGGAAAAATGCGGCTGCCCTGAGTCCCCCAGCCCCTGCTCAGATGTTACCTCCTCAGTGAGGCCCTCCTCGAGGGTGCCATCCGAAATCACAGCACCCCTTCCCTGGATCTCCATCCTTCTCTTTCTCCACTGCATGCAGAGATTTGTCGGCTGTGTCCATCGATGTGTGGCATCACCTAGACGGGTTCCAGGCACTCTGTAAGAGCTGCTGAATGAGGGCCCGAGTGCTGGACTCAACCAGGCTTGCAGGATAAGGCAGATGTTGTGGGTGGAATTGCCTCTCCCCACCCCCCATAGGTCCTCACCTCCAATCCCTGTGAAACTGGCCTTATTTGGAAATAGAGTCTTTGGCAGGCCAAGTGGAGATGATGTCGTTAAGATGGGCCCTAATCGAATATGATGTCCTTGTCAAAAGGGGAAATTTGGACACAGGGCAGGTATGCACAGAAAGCAGATAGCGTGAAGACACAGGGAGGGTGCCCGAGGCCACCAGGACCGGGAAGAGAGGCCCAGAGTAGTTCTCCCTCACATGCTCAGAGGGAACCAACCCCGCGGCACCTTGATTCCAGATGTCTGGCACCCAGAAGAATGAGAGAATGCACCTCTGTGGTCTAAGCCACCCAACTATGGTACTTATTACCACAGCCTTGGAGAACACAAAAACAGCAGGATTTCATAGTCACACTTGCTAAGGGTGGGAGAGAAAGCCTAATATGCCAACATGTGCCAGCCGCAAGGCCACACCATCCATGCAAATGCCTTATTTAACGCCTGGGATGGAAACCCCGGTGTGCGTGTCCTGGCTGTGCCATCAGCTGTACCTCTGTCGGCCACTCTGATCTACACAACCAGAAGACAGGGGTCGGAGGAAGATTGAAGGAATTAATCTGCAATAGCCAGGGCAGGTAAAGAAGAGCCCCGTCATGCAAGGTGTTACAGGCACTGTTGACAGAGTTTCGTGTTTGTCCTGAAAGTACTGGGAGGCCACTGGAGGGCTTTGTGCAGGAGGGAGTTCCGTGGAGGGCAGATTGGAGGAATATGGCTGTGATTACAATAGTCCAAGTGAAAGATGCAAGGAGCCTGCTCCAGGGTGGGGTTAGAAATGGAGAACAGTGGTAGGATTTGAAAGATATGTAGAAGGTTCATAGGTAAGACTTGGCTATCGGGATGAGAGTGAAAAGGTGACATGCTGGATTGGAGATACCTTTGAGTCATCCCAAAGCAGATATTAACTAACTGCACTAGAGATGTACATTTGTAAGTTATCCACATATGGGTGTTGAGTGAAGTCATGTGGGTGAGTGAGATGGGAGAGAGGAGAACGAGGTGGTCTAGGACCATTCCTTAAGAACCCTCTTTGAATGGCCCTGAAGAGAAGGATGAGCTTGCAAAGGAGACAGAGGAGAGAGACAGGAGAGAGAGAGAGAGAGAGAGAGAGAGAGACAGAGAGAGACAGAGAGAGACAGAGAGAGACAGAGGGGGGGAATAGGAGAGGAATCAGTGTGGAGTATCTAAAGAGGACATGATCAATGGACGGAATCCTGCAGGCATGTATGTTACATATGGCTTCCTCATTCTATGTAGAGATGTCATGGCACCCACTTCATCAAGTTGTTTTGGGAGGTCAGGAAACGCACCACACACAAAGTGTTAGCTTAATGCTCGGCACAGGTCAGGTGGCCTCAATGTGGAGATGAGTCTCGGACCGGGGGGTTCCCCCAGGACCGGTGTGACAATGCATCCTGGTTTGCTCAAACAGTCCTGGCTGACACCTGCTGTCCTGCGACTTATGAAAAGCAATTCTCTTTCATTCTCAAGAGGTCCCAATTTGTGCCGTAAATGATATGAGCATCCCTTCTGTGATGATTAGCACAGGGACTACTTAGGATAGCATGACTCAGGGAAGGGAGTGCAAAGCACACGTTCTCTCACTGAAAGCTCCTCTTTAAGATAAACTGCAAAATGGTCACAGACATAAACCCAAATGGGAAGAACCCATCAGCGCCTGCTTCAGACACAAGGGACTCAAAAGTATCAAAGTCAGGTCTCCCCGAAGGGAGACACGCGTGCCGTTCATGCAAGCAGGAAACTACTGCCATATAAAACCTGATATCAAGGTTTTGGAAATAGATGATTATTTTAGCCTAAAACCACCCACAGATATTTTCAAATAGTAAATACCCGTGTAAACCAAACTTCGTTGTGAAATGCAGCTTTAAATATTCCAGCCTCGAAGAAAAAATATCCTATCCTAGAGATTTCTCTCCACTCATAAATGAGTCATGCACTTACAAAGCATGCAGAGTTTTTATTTTTAATTTATATTCTTTTGATAAATTGCTAGCTATGGTGACAAATATTCTACAGAGCCCCAGAGATCGTTATTATATGATGTGGTGTTATAGATCATATTATACTGATTGACTAATTGTAAAACAGAAGTATTAAAAAAGATTTACAATATGCAAATGGCATAAAATTTTTTTTAAAAGAGCCTTTTTCTTTTTTTGAGACAGAGTCTCACTCTGTTGCCCAGGCTGGATGGAGTGCAGTGGTGCCATCTCAGCTCACTGCAACCTCCGCCTCCCAGATTCAAGCAATTCTCCTGTTTAAAAAGAGTCTTTGATGTTTATAAACAAAAAATACTTTATGTCATTGCTGAGAGGTAAAAAAAAAAAAAAAAAAAGCTAGGATACTAGGATATATTTAAAGGGTAAAGAAACAAAGACCAGTGTGACATTACCATTTATTTTAAAAGAATTTATTATGTTTCTATAAATATAACATGAAGAAATTTTACCACAGTGCCAAAAAAAGAGCCTCCTTTTCCTGCTGAGGACACCCCACAGGAAAATAAACACAAGTGACCCAACCTAGAAGAAAATCAATTGTGTAGTAAGTGACCGTAATATGAGCTGAAGCTCGTGGGAAATTCCAAGACCTACAAATGATTTTATTAAAATACATATTTTGTACAAAGATCTTGGCAAGATTGCGAAAAATAAATTATTCGCAAAGGGCTAGACGTTTTAAAATAAATTTATTGAGCCATAACTCACATACAATAAAATTCATCCCTTTAAAATTTACAATTCAGTAGGTTTAAATAGATTCATGTCGTTGTACAACCATCACCAATCTATCTGGTTTTAGAACATTTTCGTCATTGCAGAAAGAAACGGCATCTCCATTAGCAGCAGTTGTTATTGATTCCACCTCTCCCTGGGACTCAGAATCATTCGTTCACTGCTCTTTTTTTTTTTTTTCCCCTCACTCTGTTGCCCAGGCTGGAGTGCAGAGGTGTAATCACAGCTCACTGCAGCCTCAAACTACTGGGCTCAATCAATCCTCCCACCTCAGCCTCCCAAGTCACTAGGACTACAGGCATGTGCCACTATACCTGGCTAATTTTTAAAACAATCTTTGTAGAGACAAGATCTCACTATGTTGCCCAGGCTGGTTTTGAAGTCCTAACCTCAAGCAATCCTTCCACCTAGGCATCCCAAAGTGCTGGGATTACAGGGATTACATACACTACCACGCACAGCCTCATTAACCTGTTCCTGACTTTACAGATTTACCTATTCAAAACATTTCATGTAAATGGAATCCTACAGTTTGTGGTCTTTTGTGGCTGGCTTATTTCATTCAGCGTGTTTTCAAGGTTCATCTACATTGTAGCGGATGTATTGTATTCCTTTTTATGGCTGAATAATAATCCATTGTATAGAATACCATATTTGGTTTATTCGGTTGTCTCTTGGTGAACATTTGGGGTTTTTCCACCTTTGGGCTATTTTGAACATACAGGTTCAAGTTTTTACGTGACATATGCTTTCAATTCCCTTGGGTATATACTTAGGTGTCAAATTGCCAATCATGTGGTAATTCTATGCTAATGTTTTTGCAGAACAAACAAAACTGTCTTCCAAAGTGCTGCACCACTTACAATCAGAGCAGGAATGTATCATGGTTCCAATTTTTCCACACCCTTACCACACTTGTTATTGTCTGTCTGTTTTTTTATTACAGTCATCCTAGTGGGTGTGAAGTAATACTCATTGTAGCTTTGATGTGCATTTTCTTAATGACAAATAACATTGATAATTTTTTTTTGTCTTTTTTTTTTTTTTTTTTTTTGAGATGGAGTCTCGCTCTGTCGCCCAGGCTGGAGTGCAGTGGCACGATCTCAGCTCACTGCAAGCTCTGCCTCCTGGGTTCATGCCATTCTCCTGCCTCAGCCTCCCGAGTAACTGGGACTACAGGCGCCCGCCACCACGCCCAGCTAGTTTTTTGTATTTTTAGTAGAGATGGGGCTTCACCATGTTAGCCAGGATGGTCTCGATCTCCTGACCTTGTGATCCACCTGCCTCGGCCTCCCAAAGTGCTGGGATTACAGGAGTGAGCCACCGCGCCCGGCCCACATTGAGAATCTTTTTATATGATGATTGGCCTTTTATATGTCTTCTATGGATAAATGTCTATTTGGATCCTTTTTCCATGTTCAAAAGGCATGCTTTTTATGAGTTGTAAGAGTACTTCATATGTTATAGATACAAGCCCTTTATCACATGTATGATTTACAAATATATTCTTCTGTAGATTGACTTTCCACTTTCTTTACAGTATATTTTGGGGGCACAAAACTGTTTTAAATTTTGATGAAACTCATATCTATTTTTTTTCCTTTCTCCCTTGTGCTTTTGGTATCATAGCTAAGAAAAAGTTGTTTAATCCAAAGTCATGAAGATTTATGCCTATGTTTTCCTCTATGAGATTTATAGTTTTATCTCTTAATTTGGGGGCTGTGTTCCATTTGGTGTTAATGTTTGTATAATACGGTATAAGATGGGCATCCAACTTCATTCTTTTGCGTGTGGAATTCTAATTGTCTCTCACCATTTACTGAAAGGATGATCGTTTCCCCCATGGACTTGTCATTGCTTCCTTGTGGAAAGTTAACTGACCATAAATAAGAGTCTATAATCTGGGCTCTCCATTCATTCCAGTGAGCAGCTATATGTCTGTATTCATGCTAGCACCTCACTGTTTTGATTGCTATAGCTTTATAAGCTTTGGAATTGAGAACTATGAGTCCTCCAACTTGGCTGTTCTTTTACAAGATCATGTTGGCTGTTCTGGGGTCCTTGCGTCCTGACCTACAAGTTCCTGCTCTAGCACTGCTCCCTATAGCCCCTGCATCCAAGCCCCTGAGTTTCCGAGTCTCTGCCTATTTCCAGTGCTTGTTTCCCATCCTTTTCCCCAATTCTGCGAGCTCCCTTTTAGTTCCTTTCATTGTCACTGGCCAGAGTTCATTTCTGTTGCTTGCAACCAATGTATGGAAGCAATCCAGTAGCTTCCTTCCCTTGGGAGAGGGCTGTAAGGTTACTGTTGGTTAAGACCCTTCCAGCCCCCACTGCAGGGCCCTACTCTGTGCCATGGGAGGCTGACACTCATGACTGCTATTAGTTCCTGGGGCTGCTCTGACAAATCACCCCAACTGGGTGGCTTAAAACAACAGAAACATATTCTCTCGCAGTCCTTAGGGTCAGAAGTCTGAAATCTAGGAGGCAGCAGGGTCCTGCTCCCTCTGAAGGCTCCAGGGAGGATCCTTGCTCATCCCTTTTGGCTCTGGTGGCTCCTGGCTGTCCTCTGTCCCTCGCCTTGTGGCGGCACCTCTCCAGCCTCTGTCTCCATAGCCACATGGCCTTCTCCTCTGTGTCTGGGTCCTCTTCTTACAGAGACACCAGTCATTGGATTTAGGGCCTACCCTGAATTCAGGATGATTTCAGCTCAAGATCCTTAACCAATTACACCTCTAAAGACTCTATCCTCAAACAAGCTCATTCTGAGACTGGGTGTGGACGTGACTGTTGAGGAGACACTCCTCAACGTCCCTTGGATGGCATCCCTCAGACTCACTTGCTGTTGCATTTCGAGGTGGGTTCGGCCCGTGAGAGGCACTGGCCAGGAAGCAGAGAGCAGGAGCAGAGACAGGTCGGACGTTTCTTCCCACCGCCCTCTGCTGTCACACTCAGGGCTTAGTGTGGCTGTGCCCCGCGCACCTGCAGCTCCCGCTTACCAAGCCCATGTCCAAGGCCCTGGCCGTCTGCAGCTCTGGGAACGCTACTCCTTCCTCCTGCCCCCCAGGCCTGGGGGAGAGGGTACTACTCCTTACCATCACTGCTCCCTCGGGGCCTCAGCCTCTCTTGTGTTTTGCTTAACTTTGCCCACCTTTGAAGGGAGTCCCTCTATTAAAATGTCTTCCAGGGAACCATCTGAATGAGATTCTTCTCCCTGCTGGGACCCTGATTGATTCGAAGATTATCATTTATTCATTTGGCTCAGTACAAGTGATAAAGATGATCCTCATTGGGATGAGTGACTTTTTCATTTTATCTACAAAACAGCAAAAAGGGAATCTACTGGGCTCAGCCGAGCGCTCCAGTGATGCTTCCAAATTAAAATTAGCTTTTAAAAACTAGGAGTCATAAAGGACAGATGTTTTAGTGAAGTCAGCTGGCATTTGCACTCTTCTCCCGAGGCACCTTAATTCTCCAGTGTCTCCTCTAACCTATAAATGCTCTTCCCTACCGCTGCTTTTGGTTTGATTACCAAGCGCCACTGGTGTCCCATTTGATAATATTCCTCTGAGAGACCAATCCTGCCAATGGTTCCATTTGCTGTCACTTTCCGCTATGCTCATTGAGATGGCAAAAGAGAAAGAATCCTGTGATCCCAGTTGTGAGGTCTGGCTGCCAGAGATAGGAGCACACCCATCTGTGAGAGAGTTTGTCCTTTCTGAAGGAAGAGGGTCTTCTATTTATAACCCCCCATGGAAGTTAGGCAAGAGGATAACCTCAGGGCTGTCAACGGGCAGGGGGATGCCTGCCTTTTCCAGAAAAGTCTTTGCGGAAAGACTCAGCCCAAAACAAGGACCTCTAGAAAGAAGTCCTGTGCTTCCTGAGCTGACAATTTGATACTGGCTCTGCAGTCCCCTTTAAAAAATTGGATATTTTTATCCAACAATTGCGTGTAATTTGTACATATGCAGCTTGCTCTTACCTGCTATTTTTTTCCATTTAAAATATACCATAACCATTTTCATGTGTCATTAAGGATTATTTTGTGACTTTATTGATAATTACTGCACAAATTTTCACTCCATGCCTTTTATCTTTACTTAGCCAATTGCCTATTATTGGGAATTAACTTTGTTAGCCATTTTTCAATATTATAAGTAGTGCTGTAAAGAATGTCTCTGTCTATACTTCTTAGAGCTTATTTTTTACCATTTCCTAAAGCGAAGTTCTTCACTGTAGAATTCCTACGTCAGAGATTTGCAGATTTTGAAGAACTTTGATATGTGTTATGGAAATATCCCCAAAAAGGCTGCACTCGTGTGTGTTCTCACTAACAGGATATTATTATTATCATTATTATTATTTTGAGACCGGGTCTCACTCCATCACCTCAGCTGGAATTCAGTGGTACCATCACAGCTCACTGCAACTTCAACCTCCCGGGCGCAAGTGATTCTCCCAGCTCAGCCTCCTAAGTCGCTGGGACCATAGGCGAGAGCCACCACACCTGGCTGATTTATTTTTGATTTTTTGTAGAGACAAAGTCTCACTTTGTTGCCCAGGCTGGGCTTGAACTTCTGGGCTCAAGCAATCCTCCTGCCTCAGCTTCCCAAAGAGCTGGGATTACAGATATGAGCCAACACACCAGCTATTGTTTTCTAGGTTTGCTTATGGGATAAGCATAAAATGAAATTCCTTTGTTGTTGCATTTGTTTGATGAATAATGAGATTATGCTGTTTTTGTTTTTTAAAAAATTACTAGCTATTGAAGTGACTATCTATTCTTTGCCCATTTTTCCACTGGGTACATTAGCTATACTTGATTGATTTATAAGAATTCTTTAGATATTTGAAATTTTAAAACTTTATCCACAATACTTTTTGTAGTTTGTTATTTGCATTTTAAGTTAGCTTTTGAAATTTTTTAATTTTATGGAAAAGTTTAAATGTTTCTGTAGTCATGAATATCAATCTTTTCCTTAGTCTCTTTTAAGGAAGATATTTCATTTTCATCCTTGGAAAGGCATTTTTTACCATGGAAACAGACATGTAGCCATGTAATATTGTGGTCTAGCATTTCCTTAGTTTCATTTTTTACACTTACATATTTAAACTGCCTAAAATGTATTCAGAGAAAGTCATATGTTAGGGATTTAAGTTAATTAATTTTATTTTAAATGGCTATGTAAATGGCTATCTAGTTGTCTCAAAACAAATTGTTATAATAAACAATTCACCCTTCAACTCTGATTTGAAATGTTATCTTTCTTCTTATTTGGTCTTCTCCTTGACTTTATATCTTGTTCCAATGACCTGTCTGTTCATATCCTTGCGAATCCCCTCTATCTTAATTACCACACACACACACACACACATTTGACTTCTGAAAGTATTTTATTCAAATATAATTTGAATCTATACATATAGATAGATTATACACAAATTTTGTTGTGTAAAGTCATTCCTTGTTCGTTTTCAAAACACACTTACCTGTTGTACTAGTTTGGGTACAATCGGGAGACACAAATTGCACAGTGATTTAAACAAGGAAAGTTTAATGTAAATGATGATGATGATAAGAGATTAACTATAAAATATAGGCTACTCTAGGACTGGGATAGAAAAAATAAGGAAGGACAAGCTGGAAGGCCCCTCCCCAGGCTGGGCTCAGACCTCATTGGAGAAGGCTGTCCTTGCCCCTTTTGGAATGGCAGAGAAGTCTGCTGGTTTGCTCAGGCCAGCAGGGTCCTAGTTTCTGGGCCACAGGAAGTCCCCCTCTGGGGCACAAGTGAGCCACAGCTGGTGTCCCAGTACATGACATGCAGAAGCCTGGACCACGGGGCCTCATGTCGAGGGTTGGGCCAGGGTTGAAGGTTGCTGAGGAACCATGTTTTCTGGGTGCATGACTGAGGCAGGCACCCCCTGCTACCTGGTCACCCACACTGGCTGTCATGCTTATTCTTCTATATGCAGGTTAGAATCATCTTTATCTAGTTCCAAAATTCATACTACGGGAACTGAATTCAGTATATTTATGATTTTGGAGAAAATGATGCCTTTGCAATACTCAACATTGTTGCCCAGGAATACATATTTCTCTCCATTTATTTTTATTGTCATAGCAATGTTTTAGGATTTCTTCTTATGCATTCTGCTCATTTATTTTAGTCTCTTCCTTTTTGTTATTTCCACCTCTTATTTCTGTTCCTTGCCTTCTAGCATTAGCTAGAAGGTTATCAAATATGAGTAATGATATTTAAAATCCTTGATTCTTACTCTTATGGGGATGCCTCTCCTCTGTACCTTCAGGACAGCATTGACTATTAGCTGAAGGTGGATATTCACCCTCACATTAAGTCAGGGTCTTTCTATTTATTCTCAGCTATCTCTGTGTTTTATCGAATGCCTCCACAGATGTATCAAGAGGATCATTGGTTTCCTTCTTTAGCCAATTCATGTGAATGGTATTAGTAAGTTTCTAAATAATGAGCTATCCTTGCATCACCCGAAATAAAACCGCTCATTTGCTATGGTGCGTTATCTTTTCAGCATAGTACTGAATTTGATTTCCTAGTAGCCTGTTTAGGATTTAGAGATCTTTAATTGTGAAAGAGAATAATCTCTATTTTCTTTCTTGAATTGTTAGGTTTTGGAATGAGGATTAGGCTGGCTCTGTAAAACACTGGGAAGGATTCCATCTTTCTGTGTATAAGCAAATGTGTCTTCAAGTCTTGGCGATCAGAGCTCTACAATCTTTCCCATCCACGCTGCCCCCCAGTCCCTCTCCTGCCCTTGTTTCTGGCCTCATCCTTGCAGATTCCTAGCTGGTATCCCTGCCTGCAGTCTCTGCCCCTGGAAAACACATGGCAGGTTCATGGCTCCCCCCTGCAGTCTGGCCCCAGACCCCATGCCCTGGATCACTGTCCTAGGCATATAAGCTTTCTGTGCCTGTTTCCTGATCTGTAAGAGAACAATGATAATGACCCCTTTGTATTAGTTTCTGGGGGCTGCTGTAACAAAGTGTCACACTGAGCAGCTTAAACAACAGGAATGTGTTGTCTCACAGTTCTGGAGGCCAGGTCTGAGATTGAGATGTGGGTTAGGTTGGTTTCTTCTGCTCCAGGCCTCTCTCCTCGCTTCCCATGGCTGCTGGCCATCTTTGGCAATCCCGAGAGTGTGAGGCTTCACCCTGATCTCTGCCTCCATCCTCACATTCTTCCTGCATGCAAGCCTGTGCCCAAGTTTCCCCCTTCTTAGAAGGACCCTCATCACAACGGAGGAGGGACCCGCCCTAATGACCTCACCTTAACCAGTTACAGTTGCACAGACCCTATTTTCAAAGAAGGTCACATTTGGAGTTTCTGGGGTTGGGACTTCCACAGATAAATTTGGAGAGGTCAAATCCAATCCCTAGTGCCCCTTAATAGGGCTGTGAGGATGAATGAGCTCATATGTACCAATTACTTAGAATAGTGCCTGGCAACTAGTAAGTGCTCAGAAGTGCCAGCTGTTGTTGTTTTGTGGTTATTCAAGGACTATATTGAATGTCTCTTCCTTCAGAAAGCATCTCTCCTGGCTCCGGCCAGACAGAACCTCTCCTGCTGTTCTCGAGTAGCTTTTACTTTTGACTCTGGTAGAGAAATGAACACATTTGGCCTTTTGTTATAGTTTTTGTGTTACTTGCTCATCACAAGGCATAACTAAAATACAATCCCTTAATACTCACTCCCCCACAGCCCCCCCGCCCCCCCCCCCCACATCTCTCATTAAACCCGGCACGCTTGCCATTCTCCACAGGCGCCTTTAGCACTTTCCATCCCCTGCATGCCTTGGAAGCCATTGCTTCTTCAGGTCTGTGGGAGGTGAGGGCTTCCCCATCACTGGGGAACCATCCTGGAGTGCCCTGTTGTCCCTTGAAGGTGTCCTTACCCTGCCCATTTGTCTGTTAGGGGTCCCCTCACTGAATTCTCCCGATGCCCAGTGATCTCTGAGCCTGCATCACATTCCCAAGAGTAGGGGATGACTGCTCACCCATGGTCCTTGCCTCTGGACCAACGCGGGGGTAGAGACACAAACTAGCATTTATTTGTGTGAATACAGCGTAGGCACAGATGTGGATGCTTTGCACATCATCACTTCTAATATCCACACAAAGCAAGCATTGTCGGCTCCATTTCACAGGGGAGGAAATTTTGACCTCGAGGGTCTTAATTATTGCCCAAGTTTACGGACATTTTACCCACTGTTTGCCCTGCCTACTGAGGTAGCACGTGGGACTTGACTCTATAGGTGGGGCTTGGATACTGGAACAAATTGAGGACTAGCTAAAACAGGGCCAAGGCATAAGCAGCTTTCCATAAGACACGCCCACCAGTGTGCCATGTCAGTTTACCATTGCCATGGCAAAACCTGGAAGTTACCACCCTTTTCCTAGAAATTTTTGCAAAACCTGCCCCTTTATTTTCATGTAATTAAAAGTGGGCATAAATACGACTGCAGCCCTGCCTCTGAGCTGCTGCTCTGGGCACACTGCCTGTGGGGAGCCCTGCTCTGAGAGGAGCAGCACCTCTGCCGCTGTGCACAGCCACTTCCATAACAGTTGCTGTCCAGCACCACCGTCTCCCCCTTGAGTTCTTTCCTGGGCAAAGTCAAGAACCCTTCCAGGCTAAGCCCCAGTTTTGGGGCTCCCCCATCTTGCGTCACTAGGGTATCTTTTTCCAACTCTCAGCTCCATCCACTGACCCCCTTCCCCCAGCATCCATCCAGTGGATGTCTAACCATTTTGAAAACCTTTCTCAAGGCCAGGTGTGGTGGCTCATGCCTGTATTCCCAGCACTTCAGGAGGCCAAGGTGGGTGGATCACCTGAGGTCAGGAGTTCGAGACCAGCCTGGCCATCATGGCAAAACCCCATTTCCACTAAAAATACAAGAATTAGCTGGGTGTGGTGGTGAGCACCTGTAATCCCAGCTACTCGGGAGGCTGAGGCAGGAGAATCACTTGATCCTGGGAGGCAGAGGTTGCAGTCGCACCATTGCACTCCAGCCTGGGCAACAAGAGCAAAACTCTGTCAAAAAAAAAAAAAGGAAAGAAAAGAAAGAAAAAAGAAAAGAAAAGAAAAAGAAAGAGAGAGAGAGAAAGAAAGAAAGAAAGAAAGTGAAAGAAAGAAAGAAAGAAAGAAAGAAAGAAAGAAAGAAAGAAAGAAAGAAAGAAAGAAGGAAAGAAGAAAGAGGGAGGAAGGAATGAAGGAAGGAAAAACCTTTTTCAAATATCCCCTTCTTGGTGAAGGCTCTCCTGACTTCTCTGGAGTATCTGGTATCTTGCTCATGTCTTCTTTATAATACTCATCCTGGGGTTATTTCTTCTCTGACTGTCAAACCAGACCCGAAACTTTGAGGATGGGATGAGAGTCCAGTTTCCTCGGCTCCCCTGTATTAGTCCATTTTCACACTGCTGATAAAGACATACCTGAGACTGGACAACTTACAAAAGAAAGAGGTTTTATTGGACTCACAGTTCCACATGGCTGGGGAAGCCTCACAATCATGGCAGAAGGCAAGGAGGAGCAAGTCATGTCTTACATGGATGGCAGCAGGCAAAAAGAGGAGCTTGTGCAAGGAAACTCCCATTTTTAAAACAATCAGATCTGGTGAGACTCATTCTCTATCACAAGAACAGCACAGGAAAGACCCACTCCTGTAATTCAATCACCTCCCACTGGGTTCCTCCCATGACACTTGGGAATTGTGGGAGTTACAATTCAAGATGAGACTCGGCTGGGGACACAGCCAAACTATATTATCCCCCAAGATCTGTGCGCATCCAGAACACATAATCTTGGGTACACAAGACACTTCATTCTGAGCAGGAATGTCTGACTCCAAGGCAGGTGCCACTGCTGTTCCTTGAAAGTGATAGAATGCTTTGTTGGTTGGTACTACAGTTGGGATTAATACCCAGGGCTATGAGGCCGTATCACTGTGCCAGTCAAAGTGTGGTCCACACACTCAAGACAGCCCATGCACTGCTTGTCACACATTGGAGAGAAATTGGTACAGAAGGCCAGAGGAGGCACCAGAGCAATTTGATGGTGTTGGTAATTGACACTGGCTTTAGTCATGAACTTGTATTTTGCATATCTTTGTGTTTTCTCATTTCACTTTTTTCCCTAGAAATTTATCTTTGTTGTATTTTATAAAAGTAGCAGTTTGTAGCATATGGGAAGTAAATAACAACAAAGTTGGTATTTCCACTGACAGTGTGGGAAGCACTGCTTTAGAGCAGCATCATCTGTCCAGAAACTTGAGCATCCTACAGTCATCCTTGAGACAGTGTCAAGAGAAGAAAATCACCTGTGAATCCTAGGACGGTAAAAGAGGATTGTGTGGATTGTTCTATCACAAGGACAGCATGGAAAGACCCACCCCCATAATTCATCACCTCCCACTGGGTTCCTCCCCCGACATGTGGGAATTATGCTAGTATAGCAGTGGAAAAATATATGTTTGTTACTTTTATTTGGAGTTGCACCAAAGTTTTTGGTTCCTAAGATCAACAGATGACTCTAATCCTTTAAAAGTTGAGAAACCCATGTTGTTAGGCATGGGGGCATGAGTTAGCAGTTCTTCCATGCTTTCTCGGTAGATAAGAAGTTGCAGGCTTCTATTATTAGATCCACAATCTAATGTTTTGGTTACACTATATAGCTACAGCATGCAAACCTCATAATTGTGAGTCAGGCACTTCCCATATGAGGGAATCACTTGTGGTACCCAGCGTTGGCAGCAACAAATGGAGACTGAGAAAGTTGAATCAATAGCACAGATGCTCAGATCTGGAAAGAAGCAAAGCTAGAATCAAGTGTGGTGCTCAGAGCCCTGATACTTTCCACCCTCTGACCTAAGCATGGTGAGATAACGTTCTAGTCTGGGTATAATGAGCTCACGGGTGCCCTACTATTTTTCTTTAATCAGGCACTGTCTCAAATTTTAAGTAAGAAGCACGAGAAACTAAACCATTCCAACATTCCACAACCAGGGCACCAAAGTTATGGTAGCTAGAAAAAGCAATCTTTTAAACTCTATTGTATGACACTAGTCATCTTTTTATTTTTTGAAAAAATGACAAAATGTAGCTCAAAGATCCAGTACTTCAGACACTCACATTCATCTTGAGCAGCAAGAAAATATTTTCTCAAACGCGAGCCTGTCTGCGGATTAAAGGCAAACATTTCAAAAATTATTCTGTAGCTTAAGAAAACATACTTCAACAATTACTGTTTCCTTTTCCATGTAACCAGATTCACTGTACATTACAACCTTAAAGCTAAGATCTAAGGTTTAGATCAACTCTTTAATCCTGGCTGTGGCTTTGGGTACTTCCTGCTCTTCATGAGAAGGGCTCTAGGCCTGCAGCTGCCTGTGAACAACATCAGGAAAAAAGAAAAGAAAGTTAAAAAAGAACTTAGCTGACTGGGAACAAGGTTCTATAGCATTGCAAAGGTTAAGCTATGGCATCTGAAAATCTGACACTTGAAGAATGCATAGCTTAATGACACAACTCAACCTCTGTGCCCTTTAGAGAGCTTCATGTCAAATAAAATAACTTAGAAGAGAAGTGGCAGGTAATATCCTTCTTGTCAACTATTTAACTTAAAAAAAAAAGTTTGCATGCCAGGAACACCTAACTCTGTTTTTCTCAATTGAATCCACTTTTGTCTTAATTTGATATACTGCTTTGTGGATTTGCCTAGCTTTGTGAATTCCTTGGTTTTCATCTATATCACCTTAGTTTGACTCTACTACAGACATTAAAATGATACAGGCATGGAGGGAAGCCCAGCAAATGGTGCTGACGCTCACACTGTACTTCGTGATGCCAGGCAGAATCTTCATGAGCGTGGATTCGTGTGTGGATGTGAATCCCGGTTCCATAACTTACCAGCCTGTGGCCTTGAGCAAGTGACTGAATCTCTCTGGGCCTTCACTGTTTCCATCTGTCAACTAGTCACAAGACTACGGACTCGGCAGACTTGCTGTGAAAACAAAGCGAGATGGTAAATATCAAGTGATTTGCAACCTCTAGCGCCCTGATCTTATTTATTGAATTGTATTCCATAGACCCCCCCGTGCTTCACACTTCAATGTGCTGCTGCTAACTTTATTGTCACTAAGGTAAAAAGTTACCTTAGATGTTCCTTAGAAAGGAGAGGAGGTCGTGCAGTCTTACCCTCTTAGAAAAAGAAAATGCCCTGGTTCCACACATGTGGAACCTTTAGGGAGAAAGGAGACATCGGTTTCAGTTACATCAGCTGAATAAAGCAGGAAATTCAAGTTCAAAGGTGTCATGAGAATTTCCCTTTCCTTTTCCTTTATTCCCCTCCCATTTTTACACCATTTGCTCTCACCAGAAATGTTTGTTTCTGGCTTCTGGCCCAAGATCTTCTAGAGTATATTTAACACAGCATAGGAGATGCTGTGGTCTCCCGATAAAAATCGAGTGAATACCAGGATTGTGGTTGTTTCTCCATAACTCCTGACACCCGAATGCACCCCTGACCCTGTTATTTATTCCAGCTTTTCTTAAATAAAACCAGGCTGTGTCAAAATCCAGCTTGACTCAGCAGCATGCAAAGACACTGCAACCTCCAACACTTGAACCTTATCCTCAGTGGCCTGGGAACGTCTCCCACTCCTCTGCCTGCAGTTAGAGTTGAGTCCAAGTCTTCACACCTTGAAAATCACTCAGAGACGAAGTGTCCAGACTTTTGTAAATGTCCTGCCCCATGTATTTGAACTAACTCCTACTGGTAAAGTTGAATAAATCAGACATTTACTCAAGTCTGCAAGTACAAATGTAACTTGAAGCAGCAACGGAAAGGCGGAATTTTCCTTGCACCCTCTCCTTTCCTGTGTCCTCTTCCTTTGCAAGTTCGCAGACAGCTCCATCTCCCTGAGTGCCACCGACAACACCCACTAACAGCTGTCTATGCTGACAATTCCGATCTCCCCTGGCATCTCATTCCTGTTTACACTTGCACATCAAATGTGCCTTTGGAAAATTCCCTGATTTCTTGTGTCCTGTTTTCTTTGTTCTATTTCTATTTTGAGATGACATATAAGGGAAACAACTTATTGTAGCAACAGGGAAGTGATAGGAAAGTGAACCAAACTATGCACACACACACACACACACACACACACACACACACACACACACAAGCCAGAAACAGAAAACCACAGGCTGCAAGAAAGTAAATCTCAAAGCCAAGCCTTCCCAAGTAACCACCGGCCACGGCTCATCTGGTAGGATCCAGTGAGGTGAACTGTGGATTTGTTTGGGGAAAACTGTATATAAAATGGCAGGTAGGCTGGGCACAGTGGTTTACGCCTGTAATCCCAGCACTTTGGGAGGCCAAGATGGGAGGATCACTTGAACCCAGGAGTTTGAGATCAGCCTGAGCAATATGGTGAAACCCCATCTCAATAAAAAGCACAAAAATTAGTTGGGAGGAGGCTGGGAATGGTGGCTTATGCCTATAATCCCAGCACTTTGGGAGGCCAAGGGGGGCCCAAGGTCAGGAGTTCAAGACCATCCTGGCCAACGTGGCAAAACCCCATCTCTAGTAAAACTACAAAAATTAGCCAGGTGTGGCGGTGTGTGTGTGTAATCCCAGCTACTTGGGAGGCTGAGACAGGAGAATCGCTTGAACCCAGGAGGCAGAGGTTGCAGTGAACCAAGATCGCACCACTGCACTCTACCCTGGGTGACAGAGCAAGACTCCATCTCAAAAAAAAAAATTAGTTGTGAGGGGTGGTGCGCACCTGTAGTCCCAGCTACTTGGAAGGCTGAGGTGGAAGAACTGGTTGAACCCGGGAGGTTGGGGCTGCAGTGAGCCGTGATCATGCCATTGCACTCCAGTCTGGGAAACAGAGCAAGACCCTGTCTCAAAAAAAAAAAAAAATGGCACGTCACCAGCTTCTCTGGAATGTCACCAGCTATACCTAAACACCAGTGCCTGTTGCTGGCACCTAGCACTGCCCTCAAGATACAGGCTCCACTCTTTGGAACAGGCAGCAAGGGGACTCCAAGACAGAGCACCTGGGGATGGGATATAGCTTAGTTCCCACCAGAGTCGCCCCAGATGAGCATAAAATTGAAGTATAAACAGCTTCTTGATATGCACAGAGGTAACGCCACTGCCCCAAAATCCATGGCCACCCCGGTCTTATCATGAAAACTCCGGAGCTGGCACCGTTGCCCAACGCTGTGACAAATGAAACACCAAGGGAGGACAGTATTCATGGACATTTGTTTTAATTTGTAGCATTTAATGAAGTGGGAGAGGCCAGGGAGAGGCCTTCAACCATTTCAAACTAAAAACAATCCATATCTGGAAATAGAACTTTGCGGAGTTGGGGCTGGGGTGGGCACGTGGCATCCTGAGTATTTCGTGAACACAACACTGGTGTTGACAGGTTTGGTTGTGATTAGACTTCCTATCCCTGCTCCCCCAACCCCACCCCCATCGCAGGGCATTTAAATAACATCGTAAAAAGGCTTTGTGAATCCCTCTCTTTACCTTTCCAACAAAGCTGAGCTCAGATGATTCTCAAATCATATTTCTGTAGCTTTAACCCCCTGACCCCCAGGAGAGCTCGGCAGGCTACTATATAATAAAATTCTCACTGTAGGGAAACCGCCCAGGGCAAGTTCAGTACTATCAGGAGGGACCATGCTGTGCATAACTGTGCTCCGTTTTGATGAAATATTCATCTATATTGATATTGGAGCAATCAAATTATGGTTGAAAAGCTCTGTAACCTCTTTGTGAGCTCAGTCTCGACATGTTAAATGTCATTCTTTCAAAGGGTCACCGTGATTTTGATTTGGTGGCTGGATTCCCGCCCTTTACAATGAAAATGAAAACACAATTAAAACCTCTGATCCCCTAAGCTGACATCAACAGCTACTGCTTGATTATCTTTTAATGGAAATAAACTGTTGTTCTTTTATTTTTATCATTTTAAAAGGAATGTATTTTCACAAAAAAATGATACAAAACGCATTCAGTGGAAAATAAGCATGAATACTGCTACTCTCCAGAATATCCGACCTTCCAGATCTATAGATTCACTGCAATATGCATGCACATGCATGCCACATGCACACACACACACACACACACACACACACACACGGGGAGTAGTTCTAAATACGTGGAGAGACAGAATGAAATACAGGAGAGAAAAAGTAGAGGAGCCAAGAATAAGGCAGGAGACAGGAGGGGAAGGAAGGAGAGCAAATGGGAGGGCCAGAGAGGGACAGGAATGGGAGGAGAGGAGAGGGGATGAGAGGGGAGGGAAGGGGAGAGGACATATATTCTAAGAAGAGGTCATATAATACAAGCAAGTTCACAACTATCTTTTACCAATAACAATAAATTGTGTATTTTTTGATGCCAGTAAACATAGACCTACACATAATTTTTAGTGGCTGCAGATATTACTGCTGTACATACTGTAATTTATTCCAACATTCTCCTCCGAATGGACATTTCTGTTGTTTTCACATAGCCTGTTTTAAGGACATCTGTTTTCTATCATTTTAGCTGGAGGTTGACTCAAACACAACTGTCCCTAGAGTGCATTAATAAAAGCCAAATTTGAACAGTATTATCAGTTATCTAGCTCTCAACTGTTATCAACTCAGTTTTTAGGAATGTATTAATATTCCCTTGATTTAAATATGTCAGATCTCCTTGAGGAACAAAACGGATTGGCATAGAGAAGAAATAAACCTAATCCAAATGAAAAGAATAATTATGAGAATGAGGCTACATTCGGGAAATATTCTAAGATCCCAAATGTAAATGTAAAAAAAAAAGTTAGATATATATCTGTAAAATTGGTATATTTGCATACATTAATAACCTTGACTTTCAAACAATGAGGTGCCTTCTTCATTATGGTATTACACTCATCAAGGGTGTATTTTTAAACTACACCAAACCAAAAATCTAGCCATCTGTCTTTAGAACCAAAGAATACATGTCAGCCACATGAATTACTTTATATGAATCTACAAATATCATATCATTATATTGATAGACTCAAACAGACTCATCGACTATAGAGAATTGTGTCAACATGATCGCAATGCATCAATTTACTATGCACTGAAATATATGTGTATTGATTTAGGTAGAGAAATACAAACACGTGGACGGGGTCTTTGGGCTTAATCATTTATTAATCATTTAGCTATTAAGAACATGCATTGAGGCTCCAAAGAGAACTGGACTCACAAGCTGTTGATTCTAAGTGTGTGGTGCCCTTGAACAAGTTCCTTAATCCATGCAAGTCTCAGTTTCTTCATCTGTGAAGCAAGGATGAGTGCAGCACTTAGCTCCCAGGAGTAACATTCTTAACCACTCAGCCCGGTGCCTGATACCTGCAAATATTCAGTACACATTGGTTATGATGGTGATGGCGATGATGAAAGAAGAAAGGCATCGTTTAAGCTGAAGCTAATGATGATGAACAATGCTGGACATGGAAGCAAAGTTTATAGCTGATCAATGATATCATTGGATCTGAGGGCAAGTGGGAGGCAGGAAGAGTGTTCCAGGCAGAAGGAATGGCACCTGCAGCAATCCTGATATGAGAGAGAGCTCATAGTGGGGAAAGGAGCCGAGTCCGGTTTGCTGTGGCTGGGGACAATGGAGAAAGGTAAGGAAGGTGACAGCGCCCAGGACAGGCTGAGCCTTGGGGCCCATGCGGAGATCATAGGAGGATTTTCTATCGAGTGCCAGGATCCAGTGTAGATGATCTACATGAGCTAAAGTAAAACAGATATTGGAATGAAACACCATCGTTTTGGATGGAACAATGAAAATTCATGAAGATGTCCATTTTTCCCAAATCAACATACAGGTTTCTGACATGACCAATTACAACAGAACTTTTCTTGGAGCTTAACGGTGGTGTCACAGTAGCATTAACAGTAACAGCTATCCTTTAAAGAGTGTCCAGGGTGCAACAGATATGGTGTTCAGCATTTCTTTAAATTTTATCTCATTTTATCTTCATAACAACCCTATGGACAATTATTTCCATTTTTATAGTAGTTTTATTATATATATCATACAATTCACTCATCAAGGGTATAATTTAAGGTATAAAACAAATGACTTAGTATATTCAGAGTTGTGCAATCATCACCACTATTTTAGAACATTTTCATCACCCTCAAAAGGAACCACGTACACATTAAAAGTCACTTCTCATTTCAACTCAATCTGCCTAGCCCTAAGCAATCACTAATCTAATTCCTGTCCCTATCGGTTAGCCTACTCTGGACATTTCATATCACTGGAAACTTTCAATATGTGGTTCTCTGTGACTGGCTTCTTTCACCTGGCATAATGTGTTCAAGACGCATCTGTGATGTGACATATAGCAGTCCTTCATCTTGTGTACTGCTGAATAATATTGCATTGTATGGGTCCACCACACTTTCTTCATCATCCAGTTGATGAATGTTTGGGTTGCTTCCACTTGGGTGGATTATTTATGATATTGTTATGAATATTAATGTAAACATTTTTGCTTGGATATATGTTTTTATTTCTCTTGGATATAAATCCAGGAGCAGAATTGCTGGGTCCTGTGGTATCGCTATGTTTAACCACTGAGAAACTTCTGGACTATTTTCCAAAATAGCTGCATCATTTTACATTCCCACTAGCAGTGTACAGAAGAACCAGTTTCTCCATGTCCTCACTCACACTTGTTCTTTTTATCATAATCATGTTAATGGATATGAAGTGGTATCTCATTGTACTTTTTATTTTATTTTTCTTGATAATAATGATACTGAGCATTTTTTGGTGTGCTTATCAGCATTTGTGTACCTTCTTTCTCTGTTCAGATCCTTCGCTCATTGGATTGTCTTTTTATTATTGAATTGTATGAATTCTTTATATCTTTTAGATGCTATTCCGTCATCAGATTATTTATAAGTATTTTCTCCCATTCTTTCACTTTCTTGTTTAAGCACACAATTTTTAATGTTGATGAACTTCAATTTATCTTTTTTTATTTTGTTTGTGTTTTTATTGTCATATCTAGAAAATCATTTCTTAATCCAAGGTCAGGAAGATACAATCCTATGTTTTCTTCTAAGAGTTTTATAGTTTCAGCTCTTGCTTCTAGGTTTTGATCTATTTTGAGTGAATTTTTGTATGCGGTGTGAGGTAGATATTCAACTGCATCCTTTTGCATGTGGATATTCAGTTTTTCCATCATTGTTTGTTGAAAAACCTATTCTTTCCCCACTAAATGGTCTTGGCACACTTGTCAAAAGTTATTTGACTGTGAATGTGAGAATTAACTGTTGAATCTTCAATTAAATTTTATTGATCTATATCTATCCTAATGGCAGAACTACAATGTTTTGGTTATTGTTGCTTTGTGGTAAATTTTGAAATTGAGAATTATGAACCTGCCAACTTGATCTACTTTTTAAAAATTGTTTTGGCTCTTCTTGATCTCTTGCATTTTCTTATAAATTTTAGAATCAGCTTGTCAGTTTATGCCAAGAGGCCAGCTTGTATTTCAACAGAGATTTATTGAATGTGTAGGTCAATTTCAGATATTTCCATTTTAACTATAGTAAGCCTCTGACTCATGAATATTGAATATCCTTCCATTTCTTTAGGTCTTCCTTAATTTCTTTCAACCATATTTCTTCATTTTCAGAGTATAAGTTTTGTGGTTCATTTGGTAAATTTATTCCTAATTATTTTATGCTTTCTAATGTGCTCATAAACAAAATTGTGTTCTTAATTTCATTTCTGATTTGTTCATTACTAGTGTTTAGAAGAAGTATAGTTGATTTTCGGAACTGATGTTGTATACTGTGTGATGAACTTGTTTCTAGTTCTAATAGATTTTTACTGTAATTTTGAGGATTTTCCATATATATCACATTATCTGCAAGCAGAAATAGTTTTACTACTGTCTTTCCAATCTGGATGCCTTTTGTTCAACTTTCTTGCCTAATTAGCCTGGCTAGAACCTCTAGGACATTGTTGAATAGGAATGGTGAGAGCAGACAACTTTCTCTCCTTCTAGATCTTAAGAAGAGAACATTCAGTCTTTTGCCACTGAGTATGATATTAGCTGTGGATTTTTTTTATAGATTTCCTTTTTGAGATTGAAGAAGTTCCCTTCCAATGCTAGTTTGTTGAGTGTTTTTTATCATGAAAGAATGTTGAATTTTGTCAAATACTTTTTCTTCATAGAAATGACCATGTGATTTGGGTACTTTAATCTATTCATACAATGTATTACATTAGTCGATTTGTAGATGTTAAATCAACCTTTCATTCCTTGGATAAATTCCACTTGGTCATGGTGTGTGATCTTTTTTATATGTTTCTGAATTCAGCTTGCTAATATTTTGTTGAGGATTTTTGCACCTGTATTCATAGGAATATTGGTCTACAGTTTTCTTGTAAAATATTTGACTGGTTTTACTGTCATGGTAATACTAGCCTCATTAAAAAACTTGGGAAATAGTCCTTCCTATTCTTTTTTTGGTAAACATTTGTGAAAGTTTATGTTAATTCTCTTTTTAATTTGCAGTTATATTTACAAGTGAAGCCATCTGGACCTGAGTTTTTTTCTTGTAGGTAGTTTTTAAATTATTAACTCAAAGTTTTTACTTGTTATAAGTCTACCCAATTTTCTATTTCTTCTTGAATCAGTTTTAGTAGTTCTTGTCTTTCTATGAATTTGTTCATTTTATCTAATTTAGCTAGTATTATTTTCATTTTATAAATGAAAAAACTTAGGCTTACACAGATAAGAAACTTTCCCCAGGAATAAAGCTAATAAACAGTCCTATCTTATGCCAATCTCAAACTCAGGTCTGTTTGAATCCAATATGTGCAGCTTTACCCACTTGATGAAATAATTCTATGTCTTATCTAGAAGAAAGAACAACAATATAAAACAATATTCTGGAAAGAAAAATTTTTAAAGTGGATGACAAGTTCTATCAGATATTAAAACACATTATAAAACAATAATAATTAAAACAGTGTAGCACTGACACAAAGCTAGATAGACAGTTCATTACAAGAGAATCAATAACTGGAAAATAAATACACACACACACACGTACATATCAACATATGATTGGAGTGCTTGTCGCAGTATTGTCCATGGCCCAACCAACATCCAATATCCTCTTCCTCCTTCCTAGGAGAACCTGACTTTATTGAATCCATTTCCCATTCAACCATGGACCTGAGGCTGGCCCTCACTGGTTTTAGGAATATGTCACTCCCTTGCTAGTGATTAGCTCATACAAAGATACAATACACATTTCTGGCCATTGAGACATGAGAAGAGGCTTGCTACTATTCCCAGAATCACTGGCTTTCTAAGACTGTTTACTGTTTAGTAGAGATGGGGTTTCTCTCATCTCAAGTCTTCTTTTAACTATCTTCCTGGAAATTCTTTTATCTATTAGCCTATGTAAAACACACCCTGCAATGGCTTTCTGAGAAAGGGAAGTAAGTGATTAATTACTTGCATGTTTCAAAATGTCTTTATTCTACCCTGGGCTTGATTGATGAATGGGGTTTGGTAGGGCAATCTGTGGTGGAAATCATTTCCCTCAGGATGTGGAATATATCCTCCCCTGAATTCTAGCTTTCAGTGTTGATGTTGAGTAGTCTAATGTCATTTTGATTGGCAGTCTTTGATTGTGACCTCTTTTCTAACATGCAGTCTTCGTTTTATCCCTGATGTCACTGTCTTTTGTATCCTACAGACTATTTGAGAGGTTTAATATCATATTGGAGGCCAGGTGTCATGGCTCACACATATAATCCCAACACTTTGGGATGCCAAGGCGGGTGGATCACCTGAAGTCAGGAGTTTGAGACCAGCTTGGCCAACACGGTGAAACCCCATCTCTACTAAAAATACAAAAATTAGCTGTGTGTGGTGATGGGCACCTGTAGTCCCAGCTACTCAGGAGGCTGAGACAGGAGAATCACTTCAACCTTGGAGGTGGAGGTTTCAGTGAGCCAAGATCGCCCCACTGCACTCCAGCCTGGGCAACAGAGCAAGACTCCACATTGGCCGTTTTCTTATGCTCCTTTATGAGATGTCTGTTTATATCCTTGTCTGGCTGTCCTATTGAACTGCAAGAACTCTTTGTATATTATAGACATGAACCCTTTGTCTGTCTTCTGTGCTGCAGGTATTTGCCTCAAAACATCATTTTTTCATGTATTTTATTCATGGTACCTGGTGCCATACAAAATTTTTAAATTTGTAAATGTGTTTATACTTTCTCTTATAATTTCTAGGTTTTCTAAGTCACAAAAACCTCCTTAATTCCTATGTTGCAATTGATACTCTCCCAACTTTTCTTCAAATGCTTATGTTGTTTATTCCTTGCATGTAAATCTTAATCCACCAAAAGTTAGATTTTGTATACAGTGGAAGCTAGAAATACAATGTGATTTTTCTCTAGATGCTATGTTAGTTGCACCAGTCCTTTATCAAAAAATCTATCTTGTTCCCACTGAATTGAAACATGGCTTTTGCTATATCAAAGTCCCATTTATGCCAGTGTCTATTTCTTATCTCCCTATTATTCTCTTCTGGTCTATCTATTCCAGTGTTACTTCTGTATTGTTTTGAATCTGATGTTCATACTCGATAAGAAAGCTAGTGCTTATCATCTTTTTCCTTTTTTTAAATAAGTATTCTAATTTATTTTCCATATAAATATAATTTTAAAAATCTGTCCAGTACAAAATTTAATTGGAATAGCTTTTAATTTGTAAGTTAATTTAGAAGAAATAACGTTTCAGATAGTCACCTTCCCAGCCAAGAACTTGATATCTCCTTCCCTTGGTTCGCATCTTGTCTTGTGTCCTTCAGTGGGATTACACATCTTGCTAAACGGTAATACCTAGAGCTAGACAGGATGCAGTAAAACTGCTATATTGGTTAGTGGCAGTGTGGATTAGCTCCACTCTTACTGAAAAGCAATTTTACAATGTGCAAAGGGTCATGAAAATGAACATTTTGCTGAGATGGAGCACCATGCTCTGGGGAATTTGTCCTCAAGATATTTTCAAAAGAAAAAAAAAAGCACATGTGAAATATAGCATCGATTATAATGTTGAAAATCTGGAATCAATATAAAAATCCAATCGAAAGGAGACAGTTTTTCAACATTGGGTAAATTCAGTTAATAGTTAAGTCATCAAAATGGTAATTTGAAAGTTATATAACAATTAGTATATGATAAGAGGAAAAGTGGGTTATAAAATTGTATGGATAAGCTAAGACTGAAAATATGTAAAAATATAGGGAAAAATCACAGATAAGAATACATAAATGAAGCTTGAAGGCATTATCAGCTTTTGGAAATTATAGGTGAGCTTTTTCCTCTATTTCCCAAACTTTGTATAGTATCATTATTTGTTTTGACTATTTTAAAAGGCATAAAGTGTAACTAATCAGGATTAAATGAAAGGGCAACTGATTTTTTTTTTTTTAATCCTTTTGGAATGTTTTCTCTAAAAAGCAATTGGACTGATTTTAAATATACGTGGCAACAAGGATAAACTGCTAATGATGGGTTTGCAAATACAGATCCTGCTGAAACAGATAAAAGTAACTCACGATGAGCAGTTCCTGTGCGATCCAATACGCCGTTTCTTCGAGAACAGTCGTTCTCTTAAGTTGGTTAAATCTGTCTCTGCAATCTTGTTTGGAGGATTGATTTGCATCTGAAACCCTCCTTGAAGTACAAAGATAAACTTCAACTCAATTAAGATTGCATTATCCAGCATTCTCATTAACGAAATTTAACATAGTACAATTTCCCCATGCACCATCGTTCATCACATGAATAACGTTTTGTGTTCATTGTGATCAATAAAGCCAAAGTAACTGTCACTTTCTCTACCTATAATGCAGGCTTATAAACCCATTCGTAGCTTGACCTGTAAAGTGTGTTGTGTACACACGACATTCTAGGAATAGTTTTGGGCGCTTTATGTACCTTATCTCATTTAATTTTCATGATCCTACTGATCTCGCAGACTCAATCCAAGTTTCGTCTCACACTAGAGTCTGACCTCTGCTCACCACACTGTACCTGTCATCCCAAAGTTCCGTTTTCAGTGTAAATTTCTAGGACACTTCTGATCTGCGCAGGAAGAAAACCCATACCCTGTGCAGTGATGCATCCTGTCAAACAGCTCCACATGATTTATAGCAACCAAAACTGCAGGCACTTTCCTTTAGCTCTTGGTGTTTAAAGAATTGAAGTGATGATGGGTGAAATTTCAAAGGCACCAATAGGTGACTAATTAAATAGTAATGTAGATGAGGTTGGCATATCACATCCCAAATCAGTTCCACCTCTGCTACCGGTCGGTTCATACACTCAACAATTTCCAGAAGAAATATATTTTACACCAGTGCAAAATCCAGGGTACCTGTGTGACTAAACATGGGGAGAAATGGAAATCTATATCAACAATTTTAATTCTATGTATGTGATTTCAGTATTACCAATTGAGGCAATATGAGTCTTAATCTGATAATTTTTCAAAGTAATCTCTTATGTGAATTATCTGCATGCTGCAGATACTGAAACTTTGTGATTATTTCTACTAACAGTTAAAGTAATTTGGACAAGGTAGAGTTTGGCTTTGTACAGATTAGAGGCCGATGAGTGATGGATGGATAAATACAACAGAATTGCTCATTTTAAGGCATTTGTTTACCGCAAAACAGTCACCCCTGAAGTTCACCAAGGTAAACTGCATATTTGCCCAAACTGAATGTGTCCCCAACTGAATTCCGAATTTCATTTCTGCTTCGAAACACATTACTCTGAAAACATAATTTGGCAGTGTTTCTCAAAGTTTGATCTTGACCAACTGATATCAGAATCAACCGGAGAGCCTCTTAAACCTTCAGATGGCTGTCTCTGGGGACTGGTTCAGTTGTTTGGGCTTGGGTCCAGAGATCCTCATATTTAATTAGCTCCCGGGCAGCCCTGCTGCACATCCTGAGGTGGGACCCGCTGCGTCTTCCGTTAAGGTGTCCTGGGTTGCACCATCAGAAAGCCCAAGTGTAACTGGCATGACCAATAAAGAAAATTTATCTCTTGGAATTTTGGTCATGGTCCCAGGAGGTCTAGAGCAGCTCTGGGCACCACATACTTCAAAGTCCAGAGGCAGGAAGAGACCATCTCTTTGTTACGTCCTGTTTTTTCCTTTTTTTTTTTTTTTTCCTTTAATGACCCCAGACAAAATCCTCTTATATGTCTTTGGCCAGGATTGTTTCACATGCTGAGGTCTAAAATACACCATTTACTGGCAAAGGTTTTGGAGCTGCCACATTTGTTTAGAATAATTTCAAAGCAACCCTGAGTTACTCAAGGCAGTGGTAGCCACCCCACAATATGCTGAGTTCTGAGAGCAGAGGAGGCAGTGAACGATTGTGTGAGGCGAGGGACAGCCCAGTTACCCCGATTTGATCCGTAGACATCGCACGAACCTATGAAATATTGTAAGTACCCCCAAAATGTGTACAACTATGACATGTCAATTTAAAAAAAAGGTAGTAAACAGTCTTTGGGTGTCTCTGGTGCCAGGAAACTGTGTTCAAACTAATTTGGGCATAACAGCCAGTAGTTATGGCCACTCCAAAACAAAACTACACAGCTCTTGGGGAGGAAATGGTCAGAGAGAAGGATGCAATATTTGAAGAAGAAATGAACACAACAGGTATATAAAAATTAAGAATGCCAAAGGCCAGTGACTTTGCCCTTGGCCTGAGTTCTGAGAGGTACACAAGAATGGAAATGGACAAAGTGTGAATACTTTGTCGTGCAAAGGTGTTGCATAAAGCTGAACACTATTATGTACATTCAAGTATTCAAGAAATATTTCCTGAGACCCTCGGAATGCCAGGAACCAGACGCAATGTTGAGTAAGACCAGGATTCTGTCCTCAACGTGTTTTCCCAATAATGAAGGAAACGGGTTAAGTACGTGTTTACTTACAATTGTGGTGTGATAAATGCTATTGGAGAGACATAGAAAGGCTGGTAAGGTAAAACCACAGAGGAGAGGCCCTCACTGCAGGGATGCTGATCCACAGAGAGGGAAATGAAGGAAAGAAAACCTCATGGAGGAAGCGCCCAGGAGCTGAATTTCGAAGCTCTCTATGGCAGGAGCTTGGAATCCAGATTTGGGGAGAGCCTGGGAAAGGAGCAAAGTCGGACAGGCCGATGGAGGGGGGCCAAGCCACACCACAGAACGTGGGTTTGACCTGGCAGCCTAGCAATCCCCAAATACTTCTGATCATGCAACCAGAACAGAAAGTTTTGAGCATGAGCATCCAATATATTTATATTTAGTTGCAGTATGCCACTATACCTATTTGCAACATGCCACAGTATTAGGCACATAATAAAATACACCACTAATTAAAGATTAAAAATAAAATAACAGTGAATTAAATAAACATTTTCATTTGGTAAGAACTTTTTCTCACTACCATAATTATGAGTGATACTTATTTCTTTTCCGTTTAACTGTGTGAAATGAAAATAACTCAGCCTTTCCATCTGCCGAAAGCTTGCAGGAGGAGTAGAAAGAAATGCAGGTATCAGCTCTAACCATTTCTTGGGGTTTGCTGATGTTTGCATTTTCCGTATGTCCCCCCACCCGTTATTTCTTTGCAGAGGAATCTTTTCCAACCATTTCTTTTTGTGAAGGTTGGTCTAGAGAGAGTTGGGTTAGTAATCCCAGCCGCTGCTGACGGGGCCCACCAGGCCACAGCAGGTCACCAGAGGCTGGCTACGAGTCAGAGATGGGGGCTACCAACCCCGCCATGCGGTGGGGCTCCCACCCTCCACCCTGGACACAGCCATTATGCACAAGACGCAGGAACCAAAGGAGGGTACGGGCGTCCCCCGCATCTTACATATATTACAGCTCAACTTATTTTCTTATTTTTAGAATCAACTTTGTTCTAAGAAGCTCTCCCTTTGCCTCCTGCGGTGACCTTCCATGTCTTGCTCTAGAGGCCACTGGCAAAGCAACCGGGCCTAGTGCTAGGAGGGGAGGGCCAGGGCCGCTGGGAGATGCGCATATAAACTGCAGGGGCTAACACGGGCCAGAGTCGTCCAGGGCCGCTCAGCTGCAGAGGCCTGAGAATCCTGACAGCGGGAGGATGTTGAGTGTCACTCCTGAGCTCCGAGGGTGAGCTCGCTTAGCCCAGTGGTTCTCGACTGCAGGGTGAACCCGAATGGACTGGAACCAACGTGGTTGGCAACACACACGGCTGGCTCAGCCCCAGGGTTTTGGATTCAGCAGGTCAGGGCTGGGAGGCAAGGAGTTGCATGTCCAACAGGTCTCGGTGCTGCTGGAGCTCCAAGCCACACTTGGACTTGGAGAGCCGCTTTGTCAGTGCGTATGCATGAGGAGGCGGGAGAAGGGCAAACTCCTGTGGGTAGCTGCAATGACTGGCTATAGCTGGAGGAAGAAAGCCGTATCACAGAGGGCAAGGGGGATGGTGCTGAGATGGATAGGGCAGGCTGAGCAACACTCATGTGTCCCAGGGAAGACAGGTTGTCTGAAAGGAGCCACTGGGATTAGAAACCAAGAGGGTTCTGGAGCCCACGGAGGCCTCTGAGAATCAAAACCACACTGTGGGAGGGCAAGATGTGGACGTGGGGCCTAAGAAACCATTCTTTCAAGGAGATGGACTCTGGAGGGAAAAGAGGAAAGGAGGAGCCGTAGGGATTCATTTTTGTTTTACTTCTTTTTCTCCCCCCCAACTGTTTTTATGGTGGCAAAATACACAGAACATAAAATTTGCCATTTTAATCCTTTTTATGTGTACAGCGCAATGGTATGAAATACATTCATAATGTCGTAATGTCAGACAACCACCACCAACACCAGAGCTCCTTCCATCTTGCAAAACTGAAACACTGTCCCCATCAAACACCAACCCCGTTCCCCTCCCCCAGCCCCAGCAACCCTGCTTTACTGTCTGTCCTTGACTTTGACAACACTAAGTGCCTCTTAGAAGTGGAATGATATTTGTCTGTTCGTCACTGGCTTACTTCGCTGAGCTTAATGTCCTCTAGGTTCATCCATGTTGCAGGGTGCGTCGGGATTCCCGTCCTTTCTAAGGCTGGTAATACCCACTGCACGGATGACCCCGTTCTGCTCATTATTCATCAATGGAAACACACTTGGGTTGGGTCCACATATTAACTCTTTAACAATGCTGCTATGAACAGTGGGTACAAATATCTCTTCGAGACCCTTGTTTTGCTTCGTTCTTAAAGACGAGGATGACTAGTAAGACCCTGTCTCTTAAAAAGTAAAAAGAAAATATTAGCCAGCTGTAGTAGCCCATGCCTGTTGTCCCAGCTACTCAAGAGACAGGAGCCCAGGAGGTCGCGGCTGCAGTGAGCTATGACTGCACCACTGAACTCCAGGCTGGCTGACACAGCAAGACTCTGTCTTAAAATAAAATACAATATATACAAATAAAATAATAAAGAAAATTGATGAAGACAGCTAGACAACATTGACGTGTCAAGGAGGAAGCCCCAGAAGAGAGAAGTATTGAGAAGAAGAAGAGGAACTTGGGAGAGAGGAGGATCTTTGAGGAAGCAAGAAGGGGGACCCTAGAGCTGAGCTAAAGGGACTCCACATGATGAGGCAGGCACAGGTGTGGCATGGGCAGCTCACAAACCCTGGCCTCATTTTCTCAGGGGGAACACCAGGGTCAGAGGCTCTGGGGCCTGTGAAGATCAGGAATCGCCATGAGAGGCGTGGAAAATGGAATTAACTGGGAAGGAGAGGAGAAAAGGATGACTGTGGACTGTGTCCCCTCAGGCAACACTCTGCAGTCTGGTGCAGGCCCCTGGGTGTGGGTGGTTGGGATCCCCAAGTCGGTTGGGGGTGGCAGAAAGGCCACAATGCAGAGGTGCTGACAGTATGGAGGGGCATGTGGGGGGAGAGGCAATGGCCCCAGGGTCTGGCTAGCATTGGAGTAGAGGGCTGTGGATTGAACTCAGTTCACAGATACTCTGAGCAAGCTCGTGACATGCAGATCCCTGGGCTCCACCACCAAGAGATCCGGATACAGCAGGCCTGGGCAGGGCCTGGGAATCTGCATTTCTATCAGGCTTCCAGGCGAGGCCGATGCTGATACATTCCATAGGGTGCACTTGGACACGTGCCCATCTGGTCCAACATGCTCATCGTCTAGCGTGGAAAAAAGAATGCAGAGAGCTTAAGCGAACAGAACAGAACCCACTTCCTGGGGAGCCAAGTCAGGACCCCCTGCCTCCGTCACCCTGCCCACCCCAAAACATCCCCCTTGTGGCCAGACTGTGATATTCAGGATTTGTTCACATTTTGTATATAAGAGAACAGACGAACTTCAGCCTCACCCATTGCTCTTTCCCTCTGGATGAATATTCCTGGATAAACCTCCGGGCATGCTGTCTTGGGTACACTTGCCATTGCCATGCCGTCCCTCTAGTTAGTCCCTCTAGGTCAGGGGTCTCAGGGCCAGGGGAGAGGCTGGGCAGCTCTTCAATTCAGCCCAATCAGAACGACATGAGTCTGAAGGGAGAAGGGAAATGCTCTGAAAAATTACATTGAAGGGATTCATAGGAACTGCCTTAGATCTTGTTTTTCAACTCCATCTCTTCCTTTACAAACAAAATCTGGATCATGGGTTTAAAGGGGCTTTGAGATCCTTGAATGAAAGGAACTAGGTCAAAGCTTGCTCTGAGTATGTGGTTTTCTGCTTTAAAAACTTGGGAAACTGATTGGTTACAGAATATAGTCCAAAGCTCTGGACACAGCATGCAGGGTTCATGATGAGTTTCTTTTCCATCTAGTCCCTGTCACCCCCAGCATAATCTACCCAGATCATATTTTCAGCTTTACATGAAGTAACTTGGGATTTTTCTGTTCTCTGAGTATCTTCCATTGTTTCCCTTCCCTGGGATGCTCCTCTGCCCAACACTAGAGAGCACTGGTGGCCATTCCTAAAAACGCACCGGAAAATGTCCAAGTTTCCTGCTCCCCTTTAAAAACGTTTGAGCTGTCCACCAATGGATGAGTGGATAAACAAAATGTGGTCCGTCCAAACAGCAGAGTAAGATCCAGCCGTAAGGAGGACGGAAGCTCTGACGGGCTACGACGTAGGTGAGCCTTGAGAATACGGCGCTGAGTGAAAGAAGCCAGACACAAACGGCCACCTAGTGTATGACCCCGTTTCTATGAAATGAACAGGAAAGGAGACAGAAAGCAGATTCGTGGTTGCCAGGGTAGTGGGGGGAAGAGGGAGATGGAGAGTGACGGTTTTATTTTGGGATGATGAAAATGTTTTGGAACTAGAGGTGGGGGGTTGCGTAACATTATGAACGCATTAAATATCATGGAATTGTTCACTGTAAAATAGTTAATGTAGTGTTATGTGAATTTCACCTCAATTAAAAAAACAACAACAACAACAACCAAAGCCATCATGTGAGGCCCAGCAAATCTGAGCCCTCATTCTCTCCTGGTAACTGGCTAGGACTAAGCAGCCACTGGCCCTTCAGGTCAGCATCCACGTTCCCAATTGTCACACTCCCTGCTTCCCTTGTTGGGCCATCAGCGGGAGGGCAGAGTGTGTTTTATTCACATCAATGGGAGGACAGAGTGTGTTTTACTCACAGCACTTAACAGGGTGCGTTCGGCAGTCCAGATGCTCACATTTCCTTGCTCGCCAACTTCTAGAACCCGGTCTGTCCCTTCTGCAGCATCATCCCCTACGACTCCCCTGCCTGTGCCTGGCGTTGCTCCCGTGCTGGATGACTTGCAGTTTTCTAAACACCTCACATGTGCTCAGACCAACGTGCTCCGCCATGCCGATCCTCCTGTTCCCTGCAAACCCAAATCAGCCTTCAGGGCTTCAGCAGCGTTGAGTCACGAAGCATCCCTCAGCAACCTCCCGCTGAGCACCCACAGGATTGGTGGCACTCTGCTCACCTTCCCTGGTGGGTACACCCCTCTAGAGGCGGCTCCCGGAAAAAGAATCTGTAACTATTCATTTTTTAACTTCCAGAGTCAGGCACGAAGTTATACCTAGCAACGGATCCCAGAAGGGGTCCTGGTGGTGCTGTCAACATGGAAATTTTAAAGGTCACATTTTTTTTTCCTTGAATTTCTTTTCAAATTTTCGTTGAGTTTTCCTTTTCAAATTTTAGGTGAGCTTCTTGCGACATGATGTTTACACTCTCAGAAGAATGAGGGGTTTTGCCTCTGTCTTGCTATATCACAACTTATGTCTTTAGAAACTATTTCATACTTCACACACCAAGACACTCCAGCGATGTTCTTTAGCAGAGGCAAGTAAGGAGTTTAGCATATAGAGAAAATAAAGCAGAGGGAAAAGTGTTACTTCTATAGTGTAAGGTGCATTCACGGTATTTTTCTCCCGAGTTGAGGCTGTAAACATCTATTTCTTGTTTTATGGCTCCATCTGCTGGCAGGTCTCAGAATGTCTTTCTCATCAACACCTTAAATCCTTGGAAAAGTTATGTTCACATTGTATTCCAAAAGGCACCATTTAGTTTTTACAAAGCGAAAGCCTTTGGAAAGCTATTTTTCTTTCAAACTACTGGCTTCCAACGCCTTTTGGCCTCGCCCCAAATTTATTAGCCTTCTCTGAGCATAAGAATAACTTGATGTTACTTCTTGAAATTCCTTGCACCCGTCCCAGACCTCCTGGAATCAGCGTGATCTGGGAGTCTGTATTATTTGGAAGTTCCCTCAGTGGATGCTTACACTCAGGCTAGTGTGGGAAACGCTGACATCTAACCTGCCCCTTTCATGGCACAGATGAGACGTAGGATTTGGGAAGGTGGCTTGGGGAGCCTTCAGCCCTCTCCAGCCCCCGATTCCCAGGCATGCGCTTTTAAGTATGAATAATAAGCAATATGTAGGCCGGGCTCTGTGGCTTATGCCTGTAATCCCTGCACATTGGGAGGCCAAGATGGGTGGATCACTTGAGCCCAGAAGTTTGAGACCGGCCTGGGCAACATGATGAAACCCTCTTTCTACAAGAAATACAAAAAAATTAGCTGGGTGTATTTCTCGTATTTCTACAAGAAATACAAAAAAATTACTACAGGTGGCACACACCTGTAGTACCAGCTACAGGGGAGGCTGAGGCAGGAGGATCACCTGAGCCCAGGAGGTCGAGGCTGCAGGGAGCCATGATCCCACCATTGCACTCCAGCCTGACAGAGCCAGACCCTGTCTCAAAACAAAACAAAGAACACAAAATTATGTGGGCATGGTGGTGGGTGCCTGTAGTCGCAGCTACTCAGGAGGCTGGGAGACGGAGGTTGCAGTGAGCCAAGATCCTGCCACTGCACTCCAGCCTGGGCGACAGAGTGAGACTCCGTCTCACAAAAAAAAAAAAGGAAAAGCACTATGTTTACCGTATAAATGCAGTTTTAAAACCTGTCTGCAGAGGCGACCCTATTTCTACTACCTCCTACAATCATGTTTATAGTTATGGAACATAACAGGTCAGGCAGTTAGTGAGCCTCAGTCCCACTTCCACCTTGACAAATAAACCTGTTCTATCTTACAATATTTCCGGTTGTTTTGTGGCTGTTGACTTTGCCTCCATGAGGAAATTAACTCCTATGGAGGGCACCTAGCTCGGCGTAGACCCGGTCGCTACCACCTGCGATGCCTTGGAAATGCAGCCGGCGGGGCCCACCTGTGGAGCCTGCAGACCGGAATCTCTGGTCTGTGTCCTAACCAGCCCTGCAGGTGATCCCCCGCAGGTGAAGGCTGAGAACCCCTGCGGTCCACGTTGGCATGCACCCAAGGCACAAGTCATTGAAAGCTAAATTTCCAGGTAACGGCCTCCTGGCACCTTAGACTTGCATTGCAGTTTTATTTTCTTTGGGGTCAAAGTTCAAATCTCTGTGTGCTGAGTGAAAGAGCTTCCGACGTTAAAGGCCAGACCAAGATCGAGTCCACTGCTACAGTAGGGCGCTCGGTGCCCACGTGGGCACCATTTCGAAGTCTATGGAGGGTCTACTTCGTGCGCCGCCGCCCAGTTCCACGAGCTAGTAGGGAACTGGCCCGACCCCGTGTCCGCCTGCAGGGGGCTGGCACTGGGGGAACTGCAGGAGTCAAGCCAGGGAAGGCCGGGGGTCTGGGCGAAGCAGAAGAGGAACAGGGCGGGGCCTGGGTGGGGCTGGCCGGGGCCTGTGGGGAGGGGGCAGGGCACGTGTTGGGTGTCTGGGCGGGGCCAGGCGGGGTCTTGGGGGGACAGGGGCGGAGCCTGTGGGGCGGGGGCGGGGCCTGTGGGGGCCTGGGCGTGGCGTCTAGGCAGGGCCAGGCGGGGTCTTGGCGGGATGGGGGCGGGGCCTATGGGGAGGGGCCAGGGCATGTGCGGGGTGTCTGTCCGGGGCCAGGCGGTGTCTTGGGGGGCCAGGGGCAGGGCCTGTGGGGCGGGGCGGGCCTGGCTTGTTGGGCCTGTGCCGGGTGTCCGGGAGGGGCCAGACGGGGTCTTGGAGGGGCGGGGCCGGGGCCTGTGGGGCGGGGCTCCTCTGGTCCCGCCCCGGCCACATCAGAAACCGCCGTTTGCGGGGCAGCCAATGAGGGCGTGGCGCGCGCCGCTTTCCGCCGTTACTGGGCGTATGGCGTACAGACACGAGGCCGGCGCCCGGGAGGCGGTGTTCATCCGCCCGGGAAAAGAGCGCCTGTTGCTCGCTGCCCGCGTGTCCCTGGCTCTCTCGGGAACCCAGCGCCGAAGGCGAGGTGGGCGCGGGCCGAAGGAGGTCCTGGGAGGTCGGCGGCGCGGAGGGATCTCCGCGGGAGCCGTTGGGGCTGTTGGCCTCGGGCTGAGGTGCAAGGACCAGGACTAGGGCGAGGGCAGCGGTCCAAGGTGCGGGGCCAGGCTGAGGTGCTAGGTGTGCGGGGGCCGGGATGCGGGGGCGGCGGCTGGGGGTCCGGGATGTGGAGGTGAGGCTCGAGGTGCGGGGACCGGGTTGCGGGGGCGAGGTCCCAGGTGCGGGGGATGCAGGAGCCGGGTGCGGGGTCGAGGTCCCAGGTGCGGGAGATGCAGGAGCCGGGTGCGGGGGCGAGGTCCCAGGTGTGGGAGATGCAGGAGCCGGGTGCGGGGGCGAGGTCCCAGGTGCAAGGGATGCAGGAGCCGGGTGCGGGGGCGAGGTCCCAGGTGCGGGAGATGCAGGAGCCGGGTGCGGGGGCGAGGTCCCAGGTGTGGGAGATGCAGGAGCCGGGTGCGGGGGCGAGGTCCCAGGTGCGGGAGATGCAGAAGCCGGGTGCGGGGGCGAGGTCCCAGGTGTGGGAGATGCAGGAGCCGGGTGCGGGGGCGAGGTCCCAGGTGCGGGGGATGCAGGAGCCGGGTGCGGGGGCGAGGTCCCAGGTGTGGGAGATGCAGGAGCCGGGTGCGGGGGCGAGGTCCCAGGTGCGGGGGATGCAGGAGCCGGGTGCGGGGGCGAGGTCCCAGGTTTGGGAGATGCAGGAGCCTGGGGTGCAGGGGCCGGGGTGCGGGGGCGATGTATCAGGTGTGGGGGGTGCGGGGCCGGGGGGAAGCGCTGAGGCCCGACTTGCCGGGGCTGTAGGGCCGGGGTGCGGGGGTGCAGGGGCCGGGGTGCGGGGGCGAGGTCCCAGGTGCAGGGGCCGGGGTGAGAGGCTGAGGCCTGAGTTGCCGGGGGTGCGGGGGCGGAGGTCTCCGCATTGGCGGCCGTGCGTGAGACTGCGGGGACCTGAGAGCTCTGCAGGAGGGCCTTCGGGACCTCCCGCACTACCCACGCGGCCGCGGGGCGCGATCTCTGCGGAGGGCGAGGGCCCCTTCCCGCGTCCGCCGCCGCTGCGCTGCGCCCCCGGGAGCCTTGGGAGCCGGACGTTGGGAAGAGGACGGAACTCCGGAGGACCCCAAGTGAGGCGGCGACCGCGACGGCCGGGCTCTGCGAGGCCCGGGGGTCCTCGCGGGTGCTGGCGGCCCGGCCCTTGGCACCTGTGGAGGGAAAGGGGCGGCGGGGCGGTGGCGTCCTGGGATGGATGCTCTCGCCGTCTTCAGCCCCGGCGGCCTCCAGGGCAAAGCCGGCTGCACCCCTGCGCAGCCTGTTCTCTGAGCGCTTTTCTTTTCGTTTTTAAGTTGTGGCCAGAGAGACCCCGCTCGCATAGAATGTACCGCTCAACGGTTTTTAGGCGTGTGGCGCGGTGGTGGTTCCCACGTGCACGGCGTGGTCCTGAGCTCAGCGCCGGAGGGACGTTAGGTGGAAGCGTCTTTGGCAGAGCTGGTAGCGAATCGGAGAGGTGATTTCCAGCGAGTGTGGTTATTGGAAGCACACACTTGCTTTCTGACTTTAAGAATTCAATATCCAGACTGAGGTGGTTTTGAAACTGGAAGGAGATAAAGCTGAAAACCAGAGTTGTGCTGGGAAACCTGGACGTAGAGCGCTGAGCCCCCCAGGTATTTAGTGACCAGCACAGCGCGCCGCCGTGGGTTTCAGGCCCTGGAGATGATGAGAATCAGCTGGAGGGCTGCTTCCAGTCGGCTTCTAACTCGGGAGGGCTGAGAGCCGCTCCCCACCCCGTAATTTCTGTTCCCAGCCAGTCCAGATGCTGCCCGTCAGGGACCAGGCTTTGAGAACTGACGTGCTGCTTTAGGAATATTTCCTGCTGGAGATGAGAGTTCAGCTTGTCACTGTTTTTTAATCACTGTTTCACACCGTTGTTTGTAAGGTGTCAAGCGACGGACTGGGTGCAAAGGCATCAATTGTGATTCGCAGCCTAGTTGGAGAAGCTATGGAGTGCAGAGATGTGGGGAGGGAGAAAACAGGTTACCATGTAGTAGGGTGACCGTGGTCACGCCGGGGAAACGGCTTTCGGAGAAGGGAGCAAGGGATGGCCTGCGAGCTGGTCCTTAAGCGGTTCACTGGATTCTTGTGGTTTCAGAGGAGGGTGAGGCTTTGTTAGCAGAGGGTGTGCCACGGTGTAGGGTGAGTCACGGAATTGATAGTGATAGGAAGCAAGTTGTGTTTGCTGGAGTCTCAAGCGGATGCTTTCAGATTGATTTGTAGATCAGCAGTCCCCAGTCTTTTTGGCACCAGGGACCGATTTCCTGGAAGACAATTTTTCCACGGACCGGTGAGGGATGGTTTCGGGATGAAACGGTTCCACCTCGGATTATCAGGCATTAGATTCTCATAAGGAGCAGGCAGCCCAGACCCTTGGCACGCCGACTTCACAGTAGGGTTCTCACTCCTAGGAGAATCTAATGCCTCCACTGATCTAACAGGAGGTGAGCTCAGGCTGTCCTGCTCACTCACTGCGGCTCACTTCCTGCTGTGTGGCCTGGTTCCGGTACAGGTCCATGGGGCGTGGGGGTTGGTGGTGGTGGTTGGGGGAGGGGGGGTGGGGGGAGGGGGGTTGGTGGTGGTGGTGGTGGTGCTGCTGCTGCTGCTGGGGACGCTGCCTGTAGATTATCAGTAAGAGACTTTCATGCGCCAGTATGCCCCGTGTGTAAGCCGAGCATGCATACGTAATCATTGTCATGATGCGCACATTATAAAATAAATACAAAGCAGTTTAAAATGAGATTTAAAATTAGTTGTAATATGCTGGCACCTCAGCGGATTATCCTGTGTAAACTCCTTTGGAAATTGCTGATTTAGAGTCATATTGTAAGGGGTCTTATACAATGAATATTTGCTTTAATCCTGTAAAATACAATAGGAAGTCGGAGGTTTTTAAAATTGAAAAATGGCATTAGATTTATCTTTCTGTGAAGATCATGAAGCCAAGAATTTTAGAAGCTGTTAAAACTCAGAGGATGAAAAAGATAATGTGATTTAAGGCAGAGTGATGGTAGATGATGTCATCGCCTGCCCCTATGTAGAACCTTGGATGGTTTCTCATGTGTTGAGTATCCAAGCTGTCTGCAGGACCCTGAGCAGTCTGCTCCCTGCCCACATGAAATCCTCCACTCCCCTTGCCCCTTCTCTTTCCAGTCCCACTGGACGTCTTTTGGTTCTGCATCCAGTTCAAGCACTTATGTGTGGGTTGTTACCGTTTGTGTGAAAGACTGGTACCACCCTACCTTCCAATTCCTAATTCTCTGTTTCAGCTTAAATCTTGTTAGAGGTGGATAACAAGGTGCAACAAGTGTTAGAGAATTCTACCAAAGATATTTTGGATTTATCCTAAGATCTAACTACTTCATATGAAAAAGATAACACTACTAGCATCCTGCCTTCGTGTAGTATTCTAAGAAGCTGACTTCAAGTTGCTTTTAAAGCTGTGTGTAAATAACGTGTATTAACACGTGTAGTTATAATTTTACCTGCCCTTTCCATTAGGGCTAATGTTTGTTGACTGCTCACTAGAGGCCAGTGTGAGTTCTCATTTGATCTTCACCATTGACTTGTGCAGTAGGTTATTCCAACCATTCGACAAAGAGTCACACGCTATGTTGTTTTCTCATGTTGTCTAAAATGTGAAGGAGTTGGGTTCAGGCAGTTGAGCTCTGAGGCCTCTACCCTTAATAGCCTGATGACATTGTGTACCACCACGATGAGGGTGAGAGATTGTTACAGCTGAGCCCAAAGCTGATCCCAGCTCACAGGAAGCACTTAGTACCATCATGATGTTGAAGAAATGGAGAGAACGGTCCTGGCAGATGTAGGAGAAATAAAGGAGTGGTTTTGAAATCAATGACTCCATTCTTTTTATTTAGATATAACGTATATGGTGATGCCACTCACCAAGAATGAAATTATGGGACATGAGGTAGAAGAGATACTAGTTTGGGTATGTTCAGTGTAAGCCACACATGGAACTCTGGGAAGATCCAGGATGACTCATTATGTATGCAGAAGGATTTTCTAAGGGGCCTGGCGGGACACTTGCCACAAGTGCCTGTTTCCGTGTGTGTGTGTGTGTGTGTGTGTGTGTGTGTGTGTCTGTGTATGGGAGTATGTGTTAAGTGTGTGTACATGTGTATCTCCAAATGGGAAAGAAAGAACCAGCCACCAGCATCCTAATTCTTTCAGCACTTTCTCCTCCTAAGTCTGTTTATAATAAATAATCCAAATGAAAAACTAAGTCTTATATTAAAATAGGTTTTCCCCTTTGGCCCTACTGCAGTGCCCAGTGCAAGGTAAGCAACTGAGTTTGTTGAATGTAGGAATGTTACATTAAAAAAAACTGTCATTAAAGATTAGAAGGATACATAATAATTGCCTGGGGAGCTTACTTTTGAAACTCAAAGAAGTTTAAAGTAACATTGTAGAAATTATCAAATGCGATTGCCTCCATTGAGTATTGTCTTCAAGATTGTTTCCTCTCCAGAAATAGAAAACAATGACTGGGAGAGCCCGAGCCAGAGCCAGAGGAAGGGCCCGCGGTCAGGAGACAGCGCAGCTGGTGGGCTCCACTGCCGTGAGTGCTTCACCGTTTCTGACTACAGAAAATGTCTTTGACTCTTGATCAGCCTAGGCTGTTGAAAATAAACTAAAAACTGTGCTGGGAAGGATATAGGAAGTGAGCAAGGGAGATCATGCCCTGTTTCCTCAGGATATTAGAAGCTGATTCGTGACTTTATTTGGTGACTCTTCTCTCAAATTTATTTTTAAGAATAAAATATTTGATTATTAATTTAGATAGGTGTTGGTTGAATTCCTGAGACTTAAGACTAGAAATTTTCTCTGGTGTCTGACCGCTTGACGAAAAGAATGTTCTTTATTTGCATGTAACTACAGAGTCAGCAACCTGGTTATATTCAGCCTAGGCCTCAGCCGCCACCAGCAGAGGGGGAATTATTTGGCCGTGGACGGCAGAGAGGAACAGCAGGAGGAACAGCCAAGTCACAAGGTGAAGAGAAAGTAAAAGGAAGTCTTAACAACTCTGTTCAACATATACAGCAAATTTTATTGAATTAAAACTTGGTACAAAAATTTGTGCTGAAACTGTTTAAGAAACATTTCCTTATAATGTTGCCACAACACACAAATCAATTGTGGAAAATACTTAAATATAATTTCTTAAACATTCTATGTATCAGTCTTCATTAATAAATGACTTAAAAAAATGGTTACTCAGGATTGCAAATTTAACTCTATGGAACAGTTCCCTATCTGTAACAAGGTAGTGTCTACCTGTAGAGGTAAAGATCATTGTGACCATTAATACATGGGATAACAAATGAAGGCCCTGTTTTGTCATCTCTCACTGCTCTTTAGGGATTATACCTGAGAATTGCTTGTCACGGTAAATGCTCAAATACCTAATGTATTGTAGAAATTAATATAAGTTTAACAGATTATTGTTAATTAGACATTGTTTGGACCTTGATTTTCATTCTGTAAAGGGATGTGGATGCATTGAAGGATTCTTTTTTTTTTTTTTTTTTTTTTGAGACGGAGTCTCACTCTGTCTCCCAGGCTGGAGTGCAGTGGCGCGATCTCTGCTCACTGCAGACTCCACCTCCTGGGTTCCTGCCATTCTCCTGCCTCAGCCTCCCGAGTAGCTGGGACTACAGGCGCCCACCACTGCGCCCAGCTAATTTTTTTGTATTTTTTAGTAGAGATGGGGTTTCACCGTGTTAGCCAGGACGGTCTCGATCTCCTGACCTCGTGATCCTCCCGGCTTAGCCTCCCAAAGTGCTGGGATTACAGGCGTGAGCCACCGCACCCGGCCCATTGAAGGATTCTTAAATAGCACAGTGGTGTGAGGTCTGATGTGTGTTTGAAATAAAATCACTCTAGGAGCTGCATGGAAGGGGGAATTAGCAAGGTTCCCAGTCTTGTCCATTCTGAAATCTGTCCTCTTCATCAAGTGACAAAATCAAGCTTTGGCTAAGTGTCATAGCAGTACTGTATATCTCAAGCAGAACTGATTTCATCATTGTTTATATTCAGAAACTGGCAATTGGATTTTTGCGTCCAGAACTGAATTTTTTTAAGACAAATTAAAAATTTTTAAGGAAAAATATCAGCCTTTATGACCCTTCAGTGTCATCAGGTTGGATTCAGTATGCGTGATTTAGTGTAGTTACTCACCCAGTGCCATCAATACTTCAAACCAAGCCTCTGGGATAAAAAGCTCACTGAGAGAGACAAGTATGAACAGTTACATGTTTAAAGGATTTTTAGGTAGAGCCCCCTCCAAATCATGAGGTACAGAAACAAACATGGAAGTGCCTTGTAAAGTGCTTTAGACGTGATATTTAAAACTTCTGACATGCCTGTGATGCTTATTCTCAATTTTTCAGGTGAAGGAATTGACACTCATATTAAATAACTGGTTTCCAAAGTATAGCAAGGACTGAAATATTTTAAGCCACTGTTATTTCTCTAAGGAAGTCTAGAGAGTAGGCAGTTCTGGTGTTTGTGGTCAGAAGAGAACTGGACTCTGATCTTTTTGTTCTTTTGTCCTGGGCTCATGACTGCCATCATTAAGACCTCTGTTTGGTTCAGAACTTCTGTATTTGAGCCCTCCCTGCCAGATCCAGATTCCAGGCTCCATGGGCAGGGCAAAGGGTCAGGAAGTACAAAAGTCACATGTCAGCTATTGGCTCTCTTATGGAATTTTTCCAAAAGTGTCATCCTGCAATTTCTGCTTAAGTATCTTAGGCCATCCCTAACCATGGGGAGGGTGGAAATTTTAGTCTATTAAGTATATTACTCCAAAAATAGAATTTATTTAAAGAATGAGGGGTTAGTTATTGGATAGTCAACTGGTAATCTCTTTTACACAAGATAACATGCCTATTAATTGACAGCTGGAATTTTAATGCTTGACTACAAAGTTCATATTTGTTTTTTGGCTCACATCAGATTGTTGATCTGAGATAATTGTATAATTTCAGCAAATCAAATGACTTGAATAATTTAGGTTCTTATAACCACAGCTTGTAGCACTAAGCATGAACTGATTAATCACGACCTTATTACCTATACCAGTATGAGATGCGTGTCATGGTCATAGAATATGTGCAGGTGCAGAAATCCATTCTTCTGATTCTGAAGAGAGTCAGGTAGTGAGGAAGTTGCATTTTAGATGTAAGTTTTCTAATCCAGGTTACAGATTTAAACCCTCTAAACCAGCAACTTCTGTAGTTGTAATTGCATCATGACAGACTGTGGAAAATACATGAAGACCTTTAGGTAGTTATCAGACTTACAATACAGAAAAATAATTTCCCAGTCAGCAAACATATGCTCCTGCACTCTTGCACCACAGTCCAGTTGGCTTGATCTCTTGATTCAAGGTGCACATCTCTTGAAAGGGTGCATCTGCAATTGCCCAGGACAGTGACAAGGCCTTTATGAATGAAGTTATAACTAGGAAACCATTCTCTCGTTAGGCTGGCAGATACCTAAAACATGTTGATAGGATTGTTTTATGCCTTGTCTTCTACACCTCAGTATCCTTTGGATTACACATAATAGCACTATGGGAGTTAATATTGTCATCCTTTATTTCGTGCTTTATGTTGCTCAAGTACACAATTTTTTTTTAAGGACTCCAGATATCTGCTGGATTTCAGGAGTTATCGTTAGCAGAGAGAGGAGGTCGTCGTAGAGATTTTCATGATCTTGGTGTGAATACAAGGCAGAACCTAGACCATGTTAAAGAATCAAAAACAGGTAGGTTAATTAAGAATAAGTTTTGTGAGATTACATCTCAGGAACACAGGACAGTGAATTGAGGCACTTTAGTTTAGGTGTTTATTTGGCCAAGGATCCTGCATGGCTTTTCGATTTTCCTCACTTTCTTTTGGCGTTGATGAAGTAGGTTATAGATATCTTTAACTGCACATTTTGAAACGTCATCTCATTAAATATTAATAGATCATTTTTAAAACTCTTTGCCATGAAGAGATTTAGTTGGTTTTGTTGCAAATTATTTGTAAATTACTTAGTCTAAGGAAGATTTGTTTCTAAATGTATGCTTCTTTAGAAATTCACCTAAAGAGAGAGACTAGTGGTCTCCAAAGTCAGATGTCTGAGGACTTTCATGTTGTCTGCTGCTCTTAGCCTTGTGTTTACGGAACTGTGCCTGCCTTGTCATGGTAGGAAAGATTTCAAGGAAAAATAAACTTGATATTTTGTTAATTGACTATAACTTCCTTTTCCAGGTTCTTCAGGCATTATAGTAAGGTTAAGCACTAACCATTTCCGGCTGACATCCCGTCCCCAGTGGGCCTTATATCAGTATCACATTGACTATAACCCACTGATGGAAGCCAGAAGACTCCGTTCAGCTCTTCTTTTTCAACACGAAGATCTAATTGGAAAGTGTCATGCTTTTGATGGAACGATATTATTTTTACCTAAAAGACTACAGCAAAAGGTTATTTGGGAAAAGGGAGATGGGGGATTTCCACTTCAAAGCAGAACTACCACAATGTAAGATAGCTCACATGGCTTTTAGAGAGGCCCCAGGAGTCTCCTGTCTGATATGACTTGGAATAAACACATAGGGTACTTTGGCATTATTGTAGCATTGTCAGATTTGTCTGGGTAACTTGATGATTACAATTGAGTTATAATACACTTAGCCACTCTTTTTCTCAGAGCCATTTAAAAAAAATCCAGTTAAAACATTTTATGGTTTTCAATGTTGCCTTATTAAGCAAGCAGTATGTGATTGGGCATAATTGTCCTTTAAGGATTTAAAGTTTGGGTTTTCCACCTCTCTGGCTTCAGGTTACTGAAGTTTTTAGTAAGACCCGGAATGGAGAGGATGTGAGGATAACGATCACTTTAACAAATGAACTTCCACCTACATCACCAACTTGTTTGCAGTTCTATAATATTATTTTCAGGAGGTATGTGTTTTATTTCAACATTTTATTAAGAAAACAGCAAAGTTGAAATAATTGTACATTGAACATCTGCATTCAGTTCTCCTAGATTTTCAGCATTGGTTGGGATTATTGAGTTTCTCTGTATTGCAGTAACTTAAGGTGTGGTTTACTGATAGAAAATTCATCTATTTGCTTTAAGCAAGTATCCTGCCTTTACTTCCCTAATTCTGTTGACTTCAAATACTGTCTGAGCTTGTGTTCAGAACACTCATATCCTCGAGAGCTATTGCGAACTTGGTATTCCTTCTCCCCACGGTGGGTCCTTGATCAGGAGGAGGTGCAGAGTTCAGGTCGTTTGTTCCACCACAGGAGATATACTGCATGCTTGATAATTTGCTTTCAGTGTACATATCACATATTTCCTATCCAAAAGCAAGACACGTGTTCTGCAAAAATTTTTGTTTTTTGAGGGGGATGAGAAACAATCTGGATAAGGCTGAAATTTTCGTGAGAATAGTAGGGCATAATACTTGTATCTGTAATTTCCCTCTTTAAGTTAGTCATAAGATAACTGTCACTGATGATAGGACAATTCATTGTGATAAATACTTGTTTTGAGTTAATGTAACTGGTAAATTGATTTTTCCCTAAACGAGGGGTTGGCAAACTTCTCTCTGCAAAGGGCCAGATAGTAAACATCGTAGGCTTTGAAAGCCATGTCATCTCTTGGCAGCTCTTCAGCTCTACTACTGGACCGCCGAAACAGCCAGACACAGCGTGTGAGTGAGCGGTCATGGCTGTGTGCCAGTAGAACTATTGGTGGATGCTGAAGTCTGAATTTCAGATAATTCATGTATCATGAAATAATCTTTTATTTTTTCCAACCTCAAAGATATTTGAAAACCGTTGGTAACTCATAGGCCATAAAAAACAGCAGGTAGGTTGGATTTGGCCTGGCTACAGACCACAATTTGCCAACCCCTGCTCTAAACGACATGCTGTTCTGATTGTCGTATTAGAGATACTTATCAATATTCACTCTCTGACCTTTCCATTTCTAGGCTTTTGAAAATCATGAATTTGCAACAAATTGGACGAAATTATTATAACCCAAATGACCCAATTGATATTCCAAGTCACAGGTTTGTATGAAGTAGAACGTTTAATATTCCTTAGGCTTAATGACAGACTTTTGAGACGATAACCTAATTTGAAATGGTCAAATTTACTACAGTGACTGTTAATGCCGCCCATCACATTATGTGACTATTTAACTTGAATAATGAGGAGACATCCCAGAATATTTGGATTTTTAAAAAATCACGTAATTTACCTGTCACTAGGGAAGAATACATAGTTGTCCAGTGCTGTTTGTATTTTTGCCCTTAGGTAATAAAAATAATCAGTTAATGTGGTGTATCAAGATTGCAGCCCAACTGAAAAACCACCTGCTGGGTATTGTGCTCCGTGCCTCAGTGATGGGACCACTCATCCCCCAGACCTCAGCATTATGCAGTATGCCCATGTCACAAACCTGCACGTGTGCCCCTTGAATCTAAAGTTGAAATAAGAAATAAAAGGCCGGGCGTGGTGGCTCATGCCTGTAGTCCCAGCACTTTGGGAGTCCAAGGCGGGTGGATCACGAGGTCAGGAGTTCTAGACCAGCCTGGCCAAGATGATGAAACCCCGTCTCTACTAAAAATACAAAGATTAGCCGGGTGTGGTGGCTGGCACCTGTAATCCCAGCTACTCGGGAGGCTGAGGCAGAGAAGTGCTTGAACCCGGGAGGCGGAGGTTGCAGTGAGCCGAGATCGTGCCAACTCCAGCCTGGGTGACAGAGCGAGACACTAAGAAAATAAATAAATAAAAAACAAAATATTGCAGCCCAACAGGTTTAAGTTTATCATAATAATTGTGGTGCTTTCAATTAGATTGGCAACTTTTTAAAAGTCTTAGGCCAGTGTAATGAATAGCTGAATAAAGTTAGTACATTCATTTAAAATGAAACTTATACAATTATTATAATGTTGTTGAAGGTCTTAAAGCTGGAACCATGTAAATCCTAGAAATAAGGAAATTGATTCATTCAGAAACTTTATAGTTTAGACCCAGTTAATAAAAGTGAAAACGCAACTTAGTGTGTGCAGAATGTGTTGAATGTGGAGAGGTTCTTCATGACCCCCATCTCGTCTGACAGGTTGGTGATTTGGCCTGGCTTCACTACTTCCATCCTTCAGTATGAAAACAGCATCATGCTCTGCACTGACGTTAGCCATAAAGTCCTTCGAAGTGAGACTGTTTTGGATTTCATGTTCAACTTTTATCATCAGACAGAAGAACATAAATTTCAAGAACAAGTTTCCAAAGAACTAATAGGTTTAGTTGTTCTTACCAAGTAAGACTGCTTTTTAAAGTGCACAATAATTTTTTGTGAGTCAAAGTATTGTGGCTTTCTAGTTCTACCATGTTAAGAAATAGTGTTTAAAATTGAGTGGTGGGAATAGCACAAAACAAGGGTGAGGGTATTTTTCAGCTTTCCCAGGATCATAGTTTTGGAGATGACATAACTCATCTGGAGAGGACAAATAGCTAGTGATTTTTATCCTTTTAAATTATTTTATTTTCTGTAAGTAATTTAGTCACTTCCCCCATCCATCTGGCATAGTCTGTAAGAAACCCTGTTCCTTCTTTTTCCAACCTTGTATATAACCAGGTGATTTGAAATTTTAGAGAATACATGCTGTCTAGTCTCTCTTTTTAATATTAGTTCTTCACATTTCCATCAAATGCAGTCAAATCTCAACTGATCCCTAGGTATAACAATAAGACATACAGAGTGGATGATATTGACTGGGACCAGAATCCCAAGAGCACCTTTAAGAAAGCCGACGGCTCTGAAGTCAGCTTCTTAGAATACTACAGGAAGGTAAGATGCCAGTGGTTAGATCTCAGGAGAAATCCAAAATATCTTTGGTAGAATTCTCTAACACTTGTTGCACATTTGGAACAAGTTGCGTTTAAAGCTGTGTGTAAATGTATTTGTTAGGGCAATCACAGCATAATTTTATTCATTACCAAATTATTAAAATGCCTCTTTTTATTTGGTACAGTTCACATAATGAGAAATGCCCTCTCCTGGTTCCCTTTTTCCAGTAGAATGAAAGCTTACGTTTGAATTGAAGCCTATGGAGGACAAGTAGGTTGGATAACAGGTGGCGAGCAGTGGGAGTTAAGAGCTTGCCATACTGTCTCTCCCTCCATAATCAACATTTCATTTAATTTCACCTTGGAGACGGGTAGGAATTAAAGATCTTTGAACCTTCAGTATCATTTCTGCTAAATCTACTGCCTGTGGGTTAACTCTTAACTTTTGATTTACATGTTAACAAAATGCAGACAGGCTTGTTAGCACAGGCTAGATCAGTCTTTTGGGCGATCATCTAAAACAGTTTTTAAAGAGATGATTCTAGTTTTGAAAAGATCATCAAAGGCAAATAGCAGGAAAGAGCAGCTATTGACTAGAAGAAACTGAACTGTTCATGTAAGAATGCATGCTAACATTGTTTCAGTACTCAGATGAGCAGATCTGGCCCCCAAATCCTTAGAACGTCACATTCCATTTGATATGTTAAAAGCGCAGGAAGATTATTTCTAGAAAACTATCAATTAAAATCTCAAAACTTGTCTTTGAATTGCTAACATTTCACATTTTCTTCTACTTTCAATAGAGTATTTCCTGTTTCTAAAAATTTGGATAAATGAGCTTAAATATGAAAAGTATTCATATTTTGCATGGAAAGTATGCATCTTATCAGTGGCCTTGGAAAGGTCTGTGTGCTGCTGTCCAGCTGCTCTGCTGTGACTAAAAAGATGAGAAGCCACTACGGAGGGAGGGATTCTATGAGACGCTGCATGAAGGGCTGACCTTATTCCTGGCAAGATGGAAACAGCCAGGGGTCATTTCAGCATGTCTTTCCTCCCACTGTTTTCAGCCTCTTTACTCCTTGAGGACTCCAACCATGCCTAACCTGGATCCCTCTGGGTGTCAGAGGTTACTGTGAGGAATGAGTTGTGGCATTTTTCTGTCGTTAATTTTAGTGATCACTCTCAGGGATGGTAGAAGTTGGTATATCAACAGCAAATATAAAGGAAACATTAGCTGAAAATGTGATTTAAACCTGAAGCAAGGTCAGTGGAACCTCTCCCCTTCCCTGACTGGTACTGAGTGTCCTGTGGCAGCTCATCCTCCTGTAAGTGGTGTTTTACGTGTTATCATACTTAGGAGCTCTGCCCAGACCCCTTTTACTATATGTTCACTCCCTGGGTGATTTCCAGTCTCCTCTGCCCAGGCTTCAGGCATGAAATGTTAAGAATCCCCAGACTTCCAGTTCCAGCCTAGACTTGTCTAAGCTTAGCTGCCTGGTTGTTCTTAAGTATTTGGATGACTCAAAGATACCTCTCCCATGTTGCCAGTGTTGAATGTGTTCTGTCTTCTCAACACGGCCCCTACTCGGTGCTCTTGGTCAATGCAGATAAGGTAACTTGGACAGAGGCAAGAGATTTTATGGTTTATATACCCCATGCCTAAGTAGGTTCTTGGGTATTTGAATAAACAAATGGTGGATGAGTCACACGTCAGATCTCCGCACCTTCCCCTGCCTCCTAGTACTCTTTTGTCCGGTTCTGTCACTCACCTTGTTATCTGAATTGCCTTCATTTTTCTCCTTTTCTAAATGGCATCTCCTGTCCAGGCCCTATTTTTATAATTCATTTAACAAGTCTTAGTATTTATTTCCTCTACCTTCTGATCAATCAACTCATACACATCTGTTCTTCTTCTTCCCCTTCCCCCCAGAAGTGATGTGGCACCCGTGGCCCTGTGTCTGGTGAAGTGTGGTGATCTTTCTCCATGAGACCCTGCTTGCTGCTTTATTCTCATGGCGTGTCCCCCACTGTGCCTTTAGACTAAACATAGGGTTGTGTCCCCTCTGTTGGACACACCTTGTATGCTTATGCTTGAGATCTCAGCTCAGCTTCTTTCTCTAGGGAAGATTTCTCTGGAAATCAGGGATAATCAGATGTCTTTAGTAGAAATAATTAATGAAAGAGGTTGACGTTAAGATATTTAAAAGAATCAAAGCCTTCTTAGATTTTCTGGTAGAAATGCAGTTTTACTAGTAAGTGATGGTTTGGGATTGAAGATAATATCTAGGAAACAGAGTAGAAGAAGGAAGGGTGTTTGGTAGAGAAGGTCATAGTTGGTTTTTAAAATAAAAGGTTTAACAGTAATGTCTAATAAAAATGAGAGTGCTGTTTTTTCAGGTGTAGAGGAAAATGTTTAAAAATATTTGACAGGGCCAGGCACGATGGGTCATGCCTGCAATCCCAGCACTCTGGGAGGCCGAGGTGGGTGGATCACCTAAGGTCAGGAGTTTGAGACCAGCCTGACCAACATGGTGAAACCTCGTCTCTACTAAAAATACAAAAATTAGCTGGGTGTGGTGGCATATGCCTGTAATTCCAGCTACTCGCGAGGCTGAGGCAGGAGGAATCGCTGGAACTCGGGAGACGGAGGTTGCAGTGAGCCGAGACAGCACTCCAGCCTGGGCGACAGAATGAAACTCTGTCTCAAATAAATAAATGAATGAATGAATGACAGGCTGTTTGGCACCTAAGAATATAAAAGTGGAGGGGGCGTAGCGAGTACAAGTTCTGTATCAGGAACCATGCCCTTAAGGCCTTGGGTGAAATAGGGTGAGAGAGGACACATTTCTGAAATTACGACCACACTTCTACCACCTGTGTTTGCAAGTCAGTGATGTGGTGTGGAGGGTAACTGTTCCCAGACTCCTCATTTTAAAATGTGATAAAATAGGTAGTATAGCTACGTGAAGCAGAGGTCAGATGTGAGTGTTCTACTTAAAATTTTCTTATTTGAAACAAGTCAAGAACGGGCTAGAATTCATGGTTTCTTAATTCACGAGGGCTTGTAGTAGGTGGCCAGGACCTTGCCATATGCTAGGAATAAGAAATATGCAAGCACCCTTAGTCTGCTGATGAGAGACAGATTAAGGACATGCTGTGATGATGTTCCTCTGGTGTGCTCAGGGAAATGTGTGGTTTGTTCTTCTGGTGTGCTCAGTGGAGATGTGTGTGTGGTTTTTTGTTCTTCTGGTGTGCTCAGTGGAGGTGTGTGGTTTTTTGTTCTCCTGGTATGCTCAGTGGAGGTGTGTGTGTGGTTTTTTGTTCTTCTGGTGTGCTCAGTGGAGGTGTGTGGTTTTTTCTTCTGGTGTGCTCAGTGGAGGTGTGTGGTTTGTTCTTCTGGTGTGCTCAGTGGAGGTGTGTGGTTTTTTTGTTCTTCTGGTGTGCTCAGTGAAGGTGTGTGGGTTTTTTTTTTTTAAAGCTGGATCTGATTTAAGCAGGATGCTAAGAAAATCTGTTTTTGGCAAGATACAGGATATGGTAGGAAAGAGGATCTTTGAGACACAGAGCCAGAACCTGTACTGAAGAGAACTCAAACAAAGTCTGTCATGGTTCTAGAATTGCCGAACTGAGCTGGAGGCCAGAGAGCTCATCTTTTGAGGACATTAAATCATGAATATTGGCTGGGTGCCGTGACTCACGCCTCTAATCCTAGCACTTTGGGAGGCTAAGGCAGGCAGATCACCTGAGGTCAGGAATTGGAGACCAGCCTGGCCAACATGTTGAAACCCTGTCTCTACTAAAAATATAAAATTAGCCAGGCACGGTGGTGTGCACCTGTAATCCCAGCTACGCAGGAGGCTGAGGCAGGAGAATCACCTGAACCCGGGAGGCGGAGGTTGCAGTGAGCCAAGATCATGCCACTGCACTCCAGCCTGGGTGACAGAGCGAGACTCCATCTTCAAAAAAAAAAAAAAAGAATGTCATTTTTTATTGTTTAACAAATTGTCAACGCTTATTTTGGGCAGTGATTGCATCTGGGGAACCTTAACACTTCTCAATTGAAATTTGACTTCTTGAAAATATCAAGATTTTATAAAAAACTTTTTCTGATTAAACCTGCCCTGTAGCGTAGGAACTTCTTCCTTTCCCCTCTGTATTCTCACGGTGAGACTGCTTTTATTAGTAAGTTCTCTCAGTAACAGAGAATAGTTTTAGAGGAATCATCCTATGGTGAAGTTGCAGAGTTACACAGACTACTGTTTCTAAACCAAGAAATAAAAAATTAAGCAATGAGAACTGTGACTAACAAAGTCTGAACTCAGAACCATACTGTCCTGGACCATCACAGTTTTTAGGAAAAAGATAGGGCACTCAGTAGAGCATAGAAGTCACAACCTCTGTTTTAAGAATGTTAAAAAAAATGCCTTTTTAAAACTTTACTCTGAAGCTATTATCAGCCTTGCTATTGGCATCAGCTCTTTATTTTTTTAAAAAATGAAACCCTTTTTGCCCACTGAGATGCTACTCGAGGCATTTGCCGTGAACAGCGACCCTTTCGTCTCTTGAGCAGCAATACAACCAAGAGATCACCGACTTGAAGCAGCCTGTCTTGGTCAGCCAGCCCAAGAGAAGGCGGGGCCCTGGGGGGACACTGCCAGGGCCTGCCATGCTCATTCCTGAGCTCTGCTATCTTACAGGTACTGTTGCATTTCATTTACTCGGAAGGAAGCCACTGGATTTACCCTTTCTTTCCTAGGAGTCCTCAGACATTCCTTTACTTCCCCTTCCCTCCCCCCAGAAAACCTTTTATTAAAACTGCTTTGTCTCCTGGGAATTCCCACTCACCATCACCCTATACTCCAGTTATTTAGACCTGATTATTATTTCTTTAACCATATGCCTTTAAATGTCTTATTTAAAGGTCTAACTGATAAAATGCGTAATGATTTTAACGTGATGAAAGACTTAGCCGTTCATACAAGACTAACTCCAGAGCAAAGGCAGCGTGAAGTGGGACGACTCATTGATTACATTCATAAGTAAGTCATTGATTTCACTGGGGCAGGGTTTCAGTTTTGTGTTTAGTATTTTATGTGGCTTTGAGGGGTATCTTTTGAGGGAGTGGCAGAAAGTAACTTTCTCCTTTGGTATCTGTAGTATTTGGGGTGGGCTTGTTCTTCGTGTTTCTAAGCAAGGCTACCTATACCTCACTTATTCCTCAGGAAATAATGAAGTTAAACTTTGCAGTGCGTAGTCTTTCTAACTCTTCCATTAGCAAAAGGTGACAACAGAAAAAGGGGATGTTTCTGGTCAAATCTTTTTTCTATCTTTGTTATATCAAGGGGTTTCCTTTGACGGGGAGAAAGTTTGGGCATCAGAATTTTAAGTTAAAGAATGTCATGAAGAGAAGCCTGAAGGTGATGAGAGAAAGATGATTGTGCTCCTGTGCCAGCTGGCATTCTCACCAGCGCCTTCACCCTGACGGCGACATTGGAGTGTGTTGTAGGCTGGAGTGGATATCTGTTTGACTGTGTCTTCTTGCTGTGTCTCTTTGTTGAGTCGCATGTAAATGTGTTAAATTTACAGAAACGATAATGTTCAAAGGGAGCTTCGAGACTGGGGTTTGAGCTTTGATTCCAACTTACTGTCCTTCTCAGGAAGAATTTTGCAAACAGAAAAGATTCACCAAGGTGGAAAAACAGTAAGGCAGTTTTTCGTTGGTGTTGTTGTTGTTTTTGAGACGGAGTCTCGCTCTGTCCCCCAGGCAGGAGTACAGTGGTGCAATCTCAGCTCACTGCAAGCTCCGAGTAAGGCAGTTTTTAAAGTTGACAATCAAGTGAGGCTTGGGTCAGATCACAATAAAGCAAGTGGGAAGAACTGAGTTCCATGCCAGAATGATCTTTTCCTCACCTTTCTCTTCTCCCCTTGCACATCCACTCTCTATCAACCCACATGAACAGCCCGGGACCTCAGAAATAGGTACACCCCAGGAGGAGAAAACGTGGAAGCCCTAGAGAATGTGGAGCCTGTAGCTGGGTCCTCAAAAATCATCTGTAAGACTTAGCTAAAAAGTGGTTCGATTTTTTTTTTTTTCAATAACTTGAGCTAAAGTGTAGAATCCTAACTATCTGCTTGGGTTGATATTTTGACTGCCACTAAAATGATGGAAAATCCCTGATTTGATTGGCCTGGATCATTTGTTTATAGAGATAATATATTAATTATTATGATACCTTTTATGTTTCATTTTCAGAAAAGGAAAAGTATTCTAAAAATATTTTTAGTGTAATTAAAGCACTGTAAAGTGCCAACATTTTCATTTTTTTTTTTTTTTAAGAAAATGTCCTTCCTGCCTTTGAAATGTCCTGTGAACAGTGATCTCACAATGTAATTTAATATTCTGGTTGCATTGTTTACGCTATCCCCTGCGTGAGGCCAGGCAGGGAGGTGGCCAGGACACGCAGAAGACACCGGGCTGCTCCCTGTGATGACCAGCACTCGGGTGCTGTGCCTCGCGTTTATTTCACTTTCTGTCTTGCTGTCAGATGTTTTTGTAGCTTGCTTGCGGCATATAACACCTCAGTCAAGTTGTTTTACTCTCAAAGCCTTATTTTTTAATATTTTCATTATGAAGAAAGAGTAGCTATACTTGTAAGATTTTTTAAAAGATTAAGGAGAATGCGACTAAAGCACTTAGGGAAGTACCTGGTCCAAGTAAGCATTTGTGTGGCAGCTGTCAGTATGAGTGTATTTTAAGTAAAATTGCCATCATCCTTTGGATATATTTTAGAGTCTACCCCCATTGAGGACATTTTCTCTGTCCCTTTAATTCAAGCATAAAAGTAGTACACTAAGTTTCAAAATATGCCATGGTAGAATTATTGAAGACTGTTTGGCTTGATCACTGAGAACTTACAATGGAATTTACAGTGTGTCTGAACTCTCTTCTAGTTTGATTACAATCCACAATTTGCAGATTGGTCCAAAGAAACAAGAGGTGCACCATTAATTAGTGTTAAGCCACTAGATAACTGGCTGTTGATCTATACGCGAAGAAATTATGAAGCAGCCAATTCATTGATACAAAATCTATTTAAAGTTACACCAGCCATGGGCATGCAAATGAGAAAAGCAATAATGTAAGTTAATCAAGTCATTTCTGCTCTGAAAATTGCTTGGCAGTCATTTGGAGGGGTGGGAACTATTAAACATACAAACTACGTTATCTTAATTGAAAGGTTTGATGTGGCTCCCTGTAATGCAGATAAACAGAAACATATTTTAATAACTAAGAATGGGTGGGAGAAGCAACCAAGTAAGACAGTTTCTGAAACCTGCGTGCTTAAAATATTGCTCGTTTGTATTAGAAACAGCCCTTGGCATGAATGGCTAGTCTCGGTGTTTGATTTCATGTTTTATACGGAAACGTTTCCTGTGTTACACAGGAAGGTGTTTATGCACGGTCCATTTGTCGCTACTGTGTCTGAGTGTTGGATTGTGTACTTTCATTCTAGGATTGAAGTGGATGACAGAACTGAAGCCTACTTAAGAGTCTTACAGCAAAAGGTCACAGCAGACACCCAGATAGTAAGTAACTAATTGACATATAGGCAGTTTTCGGTGAAAGAGCTTTTTCAAAGGGGGCATGTGTACATTTTGGAACTTGGAGTTCTTTTTTCAAATGTTAATAGGTTCTCAAACTAGGCACAAAATATGTTTTGTAACCATAAAGTAGCTAAGCTAATGCTAGCTTTAGTTGTGCACCTAGGAGTTTGGTTTACATACTGCAAAAGGTGAGGAAGGGGTGGAGAAAAACAAAGCCATCTTCAATTTATTCAGACCCAAAGGCTTTACTTAGTCTAGAAAATTTGGAAAATACAGAAAAGCACAGAGGTAAAAATCAGCTGTTGTTCGGCACACGTAGACGTATGATTGCGTAATTACATGGAAGCTCCCCAGACAGCCTAGTGCCAGGTATGGGAAGAGTAGGGTCGCAGAGAGCAGGGAGCCCTGAGTGACACTCAGCAGCTTGTCAGCTTCCGCATGCATCCACATCACCCCGAGGGGTCGGGATAGGGATGCAACCACTCTCCTAAGCTCTTTCCCCTTTTACCTGCAAACGTGTTGTTGTTGTGTGTGCTTCACCCACCCATCCAGGTGAGTGAGTGATGACTCAGGAGGGGAGGACTGAGTCCCGAAGAGCCCATATGCCTGTTTGCCAGAGTCTCGCTACCTAGCGTGGGTGTGTGGGAGGTGCAGAGGGTTAGGAATTGGAGACAGGGACGTTAGATGATGGCAGCCACTTAATGACGGGTGGTTTTCATTGGTGATCTGAAATTGTGGGGACATGCAGCAAGTGTGTGTTGTGGTTTCATTTTTGTTGTAATCTGTAGCGCAGTTATTAAGAGGGTAAACTCTGAAATCAAACCCCTGGGTTCACATCCCGGCTCAGCCATTTGCCTGATCTTCATCAAGTGCTTCTGGCTTTATTTCCTTTTCTGAACAGATTTAGGTGGTAGTAATAATAGTAGTGAACCCTCACAGCACTTCTGAAGTTTAATGGCGGTGTCATGCCCGGCCCCTCCCTAGTAGCCCAGGACATGTTAATCACTGTTGCTGCTGCCGCCACCAGTCAGCTCCTCAAACTCAGCGAGTCTGAGTTAACTCTTCATTTTCCCAATCCCATCAGTGTTTTGAATTATTCAGGGGAAAATTACCCCCCTTTTCTCAAGCTAGTTTTTTAGGCTGTCAGGTATGTCTTGACTTCACTGTTTGTCCAGCTTTCTATAAATTGTTGGTTAGAAACTGTCCGTCACTCTCGCACACTGCTCTCTAGTACAAGGCCATCTGCCTCGTTCCTGTCGCGTCCCCAGCACTGAGAACAGGGCCTTCTATATTCCAGGCACCAGCATGTTGTACGACTATGGCCTGTCGTTGTTCACCATGGTGTGCTTTAGGCGTGGTCAGGCTGCCATCCTGCTCATCCTCTCTCTCATGCACACACCCCTGCACACACTTCTGACACACTTTTCTCAAACTTGCCTTTGTGTTTTCCAGCAAAGTTTTCAACTTGAAAGCTTTCTAAGTTATATTTCTTCTCTAACACTCCTCCCACCCCTGAAATTCTATCAACATTGATATGGTTGTTTTTGGTCTGTATCTAGAGTGTAGCCTTTATAAACATGATAGCAGTGCCATAGTTTTCTTGTAAGTCCACACACCCAGCCTAATGTAGCAAAATAGAGCCAGACTCATTGTCAGGGAACTCCGGAGTTGTCCAAGTCTTAATCACATTTGGTCTAGAATCTCCTTTGCATTCAGTCTTTGTCCAAGAACTTGGAATTGTGGCCTCAAGACTTCCTGGTCCATAGTGGAAGAAAGTAGGGCTTAGACATTTACTTTGCAGAAGTGAAAGCACAGCCGAGCCAAAGACCATGACCCCTGAAGAGCTTTCTTTGCACTCTACACCCCCATGCCCTGTTCCCATAACCATTCCCTGCCCTGCTCTTGCTGCCATGAGCCCCTGGGTGTTGGGGAGGGTGTCTCACAAGTAGTCCTTTTATTCAGGTTCTCTCAACTTGTCCAGTTTGAATATTCCATCTATTTTATTGGGGCCCTGCCTGATAAAATCTCCAAGACAAGTACTTCAGCTCTCCTTATTTTTAGCAGAGTTGGTTGGTTATTGTTAGAAAACTGACATACAAAGGTCATAGTAGCCTGGGACTGTAGTGGGTGATACATAGAAGTTCAGTCAATTCCTATTGCTTTTTATACCTGTAGCATAAAATTGCCAGAGATCTGCTGAGGGAACATGGAACTTGCAAAAGATAGAATGACAATATGAGATTAAGATGTAAGTGGTAAGGAAAATTATGATAGGTTCTACTATTATGTCATTATGATTGTAAAGTAGGAAGGGAAAAATGACATGCATGTGAACAATAATTAGTTCAGCGATTTCACTGATTATTAGGCATTTATATCCTTGGCTATTTTAAAAACAAGTTGAAAGTACATATCTAGTTCACAGGAAACATTCTGAAGACAGCAGCACATTGTGGGGTATCGAGTGCTAGGATGAGTTTCTTCTGCCCCGTTGAGTTTTCATACAGCCACATTGCAATGAGTTGGCAAAGACAGATTTAGTGATAAACAATACATCTGTGTTGCCATAAGCCTAAGAAATGAATTGGCTTCTTCTAATGTGTTCATTATTTTAGCCCTTCATGTCACACTTTAGATCCCACAGGCAGATAGCTATTATGTTATCTGGGTAATGGAAACACCCAAGGTGGGAAAATTATTTTGCTGGGCACTATAAAAAGGGAAGAGAAGAATCTGGGAATATAAATTGGAGAACATGGCAATGAGTTACAAGCTGGATTCAGGCCAGGCGTGGTGGCTCACACCTGTAATCCCAGCACTTTGGGAGGCCGAGGCAGGCGGATCACAAGTCAGGAGATTGAGAACATCTTGGCCGACACAATGAAACCCCATCTCTACTAAAAATACAAAAATTAGCCAGGCATGGTGGTGCGAACCTGTAGTCCCAGCTACTCTGGGGGCTGAGGCAGGAGAATCAGTTGAACCTGGGAGGCGGAGGTTGCAGTGAGCCGAGATCGCACCACTGCATTCCAGCCTGGGCAACAAGAGCAAAACTCCATCTCAAAAACAAAACAAACCAAACTCCCGAAAGTTAAACTTGGATGCCCAGAATTGGGGCAGGGGCATGTTGAGATCAGGCGCTCTGTTTTGTCCCCAGAATTGTCCATGGACCTCCTGTGGAAGTTCATAGTTTGATCAGATTCTCAATCCAGAGCTTTAAAGCTTACAAGTTACAATTGTAGATGAATCATGAGTAAATTAAGACTGTGGGAAATCTTTAATCTGTCTACCTGTCACTTGTCACTAAATTTTTCTGTGCTGGTTACATAGAGCATATTTAAGTTCTCAAGTTTAAACAGTATTCAGTTTTGACTCATAGTTTGCTTAACATGATTTATTTCCTTCACGTGCAATTATCATTTAGTTGAACATGATGAGCAGTATTTGTTAATGTCCTACTGATTAGCTGTGTGGCTGAAATGAATAGTAAAATAAATGATCATGTTCTTGACATTGATACTTCACAGGTGAGTTTAGTTTCCTGTCCTCTCCCTTGCTCTTAATCATCTGTCTCCTAATTCTTTGTAACAAGGGCACTTTGTTTTCAGGTTGTCTGTCTGTTGTCAAGTAATCGGAAGGACAAATACGATGCTATTAAAAAATACCTGTGTACAGATTGCCCTACCCCAAGTCAGTGTGTGGTGGCCCGAACCTTAGGCAAACAGCAAACTGTCATGGCCATTGCTACAAAGATTGCCCTACAGATGAACTGCAAGATGGGAGGAGAGCTCTGGAGGGTGGACATCCCCGTGAGTTTGATTTAATTGGTAGATGCCGTTTTAAAATTGGTATTTAAGAACATGGATTTACTTTTTAAATGTTGCTGGTACTCCATTGTATCTAAAATTACCATATTTGTATTGAAGCTGAAGCTCGTGATGATCGTTGGCATCGATTGTTACCATGACATGACAGCTGGGCGGAGGTCAATCGCAGGATTTGTTGCCAGCATCAATGAAGGGATGACCCGGTGAGTGAGACTGGGCTACTGTGGGTGGCAGTGAGGACATAAAGCAGGGTTCTGGAGGTTCAGGAGTAGTGTTCATTCTTCGTTGTTATCCTTCCAGTTTCTCAATCATATACAGCAACGAATTTAGGAAAGAAAAATAATGACCTACCCTAGCTCTTGAATGACTTTCATCCTGTATTCGTCAAACTGCATTTCAGATTTTTTTTAATCATATGTATTGGCGAGTACATCTTGTTAAATGTGACTCTCTCTAAAAATGTATTTGTTTAATAATATTTACTGGCCACTGAAATGTAGTTTCACATTTTGATGTAGAAAAACCACTTCAGTTTACCCAGTCACTTGTATTTCAACATAATAGCATTATTTTTCAGTGCTTTTCTTGGAACTAAGGGAATTGCCAAGAATAGTAATATATGAAAACTGAAGGCATGTTAGTTGTTGACATTAGTAATGGATATATTTCAAGGTCTTATCATTTTTAACTTTTAGTTTCAGGAGTGCATGTGCAGGTTTGTTACATAGGTAAACTCGTGTCATGGGGTTTGTGGTTCAGATTATTTCATCACTCAGGTACTAAGCCTAGTACCCAGTAGTTATTTTTTCTGCTCTTCTCCCTCCTCCCACCTTCCACCCCCAAGTAGGCCCTGGTGTCTGTTGTCTTCTTTGCGTCCATGAGTTCTCATCATTTAGCTGCCGCTTATAAGTGAAAACAGGTGGTATTTGGTTTTCTGTTCCTGCATTAGTTTGCTAGAGGTAACGGATGGAGCTGAAGGTCTTTCATCTTTTAGAAGAGTGAAACTTACAATGAATAGTTTCTCAAGAGCACAGCCATGAGTGTGCTTCTGTGCGTATTTAGGTGTAATAAACCTGGACAGCGCCTCTGGGTATTATAGCTAAATTCTGTTTTCTCCCCAGCAGCTGGAATCATGGTACTGATTTGTAATGAAAACAGACACAGTTTGTGATGCTGATACGGGATCTCTTGTATCCTGCTCCTTCTGTGTAAGGTTTTTATAAAGTATTTGGAGATGTTAACAGATGTCTTTAAGGCAGTTACAAAGATGACAGATTGCTAAGAGTGAAATAAATATAGAATAATTCAGAAAGGAAAAATTGATAGACAATTGCATTCTTATTCTAGCTGTGTTTTTCTCTGAATAGCTGGTTCTCACGCTGCATATTTCAGGATAGAGGACAGGAGCTGGTAGATGGGCTCAAAGTCTGCCTGCAAGGTTAGTCACCTGTGGGGTTGCCATTCTACTCTCTAAACTGGGGTCTTCCAGAAATTACCCTGAACTGTGTTATTGATGGGCCCAGACTTTGGGAAGAACAGACGAGTTGTGTCGTAGGCATGAATTGACATAAAACTTCTCTGGCCTGTTTCAGCGGCTCTGAGGGCTTGGAATAGCTGCAATGAGTACATGCCCAGCCGGATCATCGTGTACCGCGATGGCGTAGGAGACGGCCAGCTGAAAACACTGGTGAACTACGAAGTGCCACAGTTTTTGGATTGTCTAAAATCCATTGGTAGAGGTTACAAGTAAGCATGCAAATTGTAAAGCATTTTCTTTTTATAAAACTGCACCTTTGTATCTTTGAAATTAGCATCACAAGATGAAAGGATGAGGGAGAACCTAACTTGATAGGGACTGTAGGGCCTTTGAGGTGATGGGAAGGGCAGAGGGAAGTTTCTATTGGAAATTTTTCACAAGAAGGCTGTGTTGAGGGGTAGTATAGAGGGTCATTCCTTCACAGAATGGGACAGTAAGACACCATTACCAATCATTGATCAGCTTTCTTTCTTACCTAAGGCCTTGGAGTGCAAGTATCTGATAATTCTGTACATCCAAAGGCGTCCACAGGATTCATTATTGAAATAAGTGTTCCTGACAGTCTTAGCTTACTGAATACTTGTTTCATTTCCTTGTGGACTTGACTAGTGTTTGATCAGTAAGGTGATTTGGCGAGCATCTAGTCTCATGGGGCAGGGGTAGTTCTACTTTCTCCCTTTTTTTTTTTTTTTTTTTTTTTGAGATGGAGTCTCGCTCTGTTGCCCAGGCTGCAGTGCAGTGGCACAATCTCGGCTCACTGCAACCTCCGCCTCCCAGGTTCAAGTGATTCTCCTGCCCCAGCCTCCTGAGTAGCTGGGATTACAGGCGTGCACCACCACACCTGGCTAATTTATGTATTTTTAGTAGAGACGGGGTTTCACCACGTTTGCCAAGCTGGTCTCAAACTCCCATCCTCAGGTGATCCACCCATCTTGGCCTCCTAAAGTGCTGGGATGACAGGCATGAGCCACAACTCCCAGCCTCTACTTTGTCCTTTTAAGGAATGTGGACAGCCGAGGATGGTATCCAGATGCTGCACTTGTTTTCCTTTGAAACCCATATTGGTTTTTGTCTTCCTCTGCTCTCCTACAGACATTTCCGTCAGTGCCATTATGAGTCAATAAAATGTGTACCATCGCAAGAGAGCCATTCTAATCAGTTACGTTAACTAGTCCTCTTTATCAGATCTGTGAGTGATTTGAAATCAGGGACTGTTGTATTAAGGGCTAAGTGCATAATACATTACAGATTTAAAGATTGAACTTTTCAGGATATTTGGAAGATCTTGGATCCTGTTTCGTGTGCTTGCACATACATATTACACACCCATTATTCTTGTATTTTAGCATTTTGTATCATTATAGAAAGGAGGGATTCTGAAAGCCACTGGCCACATCTGGGGCTTGATTTTATCTGGTGCGTAGGAAAAGGACAAGCACCAAGAGGTCATTCCTTATTTCTACTAACGGGCTTCTGAGTCATCTTTGGCCAATGCTAAAAGGCCCCACACAATAAGTGTTTATCCCAGACGTTTCTTAAAATGACATGTGATGCCGTGAAGGTCTCAGAGAAAGTCAGGAGTGTTTTTATCTTTTTTGAAATAGTTGTGTTTCAGATTAAAAGACCACGCATTTTTTAATATTTTGGAAATGAAAGTTAATGTTCTTTCCTATTCCCTTAAGACTCTTAATGCTTATATTTTGTCAAATAATGATACTTTGTTTTCAGGCTTTAGAAGCCTTATTGTATGTTGTTCTCTGACTTGGCCTTTCTGTCTGTGTGGGGAGGTGTGGTGTGGTGTGTGCAGCAGGCAGTAAAGGAGGCTCTGACTTGGACTGCTTCTTTCCTACTCTTTTTTTCCTGCGATTTACTACTTGAGCACACAGTGTTTTCTAGTCTTTATTGTCATTTCCTCATACCTGAAGTGAAGGAAATTGTCAAGAAATGATGAATAGAGGTCATAGTGCAAGTTCGTCACATTCCCTTGAGCTGAATTGTAGGGCTACTAGGAGTACACACTCCTGGCCTTGCTGGGTCATCTCTGTTTCTTAGGGTCCTTTGGGTTTGATTCCCAGAAGGACTGGCAGAAATGGCTCTTGAAAAGGAGGTTGCCACCCTAGTGAATGAGTACCTGTGCACAGTCGTCCTGAGTGTGCAGAGTGGACCCTGGTGCAGCTGGTGGGTGCGCCTACCCAGCTCCATCAGCGAGTGGGAACACAGCGTTGCAGGGAAGGAGAACCTAAGTCGACTGCTTGGGCTGACACTTAGTGCACTGTTGCGTGAAGTAGACTGCACACTGTGAACTGTGGCAGTAGGGATCAGTGGTAAAAAGCAATATGTCTTAAAATCAGAGTTTGGTTAATCCCAGCTTTAGCTTCGTTTGTAGAAGAAGGGAACAGTTAACTGAGGCATTGCAAGGCGTAAATGAAAATATACGTAATGGACTTCACACAGTATCCAGTAAGTATTCAATACATGGTAGATAGTTCTGGGAAAAACCTTCAAGTTGTACATAAAGGTAAAATATCTGAAAATTATTCTTCACTTTTAGAAAATGCAAAGTTTGGACTTCAATGTTTGTCTAATAGTTATCATTAGAACCACAATGTTTGCTTTCAAATTGAAATGTTGCTTTTAAGCTTTTATAGCAACGTATCACAGGGCAGCTGATTTAGACTGTTTGATGCAAGAACAAATCAGAAAGTCATGCCAGCATATTTGTGACCTGTTTTTGTTACTATATTTGCTAAATTGTTTCTCGTGATGTTATAGGATTAACTTTATCCACCTTATGTCCTTCCGTTCCTAAGACTGATACTTGTTTTAGATGCTGTCATGAAGTCCTAGATAGTCATCACTTTCTAACAAGGCCCTATGCTGAACTTAATCTCTGTAAGTGGCAGAGGCATTTGAAACAGAGGGCTGCACACATTTTCAACACGTTCATTGTGGCTTTGTTATATTCAGAGCTATTAGCACGGGCAGTCGCTGGGCAGCAGTAGTCTGCGTAGGCAGATAGGGACATTTCTGAAGATGTCCTCTGCTTACTCAAGTACTCTCACTGAGTTTCTTGCCCTATTCAATTTTCAGTGAAAAACATCAGCAACATTGCCGAGTCAGACATTACTAGGTCCATACTGTATAAAACCCTCTGCTTCCCAGCATTGGAAATCAAGTGTATCTGTCCTCTTAAGGAACTAATGTTGTAGTTGGAGATGGAGGTGCTAATAATCATGTTTATCTAGTGCTTACTACCTGGCAGTGCTGTTCTAATTGCTACCTGTTCTAATTCATGGATTAACTACGTGGATTGTGTGTGTACAAGTGTGGCTGCTTCAGAAGGATTTGAAGTGAGCCTGGAGGAGGGGGTGGAAAAGGATGTGAAAGGTACTCAAGCAGACCAGGCAGTGCAAGTGCAGGGCTGCTCTCCGCAGGGTCAGAGGGAGGGCAGAAGGGCCAGGGATCTGCCGGGACGGACAGCTGATAGTGCACGGCTGTGTCCAGGCCAAGAAGCCTGATGAACCTTGACACAGGAGAGCCGCCTGAAGAATCCAGGTGGGGATGGGTGGCTAAAAAGGGCAGCCTCTAGTATGGGTGCATCTGGCGTGTGGTAGGCCAAGGAGTGTGGGGCCGTCCTGGGGTCTGCGGAAAACGTCATTTGAGACTCCGGTGAAACACGAGTATGAAAATGAAGTTACTCCTCCTGAAAAAGGTATATGAATATGTAGTATGTATGTATGAGTGTGTGTCTGTGTGTATCCCCGATATATAGTGAAACGGTAATTTTGAAAAGCACTACTTAAATCCACTTACCTGTCAAAGATTTTAGAGTTAATATTATATTTTCTACACAGTAGAAAATGCCCACTGAAGACTGTTATAAATTGTGAATTTTGAAGACATGCTGGATTTAACATTTTGGTGTGATTGGTATGTAATGTGTTTGGTCTATGGATAAACCATCTACATGACCGTGTGTCACAGGACATATGTGCCATTTGGTTTCCCTCTCACCGTTTATCCGTGGTCTTTACTCCTGTCAAGAGTAAGATCCTGATCCTTCTCCACAACCTGGACAGATGATACGCCCCAGGAGGGATGTGTTCCTTTTTAAATGGAGCATGTGAACACCTGAATGAATGAGTGCCCTGAAAATATGACTGGCTAAATGCAGTTACATTCATCATCATTTTTAAGCCCTAGACTAACGGTAATTGTGGTGAAGAAAAGAGTGAACACCAGATTTTTTGCTCAGTCTGGAGGAAGACTTCAGAATCCACTTCCTGGAACAGTTATTGATGTAGAGGTTACCAGACCAGAATGGTAAGTTCCATGTGATGAGCTGAAGGTTGTTTTCTCCTTGGTGGTGGTTTCTTTAGCATGGCCCCTATGCTTTACCAATTTTAATACATTTTACTTTTGTTCTTATATTTTTTATAAACATTAATTTTTTCAACTAATTTGGTCAAACATAATTAATAAAGCCCATGGTTTCCTGGTGTCTGAACAGAGGTTTCCAAGTACAGTTTTTCATTGGGGGAAAGAGGATTATTTTCTGTGGTATTAACTACACATAGGGAGATTAAGCATTGCTTCTGTAGATTGCTTTTATATTTTTTACGTACATAACCTATCCACAGATTGTTTTCTAGTAAAAAGTGTTTAGATTTGTAATACACTTAGTTGTCTAAAGGTCAAGAAGTTTTATCTGAGACAGAGGTGCTTATGAGTAAAGTGGCTTCTGAGCCGAGCTGCACTCACCGACCGCAAGAAAAGCAGAATGCCAGCCGGAGCTTACAGCGGGCACCGGCAGGCACAGGGAAATGGCCTTAGTAGCACGGGAGGATTCCGTGAGAAAGTCAGGAAACTTGGCTCCTTTTTTGGGACAGAGTCACTGTGTTCCCCAGGCTGGAGTGCAGTAGCATAATCTCGGCTCGCTGTAACCTCTGCCTCCTGCGTTCAAGGAATTCTCATGCCGTAGCCTCCTGAATAGCCGGAATTACAGGCATGCACCACCATGCCGAGCTAATTTTTGTGTTTTTAGTAGAGACGAGGTTTCACCACGATGGCCAGGCTGGTCTCAAACTCCTGGCCTCAAGTGATCCGCTCGCGTCAGCCTCCTAAAGTGCTGGGATTACAGGCATGAGCCACCACGCCCAGCCGAAACTTGTTCCATTTTTAGTGAGTTCCTCAAAAACCCTTTTGTGTGAGGTGTTGTTAATGCAGTGAGCATGTTCGTGATGGCAACCCATCAGTCATTCTAAGTTGACACTGTACTCAGGACAGCGAATCGTTGGGAGGACTTCTGTTTTTCTATGTAGGTGCTTTGGAACCTTTGTGAAGAAGGCGACTTTAAGAGGATAAAGTCTCGGCCTGTGTGCAAAGTTGACATGTGGAACACTTCTCCTGTGTGAATCTTGGGTAAATGAGGCAATACTATAGCGACTTTAGGTGGAAAATGATAATAGCATACAGAGTTTAGTCTTATCTAGTCTGCTCTGTTATCTGACAGTGGAGAGAAATTTTTATTTTGAAATACATTATCTTGGATTTCTGTCTTTTTCTCAGACAGATGTTATGGCATTGGCTTAGGTTAGGTTATGGCATTGGCTTAGGTTACAAGGTTCTAATAGGTTAGAAGGATTCTAGCCTATTGGGGAAAAATTGGCTAGAAAGACAAAAGAAGGCTAAGATGTTAACATAGCAAATTCATTTCTGCAGGATTCTCTTTCACCGTATTCAAAACGACCCCCGATGCTTTCCAACATTGCTACTACTCCTAACGCCAAAGCCCAGATGTGACATTGGCCTGAAGACAGTAACTTAAACAAATTGGGTAAAATCCCAGTTGAATTATGAAGTATAAAAAACGTCATGAGTTTTCACTAGATATTATTAAAATGTAGCAACTGCTGATGCTATTCGGACACCTGGAGAAGCCCACTCTTTTTTTTTTTTTAGTTTCATTTTAAGTTCCGAGACACACGTGCAGGACGTACAGGTTTGTTACATCGTGCCATGGTGGTTTACTGCACTTATCAACCCATCACCTAGGTATTAAGCCCCACATGCATTAGCTCATGCATTAGCTATTTATCCTGATGCTCTTCCTCCTCCTTACCCCCCAACAGGCCCCAGTGTGTGTGTCATTCTCCTCCATGTTCATGTGTTCTCATTGTTCAACTTCTGCTTATAAGTGAGAACATGCGGTGTTAAGTTTTCTGTTCCTGCATTAGTTTGCTGAGGATAACGGCTTCCAGCTTCATCCATGTCCCTGCAAAGAGCATGATCTTGTTCCTTTATATGGCTGCATAGTATTCCATGGTGTATATATACCACATTTTCTTTATCTGGTCTCTCATCAATGGGCATTTGAGTTGATTCCATGTCTTTGCTATTGTGAATAGTGCTGCATGAACATACATGTGCATGTATCTTTATAGCAGAATTATTTATATTTATTTGGGTATATACCCAGTAATGGGATTGCTGGGTCAAATGGTATTTCGGGTTCTAGATCTTTGAGGAATCACCACACTGTCTTCCACAATGGTTGAACTAATTTACATTCCCACCAACAGTGTAAAAGTGTTCCTATTTCTCTCAGCCTTGCCATCTGTTGTTTCTTGACTTTTTAATAATAGCTATTCTGACTGGTGTGAGATGGTATTTCATTGTGGTTTTGATTTGCATTTCTCTAATGATCAGTGATGTTGAGCTTTTTCATGTATGTTTCCTGGACACATAAATTTCTTCTTTTGAGAAGTGTCTGTTCTTGCCCTTTGCCCACTTTTTAATGTTTTTTTTTCTTGTAAATTTGCTTAAGTTCCTTGTAGATTCTGGATATTAGACTTTTGTAAGATGGGTAGATTGCAAAAATTTTCTCCCATTCTGCAGGTTGTCTGTTCACTCTGATGATAGTTTCTCTTGCTGTGCAGAAATTCTTTAGTTTAATTAGATCCCATTTGTCAATTTTTGCTTTTGTTGCAACTGAGAAGCCCGCTCTTAATGAGCACCAAAGTCATCTGTAATCACCAGCACTGCAAATGGTTTGTGCCTAAGCTGGGAAGCCGGGCTTGGATTCCAGCCCTGGCATGATTTCGCTGTTCTTTCTGAACAAGTCATTTAACATTTCTTAACTCCTCATTCTTTGAAAAGGTAGCTATACCATCTGTTGTAGATCAGTTCTGCTTTCCTAATTTTACTAGTTTTGATGGGCATAATAAATCGCAGGGTTAATTTCCTTAAATCTTTATTGGGTCAAATTACAATATCTCTGGATTGATATTTTATTGGTACCAAGAAAATGAAAAAAAAAAAAAACTAATGCGTATTCCTTCATATTTGTACTACAGGCGGCTCTCTTTATCTGTAGGTCCTGCAACCATAGATTCAACCAACCTCGGATCAAAAATACTTGGAAAAAAGTCTGTACTAAGCATGTGCAGACTTTTTCTTGTCATTATTCCTTAAACAATACAGTAAAACAACTATTTACATAGCATTTGCATTGTATTAGGTATTATAATCTAAAGATGATACTTTCAAGTATATGGGAGGTTATAGAAAGACAACATCATTTTATATTAGGGACCTGGGCATCCGAGGATTTTGGTATCCTCAGGAGGTCCTGGAACCAATTCCCAATGGATGGCTATACTTGGTTTTTGTTCTTCCATTTGGTCCCATACTAGTTTATATTCTTTCATGTTCCCTTCCACTTAAAGATTTGCATTAAATTCCTGGGGATTAAAATGAATTCTACTTTTGTTAAATAACAATGGGAACAGCAAGAGGGGAAAAGATTCCGTGGTAAAAGCATGTTTGGGGAGTAACAGTCCCTGAAGCTCGACCCACTCGCTGCCCCCACAGGTCGTGCTTCCAGAGTCTGAAGGCTCAGTCACATGGTTCGGGGGTCGGGGTGGAAAACAGGAACTGGCCAAGTATGCCATCGTTTTTAGCGCCCGTAACAAATGCTTGGTTCTGCTGGGAGGCATCATGACAGATATTTAAAATCAAAATCATCATCTTTATGATAAACATCTTTCACACATAAGCAGTCCCAAATGGTTCATGAATAACAGGCTCCTGGACTTCAAGGAAGCACGTTACAGCGTGAGAAGAGATGAGGTTACTGTAGTAACTTACAGTGAAGAGTGGTACAGAGCTTTTCACTGTAAGAAACTGGAATCACCCTAATTTTAGTTTTCAGCACATCCGTGTGTTTTCTGTAATTCCAGGTATGACTTTTTTATCGTGAGCCAGGCTGTGAGAAGTGGTAGTGTTTCTCCCACACATTACAATGTCATCTATGACAACAGCGGCCTGAAGCCAGACCACATACAGCGCTTGACCTACAAGCTGTGCCACATCTATTACAACTGGCCAGTAAGTGCTTCTACTTGTTGATGTTTAGCAAATAAAGGACATTCACTTTTCAAAATGAAATAGCTGTGGTTTAAAAGGCTTTTAGGGTTAATACTGAGATTTGCAATTGAAAGAGGCTAAGTCTAGAGTAATAGAACCTTTTTTTCCTTCCACTAAAGGGTGTCATTCGTGTTCCTGCTCCTTGCCAGTACGCCCACAAGCTGGCTTTTCTTGTTGGCCAGAGTATTCACAGAGAGCCAAATCTGTCACTGTCAAACCGCCTTTACTACCTCTAACCTGCAGAAGACGATGCAGCCGCTTTTCTTTTTGAAATGACTTTGGGATTTTTTTAAGCTTTTATTTACTTTTTTTTTAACTGTTATCTTTCTGGATGAAACTTGGGAAGGGGATTAGGAGATCTAGCATTTTATTTCTAGCATTGCTATTCACCGGCTTCCTTATTTTATACGTAAAAATTAAGATTTTATATTTTATCTTCTTGTTTCTCATAGATATTTTGTGAGCATTTTTTTGTTTATTTTGAAGAAATGTGGATAAGATACTTGGTAGTATAAAACAGACTCTCTGAGAGTATTTGAAATGTGTTTGGAGATTTACTTAAACGTACTTTCAGGAGTGAGCAAGTCCTACTTATAAACCTATATTAACTTTATTTTTGAGATACCTGTTTTGAATTTAAAGGAGATAAGAGGCGTAAAGTAGGATGCTCACTACAACCATAGGTGGGGTTTCAGCTCATATCTTAAAGATAAAAGGTACTATTATATAACCTATACACAAGATACAGGAGAAAATATGCTTGATTTTTATTTGGCAGGGGGGCTAGGTTGTATGGGAGTAAAAAAAACATTGAAAATTTTTAAATTGTCCAAAGAAACATTTTAAGACTCTTTAACAAAAAAGGCCATGAGTAAATCTCTATATTAACATTACTATTTATTTTGTTTTGGAACTGGGACATGATTCTATTTGTTATAAAATAAAATTGATGTGATTGTCACCTTATTTGAATAACTGTAATTCTTGTTTTACTGAAAGTATGTGCGTTTTCTTTTCATTTAATTTTTAAAAGTGCATACAATTCCATTCATAAAAGCTAAATTAGCCTGACCAACATGGTGAAACCCCATCTCTACTAAAAATACAAAATTAGCCAGATGTGGTGCCAGGAGGCTGAGGCAGGAGAATCACTTGAACCTGAGAGGCGGAGGTTGCAGTGAGCAGAGATCACGCCACTGCACTCCAGCCTGGGCAACAGAGTGAGACTCCGTCTCAAAAAAAAAAAAAAAAAAAAAAAAAAAAAAAAAAAAAAAAAAGCTCAATTAGTGTCTCTTACGAACTCTAATGTCAGAGTAAAATTTTTTAAGGAAATGCTGCCACCTCCAATATTTGTAGTATAAGAACGGGTATCCACAGCTTATAAGGAAGCACAGACTAAGAAGTCTGTGGTGTTGTGAAGTTGGTAATTGTAGTTTTTTATATCTACATATTTATAGGAATTCTCAGGAACGTTTGCAAAGAGAAGGCTTAAAATTAATGAATTATTGTAAATCCCGGGAACACCTTTAAACATTGCTTACAAATGTGATGAGTGTAAGCTTTAATGACAATACACAAGTCCCTGGAACTGTAATTTAAACTAACGCAGATCACTCAAGTCATTTGTCTTACCTTTGTGGCACACGGTCTCATTCTGAATTTAGCCTCATTAACATATTATGAATGAAAACCATTTTATTTTCCTTTTAGTTCTTAGAGCTAATAATTGTTGTTAACATTGTTCTGGGCAAGCAGCCCAGGTTCCTTAACCTGTTCGATTTCTAAGCATGAGAAGACAAGAAACACAGAACAGTGTGACCTTCAAAAGGAGGCCAGAGACAAACATTTCAATGGTAGAAGTTGCTTAAGGTTGTCCTAGCATTAAGGAATATAAGGAAGTCTAATCATACGACTGGAAAATATTAATTTATTTATGGATTTTGGTGGCTAGTCAGTTAGTTAAGTCATGAAAAGCTCATTCTTAGCAGGTCTCAGCTCTGCCTCAAAGTGAAAGTTGAATTTAATGTCTTTAGAACCGTGAAAAATTGGTAAATGTGATAATTGTGGAAAAGTTGCAGGTGTCCAGAGACCCCACTATATCAAGAAAGACTTAGTTGAAAGGGACAGAAAACTGGCTGAAGTTATTTTAAGCCAAAAAAGGGTATTGCTTGGTTTTGTCATCATCCTAGGTAACACTTCCCAAATTTACTAATCTGTTAGACATCACCTGGTTGGGTTTGTGATAACACAGACTGGGTTCCAAACTGTACCTAGGAATCGGGACTCTCAGGGGAGAGGCCAGGTGAACAGTCTATTAAACAAGTCCCAGGTGATTTGCCAGGGACTTTTGGCAAATGCTAGTTGAAAGGGGTCTCCTTAACATCGTCTTGGTTATGCCTCTGCTGTGGTTTTCATCAGACAAACCTGTTGCATGCGGCGACAGAGACTAGGTTGATGTCTGAGCCACACCGAGTACACGGAGCACTGTCAGAGAATTCACTGCCGCACTCACAAAGAACAAAGCAAAGACTCCGTGAAATCCCAATTTCTCCTTTCACGTGGGATGTGCGTATCTGAGTGGGATGTCCAAAAGCTTTAGTGTTAAACACACTGACCTCAGGCTGTCCCTTCCCAAAGCTTCGTCTGACCAGTCTACCTGGTGGTTCCTGAAGGAACCCCAGGGATTTGGTGGGTGGTTCCCCAAAAGTGCATGCCTGTAGGAAGTCTGTCCACTCTTTTCTGGGTACATTTTCCTTCAAAATTCAAAAATGTGACACTCATTGAAGCATTCTATTTAGCAATTTTACACGCATTCCCTAAGTCCTACAGGAGTTTTTTGGAGTAATCTCCTGAACCTGCTGCTTACACACAGTGACGGCTCTGGCTCTCTCCTCAGAGTCAAATAGAAAGTATTTTCAACAGCAGTTTCATTCTGATACTATGATACGAGTCTTCAGATATTTCGTACATTTCTAAGTAAAAGCTTAAAGTTTGTGTAATTGGTATTGTCATTCAGATACAAGATTTCAAAAGCTAGGTTTAATTTTCTTTACCTTCATTATTACTACCCAATGATTTTAAAAATCCATTGTGTACAATAGAGAAACTGTAAAATTTTCAAGAGTAGTCAGGAGGGAGTCCCTGCACTTGGAGTAAGATGACTCTTCTCTCTAGGCCACCATTCAAAGGAGGCTCCATGGCCTCTACACTCTGAGTTAAGCTGCCCTTCAAGCACCCTGTGCTGCCAGAACTCAAGTGGGCACCTAGAACTCTGCACTGCGGAGTCCAGCGCTCTGCCCTCGTCCATCGCAGCCTTCCCACTCTCATGCCTGGGAACCCCACGACCAGTGGCATGCCCCATCCCTGGGCTCTTCCCACAAGCCCAAAGCTCCAGGTGATCCCTCGTATTTCAGGCTCATCTCTGAGGAGCTCTTTGCAGTCTCTTTTTTGACACCATCCCCTGCTCCTCAACTTTTCCTGTGTCCTCTGGAGCTCATTCTCAACAGCCTCTTAGGGGCGGTTTCTTTACATCTCCCTTTAACAAACTCGGCTTTCTCCCGGGTCACTCACAGTGCTGCTGTTGTCTCTCCTACACTTCTCGTCTGCCAAGGTCTGGAGGGTGAGGTAGGTGTCCCTCTTGCTCCTCACTGATATTTCCAGACACCCCGACCCCCGCAAAAAAGAAACCACTCGGCTTTGAATCTACTTTGATCAGATCATGTCAGCCGCTCCCCCTCCCTTTGCCACTTTATGCTCCCCGAGCTCCGATTCCTCCTTGCAGATGGTAGCTCCTGGCTTGCTCACATTGTCCTGTGGTGCTTTCCTTCTAATTCTTGGCTAAAACACACCGGTGAAGTCCAGCTTTTTGCCTACTTGCCTGTTCCTTTGCAAATAAACACGGCTGGAGAAAAGCACGCAACCCTGTGTAATTGTTGTATTTCAATTCATGATCACAAGCAGGTATTTAATGCTGTCAATACATGTATGTCTAGCCATTGGCTCCACAGCTCTCTGATGTTTTTCATACCTTGTCTCCTTACACCACCACCACCACCACCTCCATCCGCATTCTCAACTACTGTCTATTTTGCTAAAAATCCAGGCAGAGCTTCACAAGCTCCCACCTGAACCGCGTTTGCTCTGCAGCCCGGTGTTGTGGCGGCACGCACGGTCTGTGCACTCGGCCAGAGCACACCCCACCTGCTTGGGCACAAGACATTCATTTTTGGAGGATGTTGTTTTGGAATCTCGTCTCTCCTTGTTTCCCTGCTTTAGTATTTTTCTTTTCCTATTCATTCCCAACAGCTTGCAAAACTGGTGTCATTTTTTTTTTATGTTAAAAAATAAAAGCCTTTTGGGCCCCATTGACCCTTAACTACTGTTCCATTTCTCTCTTTCCCTCAAAACTCCTGTGTTGTCTGGACTTCTTTCCTCCCCATCCTCTCTTGAATCCAGTGCCAGCTGTTCAATTCCTGGCCATCCTCCAGCCAGACCTGCTGCACGCCTGGCATGGTGTCCCCTTTCTCCTGGAAACATGCTCTGCCTGGCTTCCACGATGCCATGCTCTCTTGGCTCCCCACACCTGACTGTTCCTTCTCAGTCTCTTGCTGGTTCTTGTCTCTAAGGCCTAAATGTGCCTTCAGACTCTGCCAGGATCCCCTTTCTTTCTGCTCTTCCTCTGTTGGTGATTTCACCCATGACTCATTTGTATGAAGATGCTTCCCAGACCACATCTCCAGGCCCAGTTTCCTCCCTGAACTCCACACTCACATCATCAGCTGTCTCCTAGACGTCTCCCTTAGGCTGTCCAACACAATGCTGCTCAGACTTCTTGGTCTCGGAACTGCCTGACACTCTTCAATTACTGAGGACACAGAGATTTTGTTTATGTGAATTATATCTGTTGATAATTACCATATTAAAAATTAAAACATCTAAAAATATGCGTGCCCATATTCCATTGTCAGAATGATACTGTCAGCACATGACGTGTAGCCTCTGGAAAACACTGTATATGCCTGAGGGCGCGTTAGAGTGCAAAGGAAAAGTGACCTCTCAGTATCATACAGATAATTTTGATTTCGCAGAACTCCAAAGGAGTCTGAGATTTCCAGGGGCCTCCAGACCGCATTTGACAACCTCTGGTTGAACTGGTGTTTCAGTATGCTCAAAGTTAAACTGTGATTTCTTGAAGCCCTGTTCCAGCTCCGTAAATCAGGACTTCATCCTTCCAAATGTTCATTCAGGCCAGAAACCTGGGAGCCATCCTGGAGTCATCTCTTACATCACACCTCAGATTCCTCAGTGAAGTTTATCAGCTTCACTTTCAAAATACGAGTACCTGTCCACTAATCCTGTCAGCCTAGCCTTCCTAACCCATGTCTCTGCTCTTGCCTTTGCCCCGACTTTGGTCCATTTTCAGCAAAGTAGTCACAGTGATGAAGTCACACATCTGCTTACAGTCCCACTATGGATCCCCATCTCAGGAACACAGAGTCGTTGCCAGGTTCCCATGTTGTGTCATCCCAGCTGCTCACAGGAGACTCGGTTCTCCTCCTGCCTTAGGGCCTCTGCCTGGTTTCCTCTGCCTGCTGTGCTCGGAGCCCAAGTTCCCGTGTGTTCCTTCAGGTCTGGGCTGAAATGGCACCAGCACAGGGAAGCCCTCTGTGACCACCCCCTGTGAGCGTGCAGCCTAGACACCTACCCTTCGCCTCTCCTCCCCAGCTTCACTGGTATCATTAGCTAGTGTAGTGCCCAGCTTACCTTTTCTCTTACTCATCTCCCGCTAGATGCTGAGCCCATGAGGGCCAGGATTCTTGAGTGTTTTGTTCACTTTTGTCTTCCCAGTTTCGATGATCCCCAGTGTATAGCAGGTTCTCAGATATTTATTGAACGGATAGGTGAATAACTAGTGCCGCCCATAATTCAGAAAAACAGCCCCTAGTATTTCCTGGGCATGTTAAAGTTGAAGGGCTCTGCCCCAACAGTGGTCCTTGATCCTTGGGTGCACATGGCGGTCACCAGGGAGCTCTAGCAACCCCTAATGTCGGTGCGCACGCAGTTCACGGAACAATCTCAGCTGGAGACCTGGACGTGGATATGTTAGAAATCTCCCCTGGGAAGTAAGTTACACCAGGCAGAGAGGTGGGGCCGTCCAGACAGGCGAAAAAGCAACCCGGCTTTTGAGAAACCTGGATTCTAAATCTCAGCTTCCGGCTGTATCTGAACACCAGATGCTCTGCTGGCATTGGGTGGTTTTCTTCATGGGTGCCTGGAGGAGTAGGTCCAGTCCATCCTGGCCATGTCCCCACCCATGTGGCATAAATGCAATGCCAGGGTGTGATCTGGAGGCACGAAAGGAGCCCTTTGGTGTGGCCCTGTGGCCTCAGCTGTGGCAGGGCCTGAGGTACCTTAGCACAAGCGGGCACTTTGCCCTTGGTCTGGGGCCTGGGGGCTGCATCTGGCCTCATGATTTGCTCGCTCTCACCTTCCATCGGAGGCCAACCCTTCCCATTTGGTCCCAGGCCCTGTGAAGTGGAGAGCGGGAGTAGTACATGTACCTTCTTTCTGGACAGCGCAAGAATCTTTAAACACTTTAATGCTATTCTCCCTGACCCAACTTACATGCCATTGCTTCTGATTTAAATCAACTGTACTGAGGTCTAGTTTATTTACATAAAGTAAATGAATACAGTGTAATGAGTTTGGACAAATGTCTATACCTCTGGATCTACTGCCACCATCAAGTTTTAGAGAATGCCTATACCCTTCCTCCCACAAAGGTTCCATCTTGCCTCTTTGCAAGCAGTCCTCCCCACCGGGACCAGATGCAGCAGTGACCTGCCTCTGGAATCTCACCTGGAGAACCGGGTAGCATGCACTCTTGTGTCTGGCTTCTTTTGGTCTGCCTGGTGTTTTAAAGCAGAGTCTGTGTATCTGTGTAAGTGGGTTGTTTGCTGGGTGGTATTCGACCGCGTGATGAGTTCACCATTTGTTTATTCATCATCAATCAGTGGGTGTTTTGGATGTTTCCAATCTTTGGCTAGTATAGTAGACTACCATGAAAAACACTGTTGAGGATTTTGTGTGGGGATGTATGTTTTCATTTCTCTGGCGGATACATAGATGAGGAATTGCTGGATTTATATGGGAAGCATGTCTGCAACTTCATGAAAAGCTAACAAGCTGTCTTCTAAGTATTTATGCCCTTTTCCCTTTTTCTTTACAATGCGTGAGATTTCATTGCTCCACATCCTCACCAGTATTTGATGATGCCTTTTTAATTTTAGTCATCTTGTGGGTATGTAATCTTACCTTATTTTGGTTATTGTTTGCATTTCCCTGGTAAGTAATGTTGCTGAGCATCTTTTTGTTTACATGTTGGCCGTTCTTACATCTTCTTTTATGAAATGTCTGTTCAAATCTCTTGCACATTTTAAAAGTATTTTATTGAGTTGTAAAAGTTGTTTATGTATTCTGGATACAAATCTTTTGTTGTAGACATGCACTGTGAATATTTCCTTCCAGTTTCTGGCTTGCTGTTTTGCTTTCTTAAGTATCATTCGAAGAGAAGATGTTTGTACAACTGGATTTCAAAGTCCACTGATGGGGGAGAACCATCTGGTGAGGACTTAACACTTCCTACTCTTCGATGTGCTTCATGCATGGTTGAAAATGTAATTGTCAAAAAAGGCTGCCAAAGTTCTTGATTTGTATTCTGACTTGCAGTGTTTACTAAATAATATTTGGAATAGTATTTGGAAAAAAGTATCTTCCTTAGCTGTTTAATTCGCTGTAGGGTGAGATAGACTTACTTTAATGTAAGTTTGGCAGTTGACTTCATTTGTACCTGGTACTGGTATCTATAAATAATGCCTTTTTTCTTCATTCTTTTAAAATTTATTTGGCACATAGCAGACACTCACACATTTGTCAAATAAAAGAATTGTACAAATTTTTTTCTTATTGAAATTCAAACCACATTGAATAAACCTAAATGCTTCCTTGACAGTTCCTTCAACTCCCTCATCCCAATTCCCATCCAAGCATTGACAGTTCCTTCAACTCCCTCATCCCAGTTCCCATCCAAGCATTGACAGTTCCTTCAATTCCCTCATCCCAGTTCCCATCCAAGCATTGACAGTTCCTTCAACTCCCTCATCCCAGTTCCCATCCAAACATTGACAGTTCCTTCAAATCCCTCATCCCAGTTCCCATCCAAGCATTGACAGTTCCTTCAACTCCCTCATCCCAGTTCCCATCCAAGCATTGACAGTTCCTTCAACTCCCTCATCCCAGTTCCCATCCAAGCATTGACAGTTCCTTCAACTCCCTCATCCCAGTTCCCATCCAAGCATTGACAGTTCCTTCAACTCCCTCATCCCAGTTCCCATCCAAGCATTGACAGTTCCTTCAACTCCCTCATCCCAGTTCCCATCCAAGCATTGACAGTTCCTTCAACTCCCTCATCCCAATTCCCATCCAAGCATTGACAGTTCCTTCAACTCCCTCATCCCAGTTCCCATCCAAGCATTGACAGTTCCTTCAACTCCCTCATCCCACTTCCCATCCAAGCATTGACAGTTCCTTCAACTCCCTAATCCCAATTCCCATCCAAGCATTGACAGTTCCTTCAACTCCCTCATCCCAGTTCCCATCCAAGCATTGACAGTTCCTTCAACTCCCTCATCCCACTTCCCATCCAAGCATTGACAGTTCCTTCAACTCCCTCATCCCAATTCCCATCCAAGCATTGACAGTTCCTTCAACTCCCTCATCCCACTTCCCACCCAAGCATTGACAGTTCCTTCAACTCCCTCATCCCAAGTCCCATCCAAGCATTGACAGTTCCTTCAACTCCCTCATCCCAATTCCCATCCAAGCATTGACAATTCCTTCAACTCCCTCATCCCAGTTCCCATCCAAGCAGTAACCATTGTTTGGTTTGCATATATTCTAGCAACCTCTCCCCCCACCCCCCAACTTTTTTTTACTTTTGTATTTTTACTACTAATTTCAAACTGGAAAAAAAGACCAATGTCATGAACCTGGTTTCATCCTGCCTAGAAGTAAAGAAGGGGAAATTGCTGAGCCTCTGAAACCAAGAGGACCACTAAGGTGTCGGGGTGGAGGGGAAAGGCAAAGAACTCTGTGGAATATCCCTTATCCTTTGAAAAAATTGAGTAGGTTGAGTAAGGAGAAACTGTAGATGATTTTACATTTAAGGATGACACCGTATTTGTCTGACTGATTTGAAGGCATGTTGTTAGCTGATTTCTTATGTCACATAGCTTTTTTATACTTGTCCAAATTCCAGTTGCCCTGGGTTGTCTTCCCCAAAAAGTGGAAGATGATTGAAAGTAGTACTCAAGATAAAAGGGCCTTAAGTAACACAGAATCATGTGTTGAGGAACTTCTTTTCTTTCAATTATGTTACTGTTGATTATGTGCAGGAGAAAGTCTCTCTTGTTGTTGGGGTGTCTGGCACCTCCATTTGCTCATCATTTGATTTTAACAAAGCCAAACAAAGTAGGCCCTAGGTAGAACTAAGAAGCAAGTCCAATGAGTCTTCTTTTTTTTACTAGACTTTATTTTTTAGAGGAGCTTTAGGCTCACAGTTAAATTGAGTAGAAGGTAGAATTCCTATGTGTTCCCCTCACCCACACAGGCCCAGCCTCCCCCATATCAACATATCCCACCCCCCAGAGTGGTTCCCTTGTTACACTTGATGAACCTACAGTGACATCATGATTGCCCCAAGTCCACAGTTCACATGAGGGTTCACTCCTGTATCTACCGTCAAGTTTGAGAGATTGCCTGTGCCCTTCCCTTTGCGTATTTTGGATAACAGTCCTTTTATGGACAGTCTGTGGATTTGGACGGATGTATAATGTATGTGTCCACCATCATGGGACGACACAGAGTCCTTTCATGGCCCTAACACCTCCCTGTGCTGTGCCTGTTCATTTCTCCCTCCCCTCCAACCCGTTGTAACCACTCATGTTTTCACTGTCTCCATAGTTTTGCCTTTTCCAGATGTCATACATTCTGAATCACACGGTATGTAACTTTCTCAGGTTGGCTTCTCTCTCTCAGTAATATGCATTTAAGATTCCTCCGTGTCTTTGTGGCTCATTTCTTTTTAGCACTGACTAATATTCCATTATTTGAATGTACCAGTACATGTATCCATGCACTTGCTTGAAGGAGTCATCTTGATTGCTTCCAAGTTTTGGCAAATATGAATAAAACTGCCATAAACATCTCTGTGCGGGTTCTTGTATGGATACACCTTTTCAACTCCTTTGGGTAAATACCAAGCAGTGTGCTTCGTAAGGTAAGACTATGTTTAGTTTTGTAAGAAACTGCCTGTCTTTTAGAATGGCGTACCATTTTGCATTCCCATCACTAACAAATGAGAGTTCCTGTTAATTCACGTCTTTCCCAGCGTTTGCTATTGTCATTGTGGGTTTTGGCCATTCTGATAGGTGTGTAATGGTGTCATATTGTCATTTTACTTTGCAATGCCCTGAGGACATGTGGTATGGAACATATTTTCCTATGCACACTTGCCATCTGTGTGTCTTCTGTGCTAAGGTACCTGTTAAGGTTTTTGGCCCCTTTTTTAATCAGGCTGTTGTCTCATTGTTGAGTTGTAAGAGTTCTTTGCATATTTTAGATAACAGTCCTTTATCAGATAGGTCTTTTGCAAATATATTGAATCCTCTTTTTAAAAAACAGGTTAGGTGGCACTTAGTTATGGGAGCAATTGAAGGTAGAATGGAGGTGTTTGATGTTTGGGTAAAGTTACTGCCTTTGGAGAATTAAAATTTGTTAGCAGGGGCCACGAGGCCCTTCCTGATCTGGATCAACCTATATCTTCAGTGGTCACTTCCCATGTGGACCTTGGGTCCCAACCCTATGAATCCACTTGCAGCTCCTAAAGTGTGTGTTGTGCCCCGGAGTCGTCTAGCTGCCTCCCGGGTCTGGTAAGCCTGGACCTGTGAACCACTGAGTTCTCCTCATTGCTGCCTCTGCAGGCTAAATACTTCAACAAAAATTCCCTGACCCTCTTCCTGACCACCATGCTGCTTAGGGGCCTGGGCCGCCGTGGTCTGAGCCTGTGCCCACGGCAGTTTCTGATGTGAGTGCTCCAGAGCCACTTGCTGGCCAAATGGATTTGTCGTCACTTTAACCCCATTCTCTCCATTTGCAAACTGCCACATTGACAAGCAAAATGATTTTCTGAGTAATAACTTTGTTAGGCTTTTCAGGAATTCTCAGTAAATCATTGATAAAATCAGGTGTCTTCATAATTTCTGTAGTGCTGAGGCTAATGAGCTTCAATGTCTTCCTCTTCTCTCCCCTTTACCTCATTTCCCCCCACCCCAAGGTTTATACTGTTTAATTGTTGTTATATTGGCCAAAACCTGGGTTGAATTTTTGCCTTAAACTCTACATAGTTTCAGTCAAATAATACTACAGAAAGCCCAAGTTAAGTATGCTTTTATTTTTAAAACCAATTTTAGTAGTACAGTGTTTTGGAAAGCTGAAATAGTAAGAAAGTTTACACATGTTTGGTTAGGTTAAATATTTGTTTAAGTGCATTTTAGGAACTTTGTTTCTCAACTTAGGTGTAAACAAAATTCTCCTTTCCATGATTACTCAACAAGATAGATTGCAAGCTTTATCAGTTCCAGACTGTGCAGCTTTTATATATCAAGTCTTTACCGTTGTCCAGAGTGAAAAATTCTTAATTGAATTAACCCATAGTAAGTCTTCCAGTTTTTATTGAATTGGAGATGCATAAATAGATTTGCATTTTTCTTGTACAAATTGCGTTCCACCAGGAGGATATGCCCAGGGTGAGGCTATTTCATGAGGGACAAGTTAATTTGACCAGGGCCTGCAGGCAGTAGCTGGCTTAGAATACAAATTGAGGAGACGTGTTCCCTATGAGAATCGGAGGCAGCTTTACTCCTGAGACAAGGAATCAGGGTCAGTGACTAGGAGTTCCAACAGCAAACCAGAGCCCCCACTTGGATTTCCTGGGGATCGAATAGCTGTATCTTTGTGGTAGAACTTGAAGTGCTATGATCTGCCTACAGGAAAGCCAAGGTAAAATGTCTCTGACTTCCCTCTAATATAATGATGGGGCTTCTTGCAGTCAGGGATCTTCTCCAGATTTGCTAGTGATAGCGCGGCCCAAAGAGTATGTGAGCCTCAGCAGCTCCCCACCTCCCACTCCAGATTGGGGCGCTTTTTAAATGCACGTACCCAAGACAAAAATTATAGAGGCATCAAGTGCTAAATAGACCAGCCCCTGGCTGGTTCTTAGAAACCTATCGTGTGGTTTTCAAATTTTACGTAATTTTTGTTAAAGCATTTAGCCTGTGGTGAGGCATATTTGCTTTAACATGTGCTTATTACAGAAGTTATGTTTCACTGTAGAAATTTCTGGAAATACAAATGCAAAATAAAACACAAATCTCTGTCATTCTGCAGAAACAGCATTCTTTTGACCCCTTTTGTTTTATTCTATAGATGTATATTTTTGTGTTTACAGAAACTTGATCATACTATTTTATAACTTGCTGTTTCATATAAAATTATCATGAACATCTTTTGTGTCATGACATGTCTCTTCTTTTAATGAGTGCATAGTCTTCCAAACTACAAATCTTCCATACTCTGTTTAGTGTTCCTCCACTGCTAGAAATTTTGGTTGTTCCTGATTTTTATTTTCCCTTTTATAAATGTCTCTTTGGTGAACGTTATTAGACTTACAGTATAATCCAGTTGATACATAAGCGAATGAAGACAGTAACCCTCAAACAGATGTGTGTGTGGCATGTACATTAACTGCTATCCTTTCAGCACTTTGTTTTGTTGAAATGGCCATTTCCATTATGTTCAGGAAAACTCATTTTGGGAAGAATAAGCAATAAATTTGTAATTAATGAAATCTGGTTCAGTTTTTCAGTTTGTCCAGGTTTTAAGAGAAGTTAGGCACTGGCCTAGCTTTAACTGATGTCTGTTGCCAGTGAGTTGAGATCATCAGGATTGCTCTGAATACATGCCAGATAAGGACGCTGAGTACCAGCACATAGGCACGGGTGAATGCTGCTTCAAATGGTACAAAATGATGTTCACCCATAAAGCAACAAGAACATGTTAATGACATACGTTGAATGGCACCTCTTGAAGTCCAAAGTCAGGAGCTTTATTGATTACCATATGAAGTGTTTCCTGGGATGCCCAGCATGTTTCCAGAAGAGCTGCTGGGGTGCATCGTGGTTTTATACAAGCTTGGCCATGAAAGGACAGATACTCAAACTATTGTATGTTTTCATCTTTTAAAACAAACCTTGGTCATAGAAAACCAACAGAGTCTTGTCCACCTTTGTCCTCTAATGCCTCCCAACATGTTATCTTCCTGAGGGGAGACCCTAAATAGATGACCTTTTTAAAAAATAAAAAGATGACTTTTTTAAAAAATAAAAAATCTAACAGTTGCTCATCTTGAAGTTATTTACTCTTTGTTTTATTATCAGTTTCATTTTCCAGTTTTTGTATTTGAAATATTTTGGAGAAGGGAAAGATATTTTAGAGAAAATTCCCCGAAACAATAAACACAACATCTCTTTTTCGGTAAAATTGCTGTGCATTTTCTCTCCCTCTTCCACGCTCACCATAATACACTATTATGATTTTTATACTGCAGGGCTGTTAGTCTTTGCTTTTGATGAACTATTAGTTTTCATTTCCATAGATAATGAAGTGTGTAGTTAGTTGGCTTGGTGATGAGAAAGAATGTTAATATATTTCTGCCCACTTTACCAGCCTGTCCACAGTGCTGCAGATTTATTTTCAGAAGCTTTCTTAAAGCTTGTAATTGGATGGAATTTAAAGTGTTTTGTGTAATTCAAAATTGTCTTTTAAAGTACTTTCTTCATTGTTGAAACATTATCATGAGCTACTGTTGAAATCATTATTTCATAACATCCTTACGTGGGTTTTTTAGACTTTGCTCCAGTTCATTTGCTGTGCTGCTTTCGTTCATCAAATGCCTGATTTTAGTAACTCTTTAACATAGTTACCTACTTAACTGTGAAACAAAACACCCACTCAAATATATTTTTAACTTAATGTAAGTACTGCTTTAATATATGATGCAGTTTAACCTGTTTTCCTGAAGATGCGTCTATGTGAACGGCTTATAGATGTTTCATTGGCTGCGAAGTTCTCATGTTCCACACCTCAGGGCAGTTGCATGCACATTCAGAGATGATAAGAACTTATTATTTCAGCTTTCCGGATCAGTTTGAGGAGTGTCTTGAGATTTTAAGGCAAAACAGACATGTTTGTTATTTGACATTTGCACTGAAATCTGTGGCTCGGGGCTTTCTGGATACAGTGATGTCCCAAAAATTCAGAAACTGGGTATTAAAGCTGTTGAAAAATGTTACTTCTCCTCCCTTCCCTCCAATTTTAAATTTATGCCTATCAAAAGTCATGCTCTTTTTACCAGGTGACTGAAATGATATTTAAGTTGCAAATCTGGCCTTAAAAACATATCAGTCCTTTACTTGTCTATCTTAATAGATGTCTGTTTTTCAAATGAAACTTTCTGAAGCTCCTTGCTGCATGTTCTTCTGAATCTCCCTGTGCAGGTCTGTCCAAAGACCTAACCCACCGCCATCAGTACCACACATGCTGTGGTTTGGGAATGTTGTGGTTTGCTTCAGACTTTGTCTCTGATCCTCTTATTTGGATGCCATGGGAGAAGTTAAGACAGGAATAAGTAGATTGTTTGTTTCTTTTTTCATTTTTACTTTTAGAAAGGCTAAGATGCTCAGAATTGGAGCTGTCATAATCCTTGTTTTACAAGAGTTTATCATTGACCCCTGCATATCTTTTATTTTCCTTATTAATAAGGAAATGATAATAAGGAAATAATTATCCTTAATAATAAGCCCCCTTGAGCCCATCTCCCAATCCTGGAACTAAACCATGGCAATAGCCACCGTTCACCCATGCACACCACCCCTTCCTGTCTCCATTCACCCATGCACACTACCCCTTCCTGTCTCCATTCACCCATGCACACTACCCCTTCCTGTCTCCATTCACCCATGCACACTACCCCCTTCCTGTCTGCATTCACCCATGCACACCACCCCTTCCTGTCTCCATTCACCCATGCACACCACCCCTTCCTGTCTCCATTCACCCATGCACACCACCCCCTTCCTGTCTCCATTCACCCATGCACACCACCCCCTTCCTGTCTCCATTCACCCATGCACACCACCCCCTTCCTGTCTCCATTCACCCATGCACACCACCCCCTTCCTGTCTCCATTCACCCATGCACACCACCCCCTTCCTGTCTCCATTCACCCATGCACACCACCCCCTTCCTGTCTCCATTCACCCATGCACACCACCCCTTCCTGTCTCCATTCACCCATGCACACCACCCCTTCCTGTCTCCATTCACCCATGCACACCACCCCTTCCTGTCTCCATTCACCCATGCACACCACCCCCTTCCTGTCTCCATTCACCCATGCACACCACCCCCTTCCTGTCTCCATTCACCCATGCACACCACCCCCTTCCTGTCTCCATTCACCCATGCACACCACCCCCTTCCTGTCTCCATTCACCCATGCACACCACCCCTTCCTGTCTCCATTCACCCATGCACACCACCCCTTCCTGTCTCCATTCACCCATGCACACCACCCCTTCCTGTCTCCATTCACCCATGCACACCACCCCCTTCCTGTCTCCATTCACCCATGCACACCACCCCCTTCCTGTCTCCATTCACCCATGCACACCACCCCTTCCTGTCTCCATTCACCCATGCCCACCACCCCCTTCCTGTCTCCATTCACCCATGCACACCACCCCTTCCTGTCTCCATTCACCCATGCACACCACCCCTTCCTGTCTCCATTCACCCATGCCCACCACCCCCTTCCTGTCTCCATTCACCCATGCACACCACCCCCTTCCTGTCTCCATTCACCCATGCACACCACCCCCTTCCTGTCTCCATTCACCCATGCACACCACCCCTTCCTGTCTCCATTCACCCATGCCCACCACCCCCTTCCTGTCTCCATTCACCCATGCACACCTCCCCTTCCTGTCTCCATTCACCCATGCACACCACCCCTTCCTGTCTCCATTCACCCATGCACACTACCCCCTTCCTGTCTCCATTCACCCATGCACACTACCCCTTCCTGTCTCCATTCACCCATGCACACCACCCCTTCCTGTCTCCATTCACCCATGCACACCACCCCCTTCCTGTCTCCATTCACCCATGCACACCACCCCTTCCTGTCTCCTGACCTCTCTGCTGCCAAAGTGGATGCTGTTGAAATTATCATTCCCTTGCCTGTTGAAAAAGTTTTAACAAATGTACATGGGTCAGTATTAATTACTATTTATTTTTAGTTGGTTTTGAACTTAATAAAATTTACAGCATATCCTTGTCCAAATTTGCCAGTTTTTCTTTTATAGACAGAGTTTTCTGTGTTTTAAAACTTTTGCTCTAACCCAAAGTCAGAAATATGTTCATCTGTATTTTCCTAGAAGTTTATAACTTTAAATCTCTAGAGTAGAGCGAGTTGATTTTTGCATGGTCTAAAATAAGGGAACAATTTCCCTTTTCTCCATATGGAATGCATAGTCGTTTTCCACCTCCATGTCCCTTTCCTGAAGAATGTCTTCTTTTCATTTTGGTTTTTCTTTTTGAGTCTCGCTCTGTCACCCAGGCTGAACTGCAATGGCACAATCATAGTTTGCTGCAGCCTCAAACTCCTGGGCTCAGGTGATCCTCCTGCCTCAGCCTCCCGAGTAGCTGGGACTCCAGGCATGCACCACCTTGCCTGGCTTCTTTTTTTCCACTGATCTTCCATTTAAACCTCACTCACACATCACAGCCCCATAAATGTGAAGGGCCATTTGTCATTGATCAGTTAGTTGATCTATCCCAGTATCAGCATCCCATTGTTTTAATTACTATACTTACCTACATCCTGATGTCTGGTAGGACACTTTCCTTTATGATTCCAAATGGATTTTAGAATATATTTGTAACATTCATGAAAAGTTTAAGATTTTATTAAATTGCATAGAATCAATAGGAATATGTAGGGAGAGTAAACAATCTTTACGATTTTAGGTTTTACCATCCTCCAAATGGCTTATTATCCCATTTACTTGAGTTTTAAAATGTCTTTCATCATAAAGTTTCATAATTTTCTGTGTACTGATATTGTACATTTTTGTTTGATTTATTCCTAAGTGCTTTTAGAGTTGCCATTGTAAATGTTTTAAGGATTATATTTTCTAATTTTTACAAGTATATGTAATTGAGCTTTTTAATATTGATCTTACATCTAGCTGCTTTAATACACTTTTATTTCTAATGATTTGCCTGTAGTATTTTGTGTTTTCTATGTAGGCAGTTGTATCCTCTGCAAACAATGATAATTCTGTTTTCTTCTTTCCAATCTTTATGCTTTCACTTTATTAAATTTTCTCCATTTAAGATTACATCCATTATAGGATTTTTATAAACACCTTTTACCAGGTTAACAATTTATTCATAGCTTTCTAAGAGCTTTCAAAGGCATTTCTGTTGAGTTTTTTTAGTTTTTCTATATCTATTGAGATGATAATATGGTTTTTATCTTTTATTCTGTTAACATAGTTCATGTTAGTTTAAGATTTTCTCAGATTCAATCATTCTTGCATTCCTGAGATAAACTAACTTGGTTCTTTTTTTTAAATATACCATTGGCTTTTGTTTGCTAACATTTTGTTTAGAGTGTTTACACTTACATTCATGATGAAATGGGCTTATAATTTTTTCATTTCCTTACTATCTTTGGTTTTGTATCCAGGTATACACTTCTCTTAAAATGTCTTGAAGGGTGTTGTCTTTTTATTTTTTGGAAGGGTTTATATAAGATTGGGGTGATCTGAGTATTTGGTAGGATTCTTTTTGTTAAACTCTCTAGGCCTGAAGTTTTTCTTATGGAAAAAAATTTAACTATTACTTTGGTTTCATTTGTACTTATCATTTTTTTAAGCTTTCAATTTTTTATTAATCAGTGTCATTATTTTACACTTTTTCCAGGCATTTGTCTATTTTTTTCTGGGTTTTCTAATTTATTAATAGAGAGTTGATAATACTTCATCTTTATAAAATCGGCTGTATGATTATGTTCTTTTTAATTTAAAAGTATTATTAACATCTTCTGTTTGTTGTGATCAGCCTTTCCAGCTGTATTTCCTTTAGTCTAGTTCAAAGTTAGTTCACATCAACTTCGTATTGTTGTTTTCTGTGTCACTGGCTTCTACTCTTTATCTCTTTTCTTCAGTTATCTTTTCTTCCTATCTAACATCTTAAGTTCATTAGTGTGTCTTTTCTCGTATAAAGTTATAAATTTCCCTTGAAGCATTGCTTTCCCTGCATCCTGCAAGCTTGTCGTGCTTTCATTGTAATCCAGCTCTCTCTCTCTATAGCTGATACACGGGTTCTTTAGAAGTGTATTTTATAAAATTTCTAAGTTAGTGCCATTTGATAATTTAACTTCCACTTAGTAGCCAGGGTTAATTTACCATGTTGTTGGAAACCAGAGCTCCTAACATGAACCCCAAGTTTTTAAAAAATAGTAACCAAGCTTAGTTGTGATTTTCTGGTGTATTGTTCAATCTAATCAGCACTGTGATTAGTATTTTAGTTTTGTAACAAGTTTTTTTCTGTTACTCAGCTTCGTACTCTTAGTACTGCAGATAGAATAGGTATTTTAATCTTTTCTGATGTCTTCATTTCCAGGTTTTGGAATGTAATACATTTGAAAATAGTGCTGTGAGACAGTGGTCCACTGTCTTGTGTTTCTACCTGTCTGGTGAGAAGCAGTACTGACTACCTTTGTCCAGATGATGTTTGTGAGGTTGTTTGTACAGCAGACTGCCCCAGAAGGTAGAGATGGTGTCTCCCTTCAGAGCAGAGGGCAGGCATGCTTACAGGCCAGCGTCATAAAAATAATATCTTGCTTCAGGGCAAAAGTCAGACAAGGTTACTGCCCATTATAAAGGACTCCGGGGTCCCTCAGCCCAGGTTTCCCCTGCTCCAATTCAGCCACCTGTGTGTGTGTGGCATCACTGGTCCCGTTCACTTTGCTCCTTTGGAATTAGAGCTTGGGCAATGGGTACCAGTTATACTCTTTTTGCTTCTGACCACATCTTCTGTCTCTGACTCAAGGATCTCATGTCTTGTTTCCTACCCCTTACTCTGAAGTCATTTGTCATAGACCTTGTTTGGTTTGTTCCCTCTCTTTCTGCTCCTCTTCCCCTCCCTCCCTTTCACCCTTTCTTTTTGTTGTTTTCTTTCTCTCCTCTCAAACAGGTGAGGGCTGTATGCGGCCCACCCATCACTGGGCTAGACGGTGGGCTGGCTTGGCCTGGTCGTTGTCTCTCACCTGCTGGGCAGCTTCTTCTCCAGGACCGGTGCCTGCACAACTTACCTGGTCCCTGTCTCACTGCTTTGAAGCCTCCTGCCTTCCCCACATAGTTCTCTGTGCACTGGCACATATGGAAAATCAGAGTCCCAGCAGGTGCTGTCCCCGGGGCCCTCGCCCTCTTTCCCCTCTTCTGTCGTGTGGATCGCACTCCAGGGCTGTGTCCCTAGAATGGCTGTGGGCGTCTCACTGTTCTCTCCCTGCTTCCTACTAAGTTCCTCAGGAGTTGCTGATTTGGATGAGGGACAACCAGCAGCACATGGGCCTGAGGAAGAGGAAGGGCTGCTGAGCCCCGGCTTCTCGCCAAGGTGAGGCCGCCTGCCTTCTCACCGTCTCCGCTTCGGAAACAATGTCTTCAGGAACAACGCGGGTGAGACAGCGCTGGAAATTCTCGCTGGGGCCGTGCTCTCTCTCCTTTTCCCTCACAGTGTGTGGAGATTACGCCCCAAATCTGACGCAAGTCCAGCCATCTCTACAAGGATTTTATTGGAAAATTAGAGGCAGCTGTTTTGGTGACTGCTCATCAAATGCTATCAGAAGGCAGCATTGTTGTTTAACCCTTTCCTCCCCCGTCCCTTTTCCTCCTACTCTATCCCCAGAGAAGTCTTTTAAGAAGGGACTAGAAAAAAGCTTTATTATTTTCAATTTGTATGGTTACTTACATGTGTCTTCTTCTTCTGGTAACTAAATGGAATAGGGATTGTGAAGTGCGGAATGGTCACGAGGCTGGAGGCAAAGACCCCAGCAGAATGGTAGGGAGGCTGGAGGCAGACACCAGCTGTGGTAGATGAGGCCAAGCCAGCAGAGAGGGTCTGAGTGTCAGAGAAAATGGAGAAGGGCCAGAGAGGGGTGAGGATGCAGACAGGCCACCTGCGACACCCATGGGGGCATGCGTAAGGGGTCCTTGAACCTTAACAGAGATGCTGCTCCTGATAAGGGCCTGTGACCACGAGAGCCTTTCCCCCTAGTCACCGTCCTCACATGCGTGCGTCAGTGACCTGGTGAATATTCAATGTGATGACCCGGTCACTGTCATCACGTGTGTCCATCAGTTACCTGGTGAATACTGAATGTTGTGATGACCCAGTCACCGTCATCACGTGTGTGCGTCAGTTACCTGGTGAATATTGAATGTTGTGATGACCCGGTCACCGTCATCACGTGGATGCATCAGTTACCCAGTGAATATTGAACGTTGTGATGACCCGGTCACCGTCATCACGTGTCCGTCAGTTACCTGGTGAATATTGAATGTTGTGATGACCCGGTCACCGTCATCACGTGGATGCATCAGTTACCCAGTGAATATTGAACGTTGTGATGACCCGGTCACCGTCATCACGTGTCCGTCAGTTACCTGGTGAATATTGAACGTTGTGATGACCCGGTCACCGTCATCATGTGTCCGTCAGTTACCTGGTGAATATTGAATGTTGTGATGACCCGGTCACCGTCATCACATGTGTCCGTCAGTTACCTGGTGAATATTGAATGTTGTGAGGACCCGGTCACCGTCATCACGTGTCTGTCAGTTACCTGGTGAATATTGAATGTTGTGATGACCCGGTCACCGTCATCACGTGTCCGTCAGTTACCTGTTGAATATTGAATATTGTGATGACCCAGTCACCATCATCACGTGTGTCTGTCAGTTACCTGGTGAATATTGAATGTTGTGAGGACCCGGTCACCGTCATCACGTGTCTGTCAGTTACCTGGTGAATATTGAATGTTGTGATGACCCGGTCACCGTCATCACGTGTCTGTCAGTTACCTGGTGAATATTGAATGTTGTGATGACCCGGTCACCGTCATCACGTGTGTCCGTCAGTTACCTGGTGAATATTGAATGTTGTGAGGACCCAGTCACCGTCATCACGTGTGTCCGTCAGTTACCTGGTGAGTATTGAATGTTGTGATGACCCGGTCACCGTCATCACGTGTGTCCGTCAGTTACCTGGTGAGTATTGAATGTTGTGATGACCCGGTCACCGTCATCACGTGTCTGTCAGTTACCTGGTGAGTATTGAATGTTGTGATGACCCAGTCACCGTCATCACGTGTGTGCGTCAGTTACCTGGTGAGTATTGAATGTTGTGATGACCCGGTCACCGTCATCACGTGTGTCCGTCAGTTACCTGGTGCATATTGAATGTTGTGATGACCCAGTCACCGTCATCACGTGTGTCCGTCAGTTACCTGGTGAATATTGAATGTTGTGATGACCCGGTCACCATCATCACGTGTGTCCGTCAGTTACCTGGTGAGTATTGAATGTTGTGATGACCCGGTCACCGTCATCATGTGTGTCTGTCAGTTACCTGGTGAGTATTGAATGTTGTGATGACCCGGTCACCGTCATCACATGTGTGCGTCAGTTACCTGGTGAATATTGAATGTTGTGATGACCCGGTCACCATCATCACGTGTGTCCGTCAGTTACCTGGTGCATATTGAATGTTGTGATGACCCAGTCACCGTCATCACGTGGGTGCGTCAGTTACCTGGTGAATACTGAATGTTGTGATGACCCGGTCACTGTCATCACGTGTCCGTCAGTTACCTGGTGAATACTGAATGTGGTGATGACCCAGTCACCGTCATCACGTGGGTGCATCAGTTCTGGTGAATACTGAATGTTGTGATGACCCAGTCACCATCCTCACGTGTGTGTGTCAGTTACCTGGTGAATGTTGAATCCTGTGATGAATAGCTATGATTTCACTAGACCGGTATTGGATTTTTTTGTGAATTTACCACTTTTCACTATTATAATAATGTGATACATTTCTTAGTTCTTAAATCCTTGCCTAGATATCTCTTTTCAGTTGGATTCCTAGAAATGAGATTCAGTTAAAGGACATAAACACACACGTTCAAGGCTTTAGAAAGTCACTTGGCCAAGTGCGTAAGACACACGATAGAGACTGCAGCCCCCACGGCAGGAGCTCCCATCCTCCCCAATATCAGCGGTTTCATGTTTGGCTTTTGGGTAACTTTGGAGCAGAAAAATTTTGCATTATTAGTTTTTATTTCTTCAGCTAGTGAAGTTGGGCATTTTGTGTTTGCTGTATGTATTTTACGGATTCCTTATTGACGTCTTTGGGGTAAGGTTCTAAAGGTAGAGAAGGCCCCTACCATGCATGTGGGTGGAAAGCCTGTACCTGGGCCTTCTCGGCACTCTCTCTGCATAGCTCCTCCTGCTCCATGGAGTATTTCCACATAGGGTCGGATTTCTTTCGTATTCTTAATTTCACTTTGACACTTGATTCATCCTCTTTTTTAGAGACTTTGGTTATTGTTGTTCTACCATAAGCTCCATATACTGTTTGGTAGTCCCAGGCATCAGTTCTCTGTGATGAGAGGGGCTGCAGGAAGGGGCTGCGCCAGCTGGCAGCACAAGGGCCTGGAGTCCGACTGCAACAGTGAGCTTGCACGCGGAGGTGCACGGAGCCAGCCAGGGGATAGCTAGGTATTTTTTCTTTACCCATATGAAAGAGCACTTCACATAAAACGGTTTTCTTTTCAAAATTAAAAATGTTTAGAAGTATATCTTTTTTCTTTTAATATGAATGAGGCTTTCAATGTAGTTTTCTTTCTTTTCCCAAAAGCTTCCAATATACCTGCAAACAAGCTTTATTTAGCAGAACTTTTCCCAAGAACCCAGTTCGTCACTGCCAGACTGCCTCTACCTCGGGGCCACAGAAAAAAGTACCGTAGAAATTTCTGGAAGGTTGGGGATTTTTGCATTTTTTTTTTTTTTTCTGAGTGCAGCTTTAAATAATTTTCAAGAATAAGAAAATACAGTAAAGCTCACTTGGTGGAACACAGGAGTTTTGTGTTCTAGTTTAAGCAAATAGTTTATTTGAAAAGTGTTAGCGAGAGGATAGAAAAATGTTTATGTGCATGAGAAGTAACTGCAAAACGAAATTTGGCAAAAGTTTCTCATTTTGAATATACATAGGAAAGTCATAACAGAAAATGAAATTAAGAATTTAGGTATAGTTGTTTGTTGTTCAATGAAAATTGTGCCTTTACAGGTCAGGATGAGAATGGGAGGGTCATTCTGAATCGAAAGAATCACTTGTTTTATTTGGCAGGGGAGGGGGAGCAGCAGAGGCAAATGGATGGTAATGTGGGGAGGCGCTCATGGGTCAGGGCTGCAGCCACTTCCTTAGAAGCAGCGGGAGGAAGGGTTGGAGCCATTTAACTGCAAGAGGAAATGGTTTCTGTTCTTTGAGTACTCTGTACAGTTTGGGCTTCCACTTTTAGACTAACCTGTGAAGACAGAAAATTACACTCACACTGGTAATGGAGAGCTTCCTAACTTGTTTGGTACAATTTTCGGTCATAAAACAAAAGCAAAACATGGTTTTTCTCTTATCATCACCAGAAAAGGGAGATTGCTGAAGTGACTCTCAGCTCAGTCTGGGAGGGAGTTGGGGCTGGAATGAGTAATTAAATGTGACTTAAGCACTTTCTTGTCCTCAGGGTGGGTGCTTTGGTTTTAGGAAAATTGTACTTACTTATAAAATAGGGGGGAAGAAAAGCTAAGACCAGCTCATTATTACTTCAGGTTTGCCTACATTTTCATACTTTGGGGAATTGGTAAATATTTTCAAAAGATTTAGAGAAACATTAGTTCTGGATACTTTTTGTTAGCAACTCTTCAACTTTTCCTGTAAATACTGTAGGTAAAAAGATATTATGGTAGCAATTATGAGATAAATTATAGGTTCATGAAATTATGTACTTGAACTATATTTTCATCTTGCCGTAAGTGTGTTGGTTTTACCTCTTTCTTTGAAAAGACATCATCTGGTTACTTGGAGAATTCTAAAATAAGGCTTTTAGGAAAATTGTATGTATTTGGGAAGTTATATTTTGTTGTATTATGTTGCTGTAGCCGTTCATTAATTTCACTTGAATTCTAAAGCTGCCAGAGGGAATTAACAATTTGTGTTTGAATTCATCCTGGTAGTGCTTATACTGACTCCGTGCGAATGACCTTTTGTCACTGACTGGACTGTTACTGGTAGTATGAGAGTGTCACAACATTGTCAATGGCTCCCAAAACATAGACCAAAATTATTTTTGGAAAAAAAAAAAAATACTCCCAGAAACGGTAAGGTTATGGTGCTTTTTGTAAACATTAAGAGAAAGGAAGTCAGTTATCCCGCTATGATAAAATATTTAAAACAAAGAGAATAAACAGTGTTGTATAAAATAACAAATTTTATTTCTAGAAAATATTTTACACTAACTGTGCACATGCACACACCCACACAGAGCTTAACCACACATGGATTTCCTTTAATAATAAATCTACCACATACTATTATATTACAATTTATAATAGCGTTTTTGAAGACACAATGGGGAAAGCTTTGTCATTCATTTATAAACCGTCCATAAATTACAAAAGAAAGGCAGTCTGAAAAGTATGTATAAAGAGTAAAAACAATTTACAAGTGGACAAGAATTACAAAAGAGTAACCATCAAATACATCTGCCAGCAACTTTGTAAGTAAGTCTTTTGTTCAAATGCCAATGATGAAGATGGGTATGGACTCATTTGGAGCAGATTTAAATTGAGTCTGGTTTTGGTGTGGCTTATGCATTATGTGGATTACTTGTGTGCCATTCATTGCTGTGTATTTGGGTATGGCATTTTGACAACGAAAGTAACAGAAAACCATATGCCACAGAATAGAACATTAAAAGCAATGAAGATAATCGGCTTTCTGGAAGGTTGGAGTACTGGTGCTTTACCAAACAAAGTTACTTTCTCTCCTTTTCTCTTTTTTGAATGATTGAGTAAACATTTTCTGTGTGTAGCCTGGCTGGCTTTGAAAGACTGAAACTAGTATCTTAAAATGCACAGCCTGTACAACTTGATCTCAAACCACTGTGTCAGGATGAAGACCACTGAATGCACGACACATACAAAGTATACACTGTTTTTATTAGACAGTACAAATCATTGTGCATTTATAAGGCAGAACATCAAGGCGAATTAAACTAGGAATTTCAAGACCAGAGTCAAAGTGAAAGTTATGCATTATGAGGCAAGCATTTTGAGAAGGGAGAAAGGTTGAAAATCATTCCTTTAAGGGCAGATGACAAATGCACAAAGACTGGAATTACAGGTAGGGAGGGAGCTACAGGTGATAGCTATGCGCCCCCGTTTGTTAATAAGACGTCCCCTCCCACCTCCCAAATCAGAGCTTGGACAATGAGAGCAGACTGCCAGCGGTGACAGAGAGCAACCGCTCCTCTTTGTTCTCGTGGTTGGTTTAAAGTGGTTGGTAGTGCAAAAGTGCATTTCTCTACTGGTGTCAGGGGAGAAGATTGGGTTTTTTTAGGAAGTACTTGAGTCATGAAAGCCCTAGTTTGGAATTAAAGAAAATTACATAGATTTGGCAGTTGTCCGGAAGCACATGAATCATTTCACTGCACCCAGCTTTTTCAGCAGTTTCTTGCCTTTGGAAAGCAGCCCCTTTTTCTTTTTCGAGGACATTTCCCTGCCTCTCCCAGGACTACCAGAACCCATAGATGACGTAGGTGACCCCGAATGGAGATGGACTGTGGGGGATGGAGCTCTCCTTGCTGTACCTGAACCCTCAGGAGGAACCTAGTAGGTACAGTGTTACAGTTTATTGAGTGTGTGAGCGCCAACAACAGAATTCACTTGGTAACATCGTACTGTCCCCGTTTCCCACCAGGAAAGGTCAGGGGGGTTCATTTGTTCTTTCAGTTGTTGAAGTATGCCATGAGAAGCAAAGGTCCTCTCCCACAGCACGCCAGAGAGAGGCCCCAGACATAAATGTGTGGGTTCCGTTTCTCTGTCTCGAGGGAGTGCGGGGTGGCCGTTGCTTTGGCAAAGCTAAGGCAGGTAATAATTCACTTCATAAATGAAGACTAAGGGCAGGGGAGACATGATCTGAAATTAGGTTGATAGTAAAGTTGGCCGAGTACCCATCAGTAGTCTTAAAAAGCGAAAGTTCATAAAGGGAATTTTGTTGTATTTGAAACTATTTGGTTATATAAAATCCTGATATTGTTAAAGTGCATTCCTGGGGTGGTTGGTATACTATAGAAATATTGGAGATGGCACACTGGTTGAAAGAAAAAAAAAAACTAAAATGAACCTTAATTATAATCAAAGAAAGCTTAAAGGCCCTTAGTGGATGCTTGCATTATTTCCAAATAATTGAACATGAATCTTCCTCAGTAGATAGCACATGGTAGTATTTAAATATACGTTAAGCGCTTAATAGTGCTTCAGAGGGGTAGACTTTTACTCTAATACGCTGCAGGACGACTTCACCTCGCTTCCCTTTACAGCTAAGCATGTGCCTGAGTTGGCAGTGCAGCAGCATTCCTCTGGCCCTACCTCTCCAGAGCAACTCTTGCCATGTGAGTGTTTAGTATTCAGCAGGCAAATGCTGTAAGCCAAGGGGCTTCAAGCTTGCTTGGATTTAAAATCAAGGTCTAATTCTAATGGAAAACACCTAGTAAAGCATCCCAAAGTACACCTGAAGATACCATCTATTCCATCTAATGTGATCATTTGAGCTGCGTGCTTCATCAACTTAGTATTGCATTGGTATACCAACAACAAACGCGTGTTGCAGCAACTTCTGTCACAGGATGATTGTGCTTTGAGGAGGAGCATAGCTCTCTCGTAAGGTAGAGGCAGGGTTACTTAAGGAAAACACGTTCTGGCCACTCGAGCCAGTGTTTGGAGTGTTCAGAGCCAACACTCGATCACCTGTGTTCACTACTCATCTGCTTGACCTTGGGTTAAGTTTCTAAAGTAAAGCTTCCTATAGTAAACATGTTTGTTAGGTTGTGCTTTTTCCAAGAGTGGCTAACAATGCAATATGCAGCTCTCTCTATGTAAACACACAGTTAGCTTGTTAAGAAATATGTTCCCAATGTTGGCCTTTCAAATATTCTTAATGCAAATAGTAGGAAATGATTATTAAAGATGATTTGCTTCACTATAAATTCAGTTGCTTTACAACTGAGACCAAGTAATATTCTAATTATTTAGGTCCAATAGTTTTTTGAGACATATTTCTTTGTATCTTTTTTTTTTTTTAACCCCACAATGAAGCCTTAAGTCTACCACACTGGCCCGGTTAAGGTAGCTTAAGTTGGTATCTTTATCGGTATCTTCAGTTGCTCACTTACGTGAAGGCTACATTGCCTGATTAAGGTGTGAAATGAACACTCTTCTTCTGTTTCCAAGCAGATGAGCAAAGAAATAAAAATATATATATAAAAATATAATATAGAAAAACTTGCAGTGATGAAATAAAATAAAAATGAGATACTAAACATGAATGTAGTCTAATAGTTCAATATGCTTGAGAAGCCCTTGGATCCTTGTGAAGAGACTAAAGTCCTAACAGAGGGCAAATAACCTCCATTGCCCACCAAATCTGAAGAGGAGCCATCCCCTTTTCACTCTTGATCAAACTGAAATGTGCTTCTATAATGTAGGATGGGACATTTCTTTGTGAGTAAAGGCAGATTGATTGATTAGAATTGAAAGGGTCTTTTTTTGTAAAATGAGTAAGATTTAGAATTAAGAATTTTTAGGTACAACTCCCATGGCTTCAGGGCAGAGAAAAAAAATTCAGGGTGTATTTACGCTTTTCGGCCCAAGATATAAAAATATCAGTGCAAAGATTGTATTAGACCACATATGGCAGAACGGGACAGAGATTAAAAAGGCTAAATAGGTTTGCTTACCCTTTTTGCCTTTGAGCGCATTGGCGTATCTTGAGAGTAGTGGGATGGAGCATCAGAAAGATAGACTTCTACGTCATCAGGCACTTCTTCCAAGAAGTTTGAGGGCACAAGGCCTTTCTGCCCATTCAGCTCCCCCTAAAACACCAGGGGTGAGGCAGAAGAACTATTTATTTTTCTAGAAACCCACATCTTGCTTTGGCTAAAGGAATACAGCTCAGAGTACAGGTACATGGTGAGTTTATTCTGGTTCAAAAGTGGCAGGACTTGAAAGGACTCTAAATCAGGGTTTCCAAATTTTCCTCAGCAACATGCAGAGTCCTAAGCCCCTTTCCTGGGGTCTTGATTTCTCCTGTTCAGTGAGGAGCTGAGGAATCTGCCTTTTGGCCAAAGAGCCCCTGGGATTCTTAGGATCAGGCTTCTGAAGGAAACACTCCTTGGCAGATCTCATTTAGTGGTTCTCGGGCCTGGCTGATCTGAGGCACTAGGGAGCTGCTAAAAACACATCGCTCAGCACACCAGCCCAGACCAATGATGGACACCTTCAGACGGTGGGGACCTGGTGGTCCTAACATGCCAGCAAGCTTGAGCGCTACTGGTCTACTCAGCCTTAAGACTGTCCTCCCTCTTACTCATGGATAGGTTATTATCGTAAACATTCAAACAATATGGAGAAAATGAAAGTGTCTGTTGATAACCTCCTCAGACATTACTGCTTCAGGTTGGTATATATCCTTCCAGATCTTTCTACTCATTTACATATCTATGCCTTGTCTAAAGTCGAGATCCATGAGTCCATCTGCCTGCTGGTCATCTGCACCAAGTGGCTCACAGGCCTACCACGTCACTTCTTCCCCAAACTCATCTGCCCATAAAGTGCCTAAACCAAGTTCAAAATTGGCTGGCTCTGGGCAACACGGAATCCTGTTTCTCTGTTTATATGGTCTAGGAAATGACATAAAGAGCCTACTACATCAAAACACCTGTGCAGTGAAGGACACAGCAGAGTGATGAGTACCTGTGGAATGGGAGAAAATGTCTGCAAGTCATCTATCTGCTAAGGGGTTAATATCCAGAACATATAAAGAACATCAAAAAACCCAATTAAAGACATTTCTCCAAAAATGAGATTCAGGTGGCCAGCAGGCACATGAAAAGATGCCAGTCACCACGAATCTCCAGGGAAATGCAGTTCAAAACCATGTAGTACCACCTCACACTACTATCAAAAACAAAATGGAAAAAACAGGTACTGGTGAAGATATGAAGAAACGAATACTCGTGCACTTTTGGTGGGAAGGTGAGATGGTGCAGCTGCTGTTGAAAACAAGATGGCAGTTTTGCAAGATGGAAAGAGTTCTGTAGACGGATGGTGGTGATTGTTTGCACAATGTAAACATACTTAACACTACTGAACTATATACTTAAAAATGATTTTATATCTTTTTTTTTTAAATTGAGACAGAGTCTCGCTCTGTCACCCAGGCTGAAGTGCAGTAGCGTGATCTCGGCTCACTGCCACCTCCACCTCCCGGGTTCAAGCAATTCTCCCACCTCAGCCTCCCAAGTAGCTGGAATTACAGGCAGATGCCACCATGCCCGGCTAATTTTTGTATTTTTAGTAGAGACAGGGTTTCGCCGTGTTGGCCAAGCTGGTCTCGAACTCCTGACCTCAGGTGATCCACCCGCCTCAGCCTTCCAAAGTGCTGGGATTACAGGCTGAGGCACTATACCTGGCCAATTTTAGATAAATTTTATGTAGATTTTATCACAAAAATTAATTGGAAGAGGCAGCCCCACATACTTCCTGCATCTTCCTGTTCAGCAACGCTGCCAGGTGCACACTCACTGCCCTGCCCCGCCCCACTCTTCTGCTTGGACCTTGAAGGTCCTACTCTTATTTACCTGTGACTGCCCTGGGCCTTCTCTCACCGGCTCCATTATTAGCTTATTTTTCTCTGTTGACATTACAGACTATTTCTAGGCCACCTATCCTTTTTACTGTGCATGTGCCCCTGGCGATTTCTTCCTATCGAGGGTTTTTAATAACATCTAAATACGAAGACACTCAAAAGTTATAACCAGTCAAGTCCCCCCTCATTAGGTCCAACAGCCAGATTTCTCTGCCAGCCTTAGAAAAGATTCTTCCTCTGGCTGAGCACCAGATGGAGTAGTTGGCTTATATTTGGGGAGTGTGTTCTGTGAACACACACAATGTTATGCACACATCTCCGCTGGTGTCATGCTCACACCACAAGAGGCGTGTGTACCCCAGCCTGCAGAGGCTCCTGTAGAGCCAGGCCTCCAGGCCAGCCCCTGCTCTGGCTGAGTAGAATGTGGGTGGAACTGCCTGCACTGGTTATTGCTCTTGTTCTTTTGGGCTGAACACACACAGCCCTAGTAAAATCCACGTCAGAACGCACATGTACCATGTCACTCCCTTCCCCATGTCTGATGCCTCTACCACTGCGTGCTACTGCGTCCAAAGTGACGACGGGACTTGCTCGCGGTGTGAATACTGCTTTGGCCTAAGTTCCGTTCTGTTTGGAGAGGCTCAGAGGTCCTGTTCACACCCCTCAAGCTCAAGAGTTTCTAAGCCAGGTTTTCCATTCAACGTTGTTCTTATCCTTGCGTTCTCAAGGGCACCCATCACCTAGGTCAGAATCGAAGGCTCCCCCAGACGACATTCTCTGTCCCTCTGACTGGCAGTCAGAACGCTGGATAAGATCATCTTGAGTCTGCCTTCCCCTGGTACTGACGTATTTCGGGCCATGTTTCCTGCCTGGAGGGTTCCATATAGCATGTTTCCCAGCCTCCTGGACCCACTCCCATCCCCCTTCAAAAGTGTACCATCAAAACCCTTTACAGAATAACTTTCTCTAAAAAAATTTCACCTTGACCTTTCCCTCCTCAGTCCCTCCATAATTTGATCTCTGCTTCTCTCCTACGCCTCATTTCCCACCATTTCTCTATTTGCGGCCAAACAGTAACTACCTGGAGGCCTAATGTCCAGACAGAATGGGAATAGGCTGAAAGGCAGAAAACACCAAAATCGATCCCCTCCCAGTTTTCTCTGTGCCCCAGTCAGTGAGACATCCACTCGTGTTTGCACACTCCTCTGGATTATCTCCCGTACCTTAGTACGCCACGTGATGGCTTGCTTTTGACATAGGAAGGTACAGGATTTAAGGTTTCAGATACCGAGATGCTGGGCTATAGCAAGAACAGCACACGCTTTAAAACACGATGGGGTGTTAGAAGTCTTCAGTGACTTAATGGGGGCTGATGTAAATTATGAAATAGCAAAAGGAGGAAAAGGCCAGGGAGGACAGCAGGAGTCCCTCGGGGGTCCCTGCTTACGCTTGTTTTACTGATATGGGATATAGCAGAACAGAGAAAGAGGAGGGTGATATTACAATATTAGGACCGGTGGAGTATTTGAATTCGCTCTCTCGAGATGTTTAAGGTTACAGATATCAAAACAAAGTACCAAGAAATTTAAGATTTTTGGTATCAAATTAGGTGTCCCCTGTCATTGTTTATCAAATAAGAAATACTTAAATGAACTGGGCAGTCCGCTCAGTGAACATGACCAGCAAAATCATAGTAAAACCATTTGGAGGAGTGGTAAATAAAAAGAAGCATACGTTTCATATTAATTTAGATCTGATTCCCACTATAATATAAAAACTTAGGGAAGACTATTCAAGAAACTAAGAAGATAAAACATAACTGGGGAATAGAAACATGCAGACAAATTAGAAAAATCTTCTTAAATTCCAGGAAAGCCCATTGTTTCTACATGTGAAAATCTAAATGAAAAGTACATTCCTCTGAAGATATGTAGATTGTTAAAAACTGATAAGATAACCATTTAAGCAAATAAAAACTTTTGTGCAACTGCAGTCTAAAAAGATACTGAACCTAAAGGATCTCTCTCTGGGCAGATTCTAATAACCTTCAAATAATAGTAATTGCTGTGTCACTTAATCTCCTCTAAAGCATAGAAAAAGGTTGAAATTTTCTTAGTTTATTTGGTAATTCTAGCATAATCCCGGTATCAAAAGCTACAACAAAGGTATTCCAATGAATACAGATTATTATTATTTCTGGAATATAATTTCTGAATAAAATATTAGCAAATCAACTTCCAGTGCCTTAAAAATATTATATATGATGGCCAGTAATTTACTGATGAAAAATAAGCAGAGCAAACTAAAACTTTCTTAGCATTATAAAGGATACTTTCTCCGTATTATAAAGACCATCTATCTTTACTGATAGTCTAACCTACATATAACATGTAAAATATGAGTGGTATTCCTACTAAAATACATAACGAGTCACAGATTTCCTTATCTCTGTTATTCAGAATCGTTCTAAGTGATTAGTAAGACAATTAAAAATGATGACAAATTATAAATATTGGTGAAGAGGAGGCAAAATAATGACAATCTGTGGGAACCCAAGGGAATCGGTTGATAAGAGAAATAAATGCATTCAGAAAAATGATTTGTGGGGGACATGTACACACACACACACTTTTCCAACATGTTTTCTAAATAACAGTGGAATATATGCTAGGGGGAAAAATCATTCACAATCATAATAAGATCTATATAATTCCTTTTTGTTTGTTTTTGAGACGGAGTTTCACTGTCACCCAGGCTGGAGTGCAATGGCATGATCTCAGCTCACCGCAACCTCCACCTCCTGGGTTCAAGTGATTCTCCTGCCTCAGCCTCCAAAGTAGCTGGGATTACAGGCACATGCCACCACGCCCGGCTAATTCTTTTGTATTTTCAGTAGAAACGGGGTTTCACCATGTTGGCCAGGCTGATATCGAATGCCTGACCTCAGGTGATCAGCACGCCTCAGCCTCCGCATGAGTCACCGTGCCCGGCCGTTGGATCTATATAGTTCCTAAGAGTAAACTTAAGATATATAAAGGATGCGTAAGAATAAATCTATGAATCTTTTCTGACAGATGAAAGGAAAAACTTTTTAAGAGGAGGCGCATGCTATGTCAGAATTGAAAGACAATATTATGTCTATTTCTTCCAAAAGCTAAATGTACATCTAAACAAAAAAGTATAGGTTTGTTGTGGAGGTGGGACTCTTTACAAAATGTTCCCTCCCAAACATAAAAATGCATTATAAAAATACAATAATTAAGACAGCATGGAGTAGTGTTAAAGTCCATAAATACTCTAAGTATTAAATTCCTATTTACACTTTAATTTTAAAACGTATTCATTTTTTATTATTAAAAAATGATTTTTTTAAAGTAGGGAAAGTGCAGATTATTTAGTAAATGTGTTGAGACATTTGTTCTCATAGTTAGGAAAAAATGGTAGATACTTGAGATTTACATGTGGAAAGTGAAACTATAAAATTGAAACAAAATGAGGTGATTATTTCTATCACCTTGAAGGACCTTTTAGGCATGACCCCCAAGGCAGAAACATTTGACCGCATGCAAACGTGAAATTCATCCTTAATAAACAACAAAAATGGAGAAGCAAACACACACACACAAAGTTAAAAAGCAGAGGTTGAGCTGGAAAGAACTATTTGAAACACATGTGACAAAGTATGAATATCCTCACCAAAGGCAAATCAGAAACCAGGCAGAGGAGAGAGCCTGGGAATCCTACACATGCCTGCGGCTGTAGCATGTTTGACTTGAAGAGAAACCTACCGTCCAGGATGTCATCAGTTCTTGCCGATTCTGATAAAGGCGGTGGGGGAGCAGGTGGAAACACATGTGCAAGGTGGGGACCCCCACTGGGCTCTGCGCAGGGTCCTAAGTGGCCCTGTGGGCTTCTGGTCAGGGAGGGGCAGCTACTTGTAAAGATGCCCCAGCTGCGGAAACTCTGAGATAACCCCACCCCATTCCCTCCCTTTGCCCCAGGGAGTATTCAAGACATGCTCCAGGGGAACAGAAAAGGAGGGAGGGTGGCTCTGAGGTCCCTGCCAGGAATCACCAGCAGCAAGGGGTGGGGGCGGGGTGGGGGGTTCCAAGCTGCTAACAGCAGTTGGCTCTAGAAAAAAGGTAAGGGAGAAGTCCTAAAATCTGTGGGGTTTTAGGTTTTTGTTTTGTTTTGTTTTTGCTTATTTGTATTTCTTCCTTTTCCTAAAATTTATTTTTGACCTATACAGTTAAGTAATCTAGAAACTTAAATTGTTTTGTAAATGTTTGGGTGGCAGCAATTTAAAAAATAAGAATATGAATGTATTTGTTTTGTTTACAGTGCATATACATTGAAAACACTAGTATTAGCAAGGAAGAAACAATGAAGTTCACAGTCCCAACTTTCTAGATTATCTATAACTCAGCAAAGTTCTATAACTCAGCCAATTAAGCAAAGCTATCAGCAGGCGTATGACGTTCATGCCCAATTTTAAGAGAAGGAACGGACTAGCAAAACAAAACACACAAAATAAATGAAAATACAAAAATCAAATGGTACTTCTTGATATTTCAAAAACTTACATAATAAAATCCATCTTCATCAATTTCACCAAAAACTGTAATAATATCTCCTGTGCAAAATGTAAGTTCGGCCTGTGGAGATGAAACATAAAATTAATCGTATTTTTCTACACAACAGTAGTAGTTTTTTAAAAATAAGTTCTCTATGCTTTCCCTTACTATTTGAGAATTTCTGGTATTAATCTACTCTTTCAGTCAAATAAAGGTAGAAGCTAATGAATGGCTCTGTCCACAGTCTTCTAGAAAGTAAGAACAAACCAAGATAATGTGCACCTAAAAGGAAAATGCTGCAGTGCTTTGATTTTGGCCAAAATTCAAGATTATTACCATGTTCTACTGATAATACATTTTTAAAGCTAGTGAAATGGTTAATTGTAAAAACCTGGAATATTAGGGAAATGTTCTCTGCAGTATAAGGACCATTACGTAAATATCCTTTCACTGAGTATTTTAAAACCTACTCAATTATTAATGAAACATCTATTTATTTATTGAGACAGAATCTCACTGTGTTGCCCAGGCTGGAGTGCAGCAGTGCAACCTCGGCCCACTGCAACCTCTGCCTCTCGGGTTCAAGCAATTGTTCTGCCTCAGCCTCCTGAGCAGCTGGGACTACAGGTGTGTGCCACCAAGCCTGGTTAATTTTTATATTTTTTATAGAGATGTGGTTTTGCCATGTTGCCCAGGCTGGTCTTGAACTCTTGATCTCAAGCAGTCTGCCCACCTCCCAAAGTGCTGGGATTACAGGCGTAAGCCACCGCACCCAGCCTAAACATCTCTTTATTCAGTGTCTACGATGGGCCGGGCTGCAGCCCCAAAGCAGGCGGTGTCAAACACGCCCCACTGCCCTCAGGGGTCCAACTGACCCAGCACATTTCAGTTCCCAGTCACCCAGCAGAACATGGAAGCAGAAATCTAGACAATATTCACAACCAAACACATTTTCTTTCTAAATGTCAAAATGAGGGAATATAGTTGGTGAGCCAGTGGCTTGTCAGAGCAAAGTACTGTGTAACATGGGTTCACATACATCTTGTCATCTCAGCTAGTAGCTGCAGAGACTGGAGACCCCACCTCTCATTTCTGAAGGCAGTGGTTTCAGCCTTCAAGACACCAGGCATCCCAAGCTGTGCCAGGCGACACAACCTCACCTATCACTGGTTTCCTCTCTACTGTTCTATGTGTGGGGCCTGACTGCTTTGCTTTTGTTTGCTGACCACATGTGATGGGCTTTTATTTCTCTCCTAAAGATGGCCCTCAGGTGGCATCACCATTAGATGTGGATGACAGATTGTTCTTTCTGTCATGGCACAGGAAAATCTGGGCCATGGGGACAGGGCTTGTCAGGGGCTGGCCATGTCCCTGGGAATCCCATGATTTCTCTCCTGCGTGGCCATGTCTGTATCAGCCATCCCTCGGATCGGCAGCCCTTCCTACGGATGGTTCGGAGAGAAGGAATGAGGAGGTGAACACACGTGGCCTCAGTGTGGTGTACCACGAGGGAAGGGAAGGGTGTGGTTGTGTCCGTCATGAAGTGCAGTGTTTGGCTGGTACCTCGACATCGACGTTGGGCGAGCTTTCTCTGGGGTCGTAGTCATACAGGGCCACCATTCTCCGCGTCGATACCGAATGACGCCTGCCACTTCTCCTGCTTCTCTCTGTTCAGATCACAAGGGGGAAAGAAATCCATCATGAGGTTATTTCAAACTTAGCGGTGTTCCCCTCCTTCCGGGTCACACATGGCCAATACAGCCGAGACCTGGCACTGCTAACAGGGCCACGTGCTCCTGGGCACTCACATCAGCAAACGTCTCTACTTTGGGTCAGTGGTCTGGGACTCCATATTCTTATATTTTTGCTGTAGTATGGTTTCTCCCCCTTAGACTAACATGAACCTTTTCCTTCCTCCAGTCTGTCCATTAAACCAGTGAGACTCACATGAAGCACGGGGCTCTCGAACAGCAAATTTAGACGGCTTTGGCCAGCACGGGGAGGCCGTGGCTTGGGAGGCCCTGCAGAGTGCACGGTTGTGACATTGCTCTGGGAAGGCCCCATAGACACAGTTTTAAAAGTGCCTGTTTGTGTAACTATGGTGGCGCTACAAAATCAAGTCATGCTCCCCTAAGCATAGGCAAAACTAAGGCACTGTCCTCAGGAGAAGCACGAACATAAACAGGGATGCCTTCTCCACCCAGCCCAGTGGCTTCCCTCATGCTGCTTCCCTGGCATCCTTCCATTGTGGTTTAGCAGCGGCCGTAGAGAAGATCCCAGCTCTGCACAGTCGACTTAGAGGTGCATTCCCACGGCCTGGCTCTGTCTCTGCCACAGATCGGGGCCTGGGCATCATCCCAGCACACTCAGAAGCATAAGAAGGGGCTGCAGAGGAATTGCCCTAGGCTCTGCCCAGCGTGAGCGCTCCACACAGATAACAGGTGAACACTCTCAGGACGTAAGGAGGCCTCAGTGCAGAGCCGCAGAACCTGGCCCAATCACGAAACCCCTGTCAGACTGAAGGGGTGGGGCTGTGAAGGACTTTCCTCCTGGCGAAAGTTGGCATTTATGTGTTTCTTCTAAACACAGCCACTTTTTGCTTACATTTGATTTGGGGAATTCCAAACATACAGATGAAAACTATCAAAGGCAAATATCTCAACGGCAACTAAAGTCAGCGATGTGGCTTTTCAGTGGTTTTCAGCAGGTACAGGGGCCAGCTGTGTAGCCCTGCAACATTCCAGCGATTACTCTCCCCTTGGGTTCTGGTTAGGAGCCACTGCTGTAGTTTACAGGACGCACACACGCCTCTGTGCACATGTGTCCTCTGCAGGACCTGCACATGTGTGTCTCCTCCAGAGGTTCGTGTTTCTCAGCATTATTCATGTTACAGGGAATGTTACAAGTATGACTTTTGAAAGGTGGCATAACAACATACATGTACTTCTCACTGAAGTCAAACTTACATACACGAAGGCTCACTCTTCCCAGCGTGCAGTACTTTACGTTGTGATAAGCACACACAGTCCAGAAACCCCACAACAATCAAGATATAGACCGGCCATAGTCCTCTGTAGTCACTTCAGCCCAGATGACCACAGATCTGTTTCCTGTCCCAGACCTTGACCCTTTCCAGAATGTCACTAAAAGGGACTCATACAAAATGTAGCTTTTTTTTTTTTTTTTTTTTTTTTTTTTGAGATGGACTCTCGCTCTGTCGCCCAGGCTGGAGTGCAGTGGCGCGATCCCGGCTCACTGCAAGCTCCGCCTCCCGGGTTCATGCGATTCTCCTGCTTCGGCCTCCTGAGTAGCTGGGACTGCAGGCGCCCGCCACCACGCCCGGCTAATTTTTTTGTATTTTTTTGTATAGACGGGGTTTCACCGTGTTAGCCAGGATGTTTCAATCTCCTGACCTCATGATCCGCCCACCTCGGCCTCCCAAAGTGCTGGGATTACAGGCGTGAGCCACTGCGCCCGGCCCAGAATGTAGCTTTTGAGACAGGCTTCTTTCATCTGGATGACGCCTCTGAGATTCACCCCTGTCACTGGCTGTATTAGCAGTGGCTCTGTTCCATTGCTGAGTAGGCCCCATTGTGTGGGGCGCCTTCGTTCTGTTTCTGTCACCAGCTAAAAGCACCTGAGTTGTTTCCAGATTTTGATGACCGTTGGTCAAACCACTATTAACAAACATTCATGTACAGTTTTTTTGTGTGTGAACGTAAGTTTCCCTTTCTTCTGAGTAAGTGTATAAGAGGGAAGTTGTTGGATTGTATTGTAAGTGCACATATAACTTTACAAGAAACCAGCGAACTGTTTTGCAGAGCGGTGATGCCATTTTCCACTTTCACCAGCATGCACAGGCCCACCTGGCACACTTTGTGCCCACACCTGCGACGGCCAGCCGTTTTAATCTTAGCCATTCTCAGTGTGTGTGCATTGGTTTCTCAGGGTGGTTTTAATTTGTGTTTCACTGATGATGTTAAAGATCTTTTCATGTGCTTATTTGCCACCCACATATCGTCTTTGGCGAAAGGTCACTTAAATATTTTGTACATATTTTTATTGGGTTGTTTTCTTATTGATGAGTTTTGAAAGGTCTTTGTGTATTCTGAATGCAAATCCTTTTTCCAGTGGGTTTTACTTGCAAGGATTTTCTGCCAGCCTGTGGCTTTTTATTCTGCACTTTTTAAGTGCAGAGTATTTAATTTTGGTGAAGCCTAACATTGACTTTTTCCTTTTATGTATCATGTTTTAATGTCCTGTCAAAGAAATCGTTGCCTGATTATTATAAAGTTTTCTCCTGTGTTTTCTTCTGGAAATATTAGAGTCTTAATTTTTATACTTGAAACTATGATCCATTTTTATTTAAGTTTTTAATATGGTGAGAGTGTGGTTAAGGTTCATTTTGGCATATGGATGTGCAGTAATGTCAGCACCAATGATTGAAAAGAGCATCCTTTCTCCGTTGAATTGCCTTTTTACCTTTGTCCAAAATCAGTGGACTCCATATGTGTTGGTCTGTTTCTGGACTTCATTCTGCCCCATTAATCTATGTTTCTATCCTTTCTCCAATACCACGTTGTCTCGATTAGCATACCTCTATAGTAGTAAGCTTGCAATTAGCTTATGTGAATCTTCCAAGCTTCTTGTTCTTGTTAAAAATAGTTTTGGCTACTCTAGTTCCTTTGCCTCTCCATATACATTTTAGAATTAGCTTGTTGATTCTACATAAATCCCAGCACAGATTTCGAATGGTCTTGCACTGCATCTGTAGGCTCACTTGGGGCAGCTGACATACCAATATTAAGTCCATGAATATGATCTCTCTGTCCATGTATTTAGGTATCTGATTTCTTTCCTCAGTGTTTTCTGATTTTCGGCATACAAATACTGCACGTGTTTTGTTAGACTTAATGCTAAGTAGTTCATGTTTTGTTGTGTCATTGTAAACGGCACTACTTTTAAAAATTTTAATTTCTAAATTTTCATTGCTCACATATGGAAATAGAACTGATTTTTGTATATTGACCTTGTATCCATTGATGTTGCTACACTCCATTTGTTAGTTCTAGGAACTTTTTTATCCTTTGAGATTCCTTGAGATTTTCTAAGTAGATTTCCATGTCATCTGTGAACAGAAAAAGTTGTATTCCTTCATTTCCAGTCTGTACACCAGGTGTGACTTCCCCTCACCATGTCGCCCTGGTTATGACCTCCAGTATGATGTGGAAAAGGAGTGGTGAGGGCCGACATCCTTGTCTGTGCCTGGTATTAGGAGGATCACATTCAGCCTTTCACCATTAAGGATGATAGTTTCTGGCAATGCGGCAGGGGGCACATAGATATATCAGGCTAGGTTCCCTTGGCCATCGACATTTAGAAAAATAGCATAAAAAATTTTAATCTAACTGATAAATCAAGTTACCGTTCCTTAACAGAAATTCTTGTATACTTTCTGGGTCTGTGGTGTACAGGGCCTGTGCTCTCTTTGAAAGAGTCTTAGTCAACTTCGGGAAAGGAGATCTTAACAAAAGTGAGTAGAGGGGATAAAGGGCTCAAAGATCTTCGATCTCATGGATTTAATGTGGGCGATATATTCACACTAAACTTCGACTATTAGATGTGGATTCTGTCTTGAAACAATGCGTTTATTAATGCCAAAAAAGGTTGAAATGTTTTGATTTTGTGATTATCCTTAAAATTATGTATATTCTTTGAAGCACAGAATTTTGTCTTTGAAGTCTGATTTAGAAGCTAATCAAGTTTTGAAGTATTAAACCTTAAATATGAATGATATAAAACTGATATCTCTCTACAGCTTTTTAGAAAAAGCAGAGGCTTTTTTTGAGACTACAGAGGCTTTTTTTAATGAGGACATTGTTATTGCACGTGGAAAAAAATTTAAAACTCATAAATGTAATGTTGCTTAAAAAATCACTGAAAATAGTTTTGCTGCATTCTCACTGGTGCTTGCAGACTGGCTTAAGATAAATGAAGGAGTTTCATGTCTACCCAAACTAAAGAGAAAAGAGCTTGTGCCTCTTGGATAAGCAAAGGTCACCTAAAGAATGAAAGGCATAGCGGCCCCCCAACCACCCACTGAAATTTATTGTAGACAGGCTGATGTTCAAACCGTATTACCAGAAAGCAGCTAATCATGTGTTTTCTAGATGCGATAAATTGTTTGCAAGCAAGACGGTACTTCATCGCCCATTAGATCATCTGTGTCTTCACACTTAGGTGTATCTGTGTCCCTAAAGCACACAGGAGACTACTGGCAGTCCTGGTTCGTAGGGTGGCTTTTGCCCAAGAAAAATCACTGGTCAACATTTACATGACTTTGGCATATTTAAATGATGCAATTTGGGGTCTCCTCATCACCGCCTGCCTCTCTGAGCGGCAGGTGTTTTGTGGGATAAAATGCACAGGGAAGGTCGAATAGGGGTTTGCGCTTACCTATTTTCTCCACAGGTGTATTCAGAGGGAGAAAGCCCTGTCTAAGAAGCTGATCCATCATCTCCTCATCATCTGCTTGTATCTCAGAGACCATGTTACAAGGAATAAGGCCAAGCCGGGCACAGGTTTCCCCACGGTAGAATCCATCAGCGTCTTTATCACCATAAACCTAGAGCCAAGGGGGAAAATAAATCAAGCACTGTAATTGATTGGTTCAGAAATACAATAGTCCCACTGACGGTAAGTGAGTGTAGTCGAAAATATATTTTAAATATAGTTTAAAAATACCATAAATCACCTGCATAGGTCACCCACGTGTGTGCTGTGGATGTGTACATGTAACCCTCGCTCTATGACTCTGACTTAAGAGCCAGTTTTTCATCTAGTGTTTGGACAACCTGCCATTCTTCTCATCAGGCAGGGTGTTTGCTTGGATGAATGCATGTTATTTAAATTCACGCACATTAAAAGGGTGTGTGATGAGACCCCACTCTACCAAGAAGGACCAGGTAGGCTGCACAAAGTGGTGTTTCTGTCTGCCTGAAATGGGTTCCTACGTAACAAGATAGTGCCACATAGCAGGCATTCCGACCGTTCTCAAATGCCAACTGTCAGGACCCTTGCTGAAACTGCAAACAGGGTTCAAGGCCCTCTTTCTTTCCCCTCTCCTACTGAACAGCACACTTTCTCTCATTTTCCCTACTTGAGACTCACAAGGCTCCTCTCCTCTCAGAAGGCTGGATCTCACGGCCTGTAATCCCAGCACTTTGGGAGGCCAAGGCGGGCAGATCACTTAAGATCAGGAGTTTGGGACCAGCCTGGCTATCATGGTGAATCCCTGTCTCTACTAAAAATGCAAAAAAATTTAGCTGGGTGTGATGGCGCGCATCTGTGTTCCCAGCTACTCGGGAGGCTGAGGCAGGAGAATCACTTGAACCTGGGAAACAGAGGTTGCAGTGAGCTGAGATGGTGCCACTGTACTCCAGCCTGGGTGACAGAGC